>NC_000010.11:126924825-127236305 GCF_000001405.40 Homo sapiens
TGAAGGATCTAAGTCCCTGGAAATGAAGGATTGGATGAAAGTGTTTCTTAAGGACAAACTTTTAATAATTGTGGCATACATACTGTAGCATTAGTACTTCCATTGTACAAACTCAGTATTTGACTTACCTGCCAAAGTCTACTGCTTACCTGCACATAGGTGCATCAGCTTTGCAGATTCTTTTTAAATGTGTCAACCCACGTTTTTAAAAACTGGTTTAGAAAATTCTCACTGGGCTTCCCGCCTCTATCACTGATCTAGTCATGATTCATCTTATGGCTGGGAAAGCATCACTAGCCTGGAGAAACTGAACGGTGGTGTTGAGTCTTGTTTTCAGTTTTTATTAGTATTTCCTGTTTCATACAGCCCACCTTTCTGGGCAATAAGCCTAACATACCATAGGCTGATTTTCTAAAACACTTTTATTTATGCACACACACATATACATGTAGTTAGAGCTGGGTGAAGTCCTGCCAGTAACCAGACCTGCTTTTTCATTTTATCCATCAGATCTCTTGGTGTCTTCTCTTACTACTCAGGGTACTCATGTGAACATTTTTGTTTTGTTTTGTTTTTTGAGACGGAGTCTCGCTCTGTTTCCAGGCTGCAGGGCAGTGGCACGATCTCAGCTCACTGCAAACTCTGCCTCTCGGGTTCAAGCAATTATCTTGCCTCAGCCTGCCAAGTAGCTGGGATTACAGGCGCCCACCACCACGCCCAGCTAATTTTTGTGTTTTTAATAGAGACGGGATTTCACCATGTTGGCCAGGATGGTCTCGATCTCTTGATCTCGTGATCCGCCTGCCTCGGCCTCCCAAAGTGCTGGGATTACAGGCGTGAGCCACCCTGGCCGGCCTTATGTGAACATGTCTAAACACATACACACACATTGCAGAGTCTGTGTGTGTGTGTGTGTGTGTGTGTGTGTGTGTGTGTGTGTGTGTGCGCCTAGGTGCATCTGCAGAAATAGGTCTACAACTCCAGGCTATAGCTGGAGAATCTCCAGGATGGGCTTATGTCACAGTAGGGTGTGATGTGGGGTGTGCCTGCTATGTGTGTTGGGTGGGGTTGGAGTGGGATGGGTTGAGCTGGTAACACTGAGAATCTTTGGCCCTGAGCTCCATAAACTGAACCCGTGAGGGAGGTGCCTAGCTGGGTGCAAACTCCTTAATTCCTGTTTGACTTTGGCCCAGTTAGTTAACCGCTCTGAGCCTCAGTTTGCACATCTGTAGGGTGGGGATAAATAGTACTTGCTTCCTGTGACTGGAGAAAAGAGTGATGTGATAGGGGTAAAATGTTCAGCATCGTGCCCGACACCTGGTAGCCACCTGCTACATGGGAGTACCATCGGGGCACCATGTAAGCCTGAAAATTGATCCGGTGACAGAGCCACCGAAGTGTTTTGTCTTCTGTTTTCTTTTCTTTCTTTCTTTTTTTTTTTTAAATACTAGAGAGCTGTTAAGAATCATCAGATTTCCACATAAAACACTTGATGTTTGCTCTCAGCTCGAAAATAGGTACAAACGTCAGTGTGAATTGAGATTTCCAGGAAAAGTAGACAAAAGAAAAAAAAGAACTTTGAACAACATTTTCCCGTAAGTATTTTCATATATTTACATGTCAACTTAAGGGAAAACACAACTACTTATCTTGCAGTTTTACGACTGTATCACTTAATAAACATTCTATGCCAGAGGAGGTTATGGGTTGAGTCCCCTGAAAAGACAGGTTGAAGTCCTAACCCTTAGTGCCTCAGAGTGTGACCTTACTTGGAAATGGGGTCATCACAGATGTAATTCGTTAAGATGTGGTCATACTGGATTAAGGTGGGCGTTTAATCCAATATGCCTGGTGTCCTTGTTAAGAAGAGGAGGGACACGTGAGAACTCAGCCAAGTGAGGATGGAGGCAGAAGTGGGCGTTACACGGCCGCAAGCCAAGGAGTGTCCAGCAGCCCGTAGGGCTCCCTGGAGCTGGAAGAGGCAAGGAGGAAGTCTCCCCCAGAGGGTTTGGAGGGAGCATGGCCCTGTAGGCACCTTAATTTCTGACATCTGGCCTCTGAAACTGTGAGAAAATAAATATCTGTTATTAGAAGCCACCAAGCTTTGGTACTTTGTGTGGCAGCCCCGGGATACTGACACAGTCGTAGAAATGCAGTTGAGACACAGGGGAAAAAGTATTTCTGTTAGTGGGCAATTGAGAAGGAGAGACTTGTAGGCTTTTAGTGCTCACTTCAGACCATTGGCGCCCTGCATCTTGTCTTATCTCCAGTCATTGAGGAAATAAGGCTCAGAACAATTGTGCTCCGGTGTATTTTGCGTCGTCTTTTTAGAAGAAAACTGCCTAGAGAGTGCGGTGGTGACTACCACGCCAGGTGTGTGACCATGATAGCAGATTTCCGTCTCTGATCTGCTTTTTCTTTCAGTTTGGATTTGATGTGAATGTTGTTGACCAGAACTGGAGGTGAGCAGGAGAGAATTAACTGCCTTCCGTCCAGAGGGACTAGGCATTGAAATGTGCATTCCAGATTCCCCTGGAGCAGTGAACTTTGGAGTTAGAGGCCGAGCTGATGATCTCTTCCTTTCTTTCCAAAGAGGATGTCCGTGAGTTACTGTCTCATTCTTTTTTTTTTGAGACAGGGTCTCACTCTGTCGCTCAGGCTGGAGTGCAGTGGCCATCTCGGCTCACTGCAACCTCCGCCTCCCGGGTTCAAGCGATTCTCCTGCCTCAGCCTCCCGAGTAGCTAGAATAACAGGTGCCCATCACCATGCCCAGCCAATTTTTGTATTTTTAGTAGAGACGGGGTTTCATCTTGTTGGTCGTGCTGGCCTCGAACTCCTGACCTCAGGTGATCCGCCCACCTCGGCCTCCCAAAGTGCTGGGATTATAGGTGTGAGCCACCGCGCCCGGCCTGTCTTCATTCTTTCACGTGTTCATTCAGTAGACGCGTAGTCAGAGCTGCCCACGTGGCGACACCCTCCCTAGGCGTTAAGGACTCAGTGAAGAACAACACCAGCTTGGTGTCCACCCTTGGGTTGCTGTGGCTGCCTAGCAGGAAGGACTTGGGGCCAGGCAGTTACCATGCTCGGCGGAGAGGTGAGTGGTCTCAGGGAAGACACCTGCCGTGCAGGTGAGGGGCACCTACCCAGGTGCCACCTGGTCTGCGAACGCCAGTGAGGGGTGTATTGTTTCTGGACTCTGACAGACATACTGAAGATACTCAGGGGAAGAGGGGCTAAGTGTTCTCAGCAGTGGGAACGGCACATCCTAGCCTCGTGTCGCTCGTTGGAGAAGCTGAAAAAATGAAACATGCACAGAGTGAAGGCGTTCAGCAGAGTGAGAATAAGCCGTGAATGGGAGAAAGGACTCGGAGCCTCCCAGGTCGAATAAGGGCCTGGAGGAACAGCATGAGCTCGTGGGACCCATCTCCCTGGGCTCTTGCTGTGGGCCAGGGTTCAGCCTGATGAGCTGCTGAGAGCCGTGTCCACGGCTGGTGTCCATGCGTCCCAGGCCCTGCCCCCAGGGACTTCAGTGGAGCCCGCAGCCTGACTCGTAAACTTGCTCAGTATTCTTAAGCCTCCAGCTTAAGATGTGGTCATGCTAGATTAGGGTGGGCCTTTAATCCAGGATGCCTGGTGTCCTTGTTAAGAAGAGGAGGGACACATGAGAACTCAGCTGTGTCCTGAGAGCTGTGTCCTCGGCTGGTGTCCATGTGTCTCAGGCCCTGCCCCCAAGGGCCTCAGTGGAGCCTGCAGTCTGACTTGTGAACTTGCCCAGTATTCTTAAGCCTCCAGCTTAAGGTGTGGTCATACTGGGTTAGGGTGGGCCTTTAATCCAATATGCGTGATGTCCTTGTTAAGAAGAGGAGGGACGCATGAGAACTCAGCCATGTGAGGATGGAGGCAGAAGTGGGTGTTACACGACCACAAGCCAAGGAGTGGAGGCTCTGGGGCAATTTACCACCCAATTTACCAGAAACTAAAGAGAAATGGGCTTCCTTTCTTCCTCTCCTCTATTTCTAAGCGTTATTTTGTACAATCACCCCATAGCCACTGTTGGCGTGAGCCAGGAGGCTTGATCTGTTGGTCTAGACTGGTATTACAGTTAAGTATTTAATCAGGTCACTTTCAGAGGCTTGGCGGGAGGCCTTTAATCTCTTGGGCATTTTCACATGTCTCATTTGACGAGGGCCTCTCTGTCTAGAAAGACTGTAGGCTGGAGGCAGAGCTTCCAGCCGTGTTTAGATCCATCAGGTACAGGTGGAATTCCATGGAAGCTTATTTGCATTGGAATTGATTCTGCAATCCAGGATCAGAGCCTCTTATGGGCTACATTCCATTGACCTGGAATCCCAGAGGGTTAAGAGATGGTTTGCAGTTGGACTGATCTGGGGATGAACCATTTTCCCCAGATTGCTGGTTGTAATTTTTGGAATTTACCTCACCCTCTATGCTTTGGTGTGCTCACCTGTAAACTGGGGAGAAAAGCAATTGCTACCCCTTAGTGTTTTCATGAGGATTCAGTGTTGACACCCAGGAGATATTATCATTTATTGGACTTTGCTCCCTAATCTAGTAGAGAAGTGGACCACAGGGTGACAGTTAGGAGCTTCAGAGTGTTTGCTGTTGGCCAGAGAAGGGGCCTGGGGCTCAGTACTCATGGTGGAGTCTCTGGGAAGCTTCACCAAGGAGGCTCCTGGCGAGCCTTGGAGGACGCCGAGGATGTGGAGGGAAGCAGAGGGAGAGCGGCAGACTGGGAGGAGCCTGAGGGAGGCGCTACCTGGGCTCCAGCTTCAGATGCATGGGAGAGAGGTTGGGTGAGGGCCAGGAGTGCTCAGGCCCGTTTAACAGGTAGGACTTTTGTCCTGAGAACCTCAGGATGGAGGGACCATTGCGGGGAGGGGCAGGGGAAGCAGGCGGGAGGGCACTTCAGGGCACAGTTGTTTAAGTTCATGAATCAGTTGCATGATTTAAAAACAAAATAATGAAGGTGAGAGTCACATAACATGTAGCTAACCGTTAACAAGAACAATTCAGTGGCATTTAGAAGGTCACAGTGTTGTGCAGCCACCGCCACTGCGTAGTCCAAGACATTTCTATCACTCCAAAGGAAAGCCATGTACCCATTTAGCAGTTTCTTCTTTTTTTTCCTCTTCCCCCAGCTCCTGGCCACCACCAAACTGTGTTCTGTGTCTCTGGATTTATCTGTCCTGGTTAGTTCATAAAAATGCAGATCCCACGTGTGTGGTCCTTGTGTCTGCCTTCGTCCATTTAGCGTGCTTATCCACACTGTGGCATGGATTGCTGCTTCATTCCTTTCTGTGGTGGAATAGCATTCTGCTGTATGAGTAGACCACGATTTGTTTGTCCGTTCCCCTTGTGATGGACTTGTGGGTTCTTTCCACCTTTTGGCTCTTGTGACTGGTGCTGCTGGGAACATTCATGTCCACATGTGTGTTTGAGCAGGTGCTCAGTTCTCTTGGGTATGGACCTCGGAGTGGAATTGCGGGGTCACGTGGCACTTCTGTGTTTCATTTAGTTGCACGATTCTTGGACACAGCAGCAAAGGCTGGCTGAACTTCCTCTGGCCCAGGCCTGCACTACGTGCTTCACTTCTTACCTCCCTGAGCCTTCCCCGTGACCATCGGGGTGGGGAACAGGTGCCCTTCCCGGGTGGGTTGGCATGGGCGCCGGTGGTCCTCTTGGCCGCTTTGCTGTTCTGTCTCCTTAGAGGGGATGCAGCGCCTCCTCCTGCATTTCCAGGGCTGGCCCTCTCCAGCCTTGTGAGACTGGAGATTCTGATTCTGTGGTTGAAGGCCTTGCATGGGCAAGGCCTGGCCTGGGGTCACTGGCCTCGTGCACAGGAGTCCAGGCCAAGGCAAGGTTTTGCCAAGGTTGGCATCTAAGACATGTAGAGACAAAGCTGCCTGTGCTGCCCCGATTGCATTAGCCATGGCAGAGAAGTGTGGACATCAGCACAAGGACTCGGGGCCCAGTCCCTGGTTTTCTCTAGGTGAGTACCCCCTACTGGGTTTTTGGCTATTTGGACATCAGGTGGTTTCTGACAGTTTTGAGATGCTTGACCTGAGGACATGAAAGGGGAGCTGATAGAGGACGGACTCCCTGTCTCTTCATCAGATCCTGCAAGGGCCCATCTCCCCTGCCCATGGGCAGTGCCAGCATCAGATTCCCTGCGTCGAGGATGGGGGCCCCAGGAAGCCAGTTTATTTTGGAGTTGGGAATTCTCTTGGGCTAGTTGCTGCACGCCCACCGAGCCAGGTCTCTGACCCAGGAGGGATGGAGTATCTCGGAAATAAGATCTGGGCAGTATAATCCCAGAGGATGGTGGGTGGGAGAGACAACAGTGTGTTTTCACTGCAAGCCTCTCATGAGCTTAGACTTGGAGAGACATGGATAGAAGCCAGGGGGAGAAGTCCAGACGGGATACTTTCACTTTCTATAAAATTAAAATGAATACCATTCCAGGCTGTCCTGGAGGAGCATTTGCACGCTGTGCAGCTGTGAGGTTTGGAGGGGTGAAGACACCAGGATGCATGGCTGATCCTTCTCTGTGTGGAAGTCTGTCTTGGAGCAGTGGGTGGTACCTGGTCTGGTGGCACCGGGGGAAGCGAGGCCCAGAAGTGCAGGTTCAGGAGCCCGAGCTGAGCTGAGCACAGGGAACACAACAGTGTGTTTTTGCTGGAAGCCTCTCATGGGCTCAGACTTGGAGAGGCATGGATAGAATCCAAAGACAGAAGCCCCCACTGGGGTTGGGGTGGGGCCTCATCTGTTGAATGGGGTGGTCGACTTTCCAGGAGTTTTCCAGCTCCACATTCCCATGTATTTCAGGGAAGCCATTCTGAAGCGGGAGGTGGTACAGCACAGAGTTTATGCAGTCAGGCTCTGGCGGACGGCCTTCCTGTCACTTCCAGGAACCAATGTGTCTTCATCTATCGACTGAGGATATGCGTGGCCCCTGCTCTCCCTGGGCTTCGGGAGGATGCAGAGTCACTGGAAAGTGCTTAATCTTGTGCCTGGTACAGAGTACCTGGCATTATTATTAGCCCAGCCAGCTCAAACTCAATCTCCCCTTCCAGAGGTTACTTAGAAAGGTAACAAAGAATTGTCAGGTAGTAGAAAGGCATTAAGTCTTTTGTTAGCAAGATGGAATAAAAGTGGGCCACTGAGACAGTTCATAGAATATTGATGGAGACGCTGATGACTCCTGAGATGCTACGTATTGGATGTGTGGATTCTGGAAGGTTGAGGATAGTCAAAGCTGAACTCCAGAATCAGTATTCAGAGTGCTTGATTATCTGAGCCCACAGGCCTAGCATTGAAGGAACCTCCTGCAGGCTAAATGTGAAGTTTAAAATTAGGGACTTGGATCAGCTGATGACTGCAAAATAGCAGAGAAGGGCCTTCAAAGCCATGCTGGGGCGGGGTGTGTTGGCATGCGCCTAGTCTCAGCTATGCCGAAGGCTGAGGCAGGACGATTATGAGTTCAAGCCCAGCCTGAGCAAAATAGTAAGACCCGTGTCTCCAAAAAACAGAACAAACAAAAATCCTGTCCTCCCGGGAAGACCTAGAGATTGCTTTTGACTAAACCCAATCAACAGGCTGATAGGATTTCTCGAAAAGTAAAATTAGCACCATTCCAGGCTGAACTGGAGGAGCATTGGAACACTGCAGCTGTGAGGTTTGGA
This sequence comes from Homo sapiens, assembly GCF_000001405.40. Lineage (NCBI taxonomy): Eukaryota > Metazoa > Chordata > Mammalia > Primates > Hominidae > Homo > Homo sapiens. The sequence continues at coordinate 126,932,530 of NC_000010.11, forward strand.
GAGGCGGAGACACCAGGATATGTGGCCGTGTGGGACTCTGTCTTGGAGCAGCGGGTGGGACCTGGTCTGGTGGCACCAGGGGAAACAAGGCCCAGCAGTGCAGGTTCCAGAGCCCCTGTTGAGCTGAGCTTAGGAGGCCCTTTGTGGTAGGTAAGGGGTGGACCGTCGCTGAAGTACCACGGCCCTCACTGGTAGAGGTGGGCGCACTGGGCCACTGGCTGATGCACAGGGCACAGGCGACTGCAGAATATCTCCAAGTCCCTCTCCGCTTGACATTTGGTTCAATTACTGCCAGACTTGGGGGAACTTTCCCTCACCGCAGGTGCCCAGAGTTCAGATCAGGCCAAGAACTGGGCCCAGTGTCACCGTCAGCTCCTGGCCAACTCCTCCCCTCCTGCTCTGGGGTCTCTCGTATATGTGTCCTTCAGTCCTTTTTCCATAGGTTGGCCTGGATATATGTGGAGGAGTCTGAGGCATTTTTGAGCTTGTGGAGGAGGACTGGGAGGACCTTGGCTTTGGATGTCTGGACAAGCAGAAGGCCCAGGGCCAGGGCCTTGATGTGGGGACCTTCCTCTGGGAGGCTGCCAATGTGGCAGGGCTTCCCACAATCAGGACAGATTCTGTGGAGGTGTTGAGATTTGCAGCTCTTGTGGGTGCGTTGAGGTGAAAGTACAACTTTATTTTAGGGGAAACAAATGTTTCTGATCAAAATGGTTAATGTTTGTGCTGTGTAGTAGATGCCTACAGCGGCAGCCTCTCCCAGTGGACACCTTTCGTTGGGTGAAGCTGTTACTGTAAGTGCCAAGATGAGAAATGATACTGTCTGTCCTTAAGGATTTAACTTTTGCCACTGTCAGAGGGGTAAGGAAGAAGCCAGCCTGGGCCCTTCGGTGTCCTCTAGAGCTGGGTTGCCTCCTGCCTGTAAAAGTTAAACAATGTAAGAATGCACAAGGATTCTGTAGAGCTCCCTGTACTTCCTGGGTTTTGCATGTGGCATTTGCTGAGGGTTCCCTGTCCTGCCTGCTGGCCTAGGGAGGGGGTAAAAAGATGGAGGAAGCAGGACATTGATTTTGGAGTGCCCTGAGTCAGCCCCCCGGATGAGCAGGAGGACATACATGCAGGGCAAACGGGAGGTTCCGCCCCTGGAAATGATGAGGTGTGTATTCCTTCTGCTTCTCTTTGAGGCATTGATGTTTTGTGGGAGGAGGGAGACATTTGCTGAGGGGCCATTTGAACCTCTCCAACATGAATTCTCCATTGATCTTATAATAGTGAATTTGAAGCTATTTTAATCTTTTTTTTGAGACAGAGTTTCGGTCCTGTTGCCTAGGCTGGAGTTCAATGGTGTGATCTCCACTCACTGCAACCTCCGCCTCCCACGTTCAAGTGATTCTCCTGCCTCAGCCTCCCAAGTAACTGGGATCACAGTCACCCACCACCATGCCCAGCTAATTTTTGTAATTTCTCAGTAGAGATGAGGTTTTGCCATGTTGGACAGGCTGGTTTCGAACTCCTGACCTTGTAATCTGCCCTCCTCTTGGCCTCCCAAAGTGCTGGGATTACATGTGTTATCCACTGCACCCAACCTATTTTACTCTTAAAACTCAGATTTTTTTTTTTGAGACTAAGTTTCACTCTTGTTGCCCAGGCTGAAAACTCAAATTTTATATATAGTATTTCTATTGTCTTTAGTCTAAACAGGATCTAGATTTTTATTACCAAAACAAAACAGCCTGGCACCTGCCTTGTCATTTGTGCTTCTGAGAAAGGGGCACCGTTGATGTTGAGTCAGAACCTGTGTGACAAATGCTACGCTCAGGGGTAGCCTTGAGTGTGACCCACGTGCTGTGGGGCTCGCCCCGACACCACTGGGGCTCTGTTGCAGGCTCCCACCTTCGGAGAGAAGCCGTGCACCATTCGACTCACTTTTTCATAATCGTAACACTTGGTCGTTTAGAATCCAAAGCTGATAAATTCTGCAAATACCCAAAGACGAGTTATAACATTATCTTTAAAAATCACTGATACCTGACATGGAGCCATACATTTGGAGCAAGACTGGGCAATCTCTTTAAATCCACATTGCAGGTTTTTTGTTTTGTTTTTTTCCTGTTGAAAAGATGTGTGTCAACTTAACCTACTTTCGTACCTGCTGTGAGTCTAACTTTGTGCATGGCTTGCTAGCACAGCTAGTCACAGCCTATTTGGAATTTACGAGTTTTTTTTTTTTTTTTTTTTTTTTGTCTTCTTGATAAAGCCCTGTGCACATAGGGTAACAATAAGGATTATGGAAAGTATAAAACTAGGCCGGGTGCGGTGGCTCACGCCTGTAATCCCAGCACTTTGGGAGGCCAAGGTGGGCGGGTCATGAGGTCAGGAGACCATCCTGGCTAACACGGTGAAACCCTGTCTCTATTAAAAATACAAAAAATTAGCCAGGCATGGTGGCAGGCGCCTGTAGTCCCAGCTACTCAGGAGGCTGAGGCAGGAGAATGGTGTGAACCCAGGAGGCGGAGCTTGCAGTGAGCGGATCACGCCACTGCACTCCAGCCTGGGTGACAGAGCGAGACTCCGTCTCAAAAAAAGAGAGAAATATAAAACTTTTTTTGGAATGTAGACTATTATATCATAACCACATAAAAAGCCTCAATTAGGATGTTGCTGATTTTTATCTAGAGATTGTCCATGAAGAACTCCGTGAAGTTGGAAGAACAGCTGTAAATATTAATATACTTTGCTTAGTGATTGTGTGGCTTTAATCTACACTGTGTTCATGTGTGCTGGGTTTGTGCAGCCCCCTGCAGTAGGGCCGGAAGTTGGAGATCATAATTGCTCTATGCCAAATCTTGGCTGGCAGCCCCCAGAGGAGTTCTGGCTTGCATCCATGTAGGAGGGCCTGGGAGATGCAGATTGGAGGCTTGTTCTTTAAAGGCCCAGTGGGGGTCTGGCCTGCCCTGCCCTCTGTGCTGCTGCTGGGACGTCCAGCCAGGCTGAGCCACATCCTTGAGCTGTCAGAGAGTGATGATGTCCTCTTCTCTCAACCTGGAATGCACCTTCCTCACCAGCAGCTCTTCCTTCCTTCCGCCTCTCTCCTTTCCTTCCTGTGTGTTCTGCTGTTTGCCTAACTTCTCTCTATCCCTTGGATACTTGCCTTCCTGTGGTTAAGGTGCCCCTACTCTGAGCTGTCCCAGCATCCTGTGAATCAGAGGGCAGTGCTGAATACTGCCTTGGGATCGCCTGGTTCCTGGGCCATCTCCACCATCTAACTCCATGAGGATAAGGGCAGCATCTGCCCTGCAGGCATCTACTGCCATCCTTGCCACAGGGCTGGTGCTTAGTAAATATTTGTTGAATGGACGAGGCTGAAATGTGTAAACTGCATGAACTTTTTAAAGATTTGTGTGAGCACTGTTGCAAAATGTTTGAAAGTAGGGCTGTTCTGGAAAACAGTGGCATTTTTTAATTTTTTTAGACAAGGCCTCACTTTGTCATCCAGGCTGGAGTGCAGTGGCACAGTCATAGCTCACTGCAGCCTTGAACTCCTAGGCTCAAGTGATCTTCCCACCTCAGCCTCCCCAGTAATTGGGACTACAGGTGCACACCACCATACTTTGCTAATTTTTAAACATTTTGTACAGACAGGGTTTTGCTATGTTGCCCAGGCTGGTCTCAAATTCTTGGCCTCAGCTCAGGTGATCCTTGTGTCTCAGCCTCCCAAAGGATTGGGATTGCAAGCGTGAGCCACTGTGCTTGGCTGTAGACTTTTTGTGTTAAAAGGCCAGAAAGTAAATATTTTAGGTTTTGTGGGCCATCATGGTTTCTGCTGCAGCTACTCAGCTCTGCCATTGTAACACAAAAGCAGCCACAGACAGTGCATAGGCTCATAAGCATGGCTGTGTTCCAATAAAACTTTATTTATAGACAGTGAAATTTGTATATACTCTATAGTTTTTGCATGTCATGAAACATTCTTATTTTGATTTTTTCCAAAGTATTTAAAAACATAAAAACCATTCTTAGCTCACAGGAGTACAAAAACTGGTGACAGTGAGATTTGGCTTCTAACCTGTAGTTTGCCCACCTCTGGTATTGGTTCAAAGTATTTCATGACAAAGACTCCCATTTATAAAGAATGCAAAACATTAGTGTAAAATCAGAGAAAAATGATCAAACTTATTGGGAGAAGTAGATTCCCAAACTGTTCCCTGGTGAACATGTGTGCTTACTTCTTTTTCCTTTATTTTATAAAATTGTGGCAAAACATACATACCATGAAATTTACTGTCTTAACCATTTTTAAGTGTACAGTTCAGTGGTATTAAGGACATTCATGTTGTGCAAACAGCAGCACCATTCGTCACCGGAACTCTTTTCATCTTCCCCAAAGCAACTCTGTGCCCATCAGACACTAACCCTCCCTTCCCCCTCTTCCTAGCCTCTGGCAGCCACCATTCTAGGAACGAATCTAGGAACTTCATAATCAAATGGCATTTGTCATTTTGTGAGTGGCTTATTTCACTTAGTTTAGACGACTCTAGGAACTTCATAATCAAATGGCATTTGTCATTTTGTGAGTGGCTTATTTCACTTAGTTTAAAGCCCTAATGGTTCACTGTATTTTAGCATATGTCGTAATTTCCTTTCTTTGTAAGGCTGAATAATATTCCATTGTTTGTATATGCCAGTTTTGCTTATCCATCCATTGCCAACGGATACTTGGGTTGTCTCCATGTTTTAGCTCTTGTGAATAATGCTGCTATGAACATGGGTGTACAAATATCTCTTCAAGACCCTGATTTCACTTATTTTGAGTGTGTACCCAGAAGTGGAATTGGTAGGTCATATAGTAATTCTATTTTTAGTTTTTTGAGGGACTGCTGTACTGTTTTCTATAGTGGCTCTATCTGTTTTACATTCCCACCACTAGTACACAGGGGTTTGAGTTTCTCCACACTTGTTTTTCTCCAACACTTGTTATTTTCTGTTTTTTTTTTTGTCTTCTTTTTAATCATAGCCATTCTTATGGGTGTGAAGTGGTATCTTACTGTCCTTTTGATTTTCATTTTCTTAAGGGTTAGTGATGTTGAGCTTTTTTTTCATGAGCTTATTGATCATTTGTGTATCTTTTTGGAGAAATGTTTATTCAAGCTCTTTGCCCATTTTTAATGTTTCTTTGTTTTTATTGAGTTGTAGGAATTCTTTATTCTGGATATTAAGCCCTTAGTGGATATAGGATTTGGAAATATTTTATCCCATTCTGTGGTGTTGCCTTTCTACTCTGTTGATAGTCTCCTTTGATACACAAAAGTTTTTAATTTTGATGAAGTCCAACTTCTTTATCTTGTTATTGTTGTTTTCTGTGCACTTGAGGTCATATCCAATAAATAATTGCCAAATCCAGTGCCTCGAAGTTTTTCCCCTGTTTCCTGCTAAGAGTTTTACAGTTTTAGCTCTTGTGCTTAGGCCTTCTGTCCATTTTGAGTTAACTTTTGTGAATAGTAGAAGAGTCCAGCTTCATCTTTTTTTTTTTTTTTGAGATGGAGTTTCACTCTTTTCGCCCAGGCTGGAGTGCAATGGCACGATCTCAGCTCACCACAACCTCTGCCTCCTGGGTTCAAGCTATTCTCCTGCCTCAGCCTCCTGAGTAGCTGAGATTACAGGCATGCACCACCACGCCTGGCTAATTTTTTGTATTTTTAGTAGAGACAGGGTTTCTCCATGTTGGTCAGGCTTGTCTCAAACTCCCGACCTCAGGTGATCCGCCCGCCTCAGCATCCCAAAGTGCTGGGATTACAGGCAAGAGCCACTGCGCCCGGCCTGGCTTCATTTTTTTGCTTGTGAATATCCAGTCTTCAGCCATTTGTTGAAACCATTTATTGTTCTTTCCCATTGAATGGTCTTGGCTCTCTGTTGAAACCGTTTGACCTTATACGTGAGGATTTATTTCCGGGCTCTCTATTCTCTTCTATTGGTCTCTGTATATCTGTCTTTACGGCAGCTGTTTTGATTGACACTTTTGATTATGAGTTCTTTCTTAGTCCATTTGTGCTGCTAGGACAACATACATGAGACTGGATAGTTTATAAATAACAGCAATTTATTCTCATAGTTCTGGAGGCTGGGAAGTCCAAGATCAAGGCACTAGCAAATTCTGTGTCTAATGACGGCTGCTCCCTGCTTCCAAAATGGCACCTTGCTGCTACATTCTCCAGAGGGGATGAACACCGGAGGGGATGAAGACAGGAGGGGATGAACACCAGCGGGGATGAGCACCGGAGGGGATGAACACAGGAGGGGACGAACACAGGAGGGGATGAACACCAGAGGGGATGAGCACTGGAGGGGATGAACACAGGAGGGGACGAACACAGGAGGGGACGAACACCTGAAAGGATGAACACGGGGGGACGAACACTGGGGGGGCGAACACCTGGGGGGACAAACACCGGGGGGGATGAGCACCGGAGGGGACGAACACCGGAGGGGATGAACACCTGAAGGGATGAACACGGTGGGGGGATGAACACCGGGGGGGGGACGAACACCGGAGGGGACGAGCACCGGAGGGGATGAACACAGGAGGGGATGAACACCGGAAGGGATGAACACTGTGCCCTCACATGGCAGAAGGGATGCAAGGGAAGGAACCCCCTTCCTTAAGCTCTTCTATAAGGGGCCTGATTCCATCCGTGAAGGTTTCATCCTCCTGATTTAGTCACCCCTCAAAGTCCCACCATTTAAAACGATGACATTGGCTATTGAGTTTCAACACATGAATTCTGGGGGACATCAGACCATAGCAGTAGCTTTGTACTAAATTTTGAAATCAGGAAGTGCAAGTCCGCTAGCTTTGTTCTTTTTCAAGATTGTTTTGGCTATTCAGGGTCCTTTGAGATTTCATCTAAATTCTAGGATGAATTTTTCTATTTCTGCATGTACCTGTTTACTTTTGCTGTATTTCTTAGGCTGGTAGGTTAAGGGACATCAGTGTTTTTACTTTAACTTAAAGTTATCTTTTAATTTTTCTCTCGTTTGTAGCAGCTTGATTTAGTAATCACTCACCTCAGGTGATCCTCCTGCCTCGGCCTCCCAGAGTGCTGGGATTACAGGCGTGAGCCACCGCGCCTGACCCAAAATACCTATTTTAGAAAACAAACTCTTCAGTCCAGATGAGTCCGAGTCGTCACGAGACCAGTGTTCTGTGATGGGCTGTAGTTCAGGGAAGTGGATTAGTGCTGCTGCTTTCATTCCTTTGGATGCTTTGGTTTGGTGTTTGTTAATCCCAGAAGTCAGATTATTAGGCCTTTCTGTATTTGGGTCCCTCTCTCGGCAGCTGTAAGTGTGACGCATGTCCCCAATGAAGGAGACTGCTTCCTTTGTCCTTTGAAGGCCACGCCTACCTTGTTGCCTGAATAGGAGCCTCCATGAGCTGGTGGCTGCATTTAGCCCTGAGTTGGGGCTGGCATTGGGAGAGTCTAGGGTAAGACAGATTTGGAGGAGAAGCAAGAAGGAGAAGGGTGCAACTCCTCTCTAGTGCCTTTCCAACCTTTGAGAATTGTTTTTCACAAATGATGTTTTTGCCTCTAATCTGGTTATTTCTTTGTAGTCTCAGTAATGGATAAGAAATTTGCCCTGTGAATTAATCACGGTTTACAGGGATGATGGCAGAATCAAAGTATTTGGGGATTCAGTGATTTGCCTTGCTTTGTAATTTTGGTTTAATTTGCAGTTGGGAGTTGATTGAGAATAATTTGGAATAAAACTGTTCTAGAAGGAAGACATCCATGCAAACCATTCTGTTTATTCTTTCAAACCAGGTGGTTTTCCATATTAGATGACAGGAGTCTGCAGCACTTCGTACTCAATATTCAGAGTATGTGTTTTATTTATTTTGTGGAGACAGGGTCTCTGTCACCCAGGCTGGAGTGTAGTGGTATAATCTCGGCTCACTGCAACCTCTGCCTCCCGGGTTCAAATGATTCTCCTGCCTCAGCCTCCCAAGTACCTGGGATTACAGGCGCCTGCCACCATGCCCGGCTAATTTTTGTATTTTTAGTAGAGACGGAGTTTCACCATGTTGGCCAGGCTAGTCTCGAACTCCTGACCTCAAGTGATCCACCCACCTCAGCCTCCCAAAGTGCTGGGATTATAGGCGTGAGCCACTGCGCCTGGCCCAAAGTACCTATTTTAGTAAACAAACTCTCAGTTCAAATAAGTCAGAGTGCCTTTTTTTGTAGTTGGCCAGGGTTTGTGTAATTAGTTTATCAAGTAAAATTTGACTTGTATTGACAAGAACTGGAGTTGTGATAGCAAACAGTAATTGCTAACTCTATCTTATCAGGGAAATCAAAAGCGTCTATTGAATTACAGTGACTCTATTATATTGCCCTGTAACCTCACCAAGATGATTCTTCGGAGGATGATTAAATGTAGTCATGAATCCATATATATGAGAAAGCAAACAGATGGATAAACAACCAAAGTAATTATCATCTGTACATTCACATTTTTCCATCACAATATTTCAGGGACCTGCTGGTCCAGAGTCATCTGTTTGGTCATTGTCTGGGAGGATGACATTCTTCATAAAATGTGCTCGGTTGGTTTATCTGCCGTGCAGTGTTACCAGAGGGCATTTCAGCTGTTTAAACTCCCAGAAAGTGTTGGTAGCTTCCTTGTTTTTATTGGTGTCTAGTGGACACAGGGGACAAGAGTAAGTTTGATGGGATGTATCCTGTGGTTATGAGAGGAGATGCTATACTGTGTAAAGAAACCTCTAAAAACCAGTTTAAAAAGATTGTTTTATGGATAGATTGCATTACCTAAATTCTGATGAAATATTTCATTTCATGGTGCTAGTTTTAACTTTAGTCTTTTAAAACACAAAAGTAAAACCAATCCAACAACAAAAACATCTTCAAAACCGCAGTTAAACAGCATCTGTGGGCCGGGCACAGTGGCTCATGCCTGTAATCCCAGCACTGTGGGAGGCCAAGGCGGGCGGATCACGAGGTCAGGAGATCGAGACCATCCTGGCTAACACGGTGAAACCCTGTCTCTACTAAAAGTACAAAAAATTAGCCAGGCGTGGTGGCGGGTGCCTGTAGTCCCGCTACTCGGGAGGCTGAGGCAGGAGAATGGCGTGAACCCGGGAGGCGGAGCTTGCAGTGAGCCGAGATCGTGCCACTGCACTCCAGCCTGGGCGACAGTGCGAGACTCCATCTCAAAACAGACAAAACAAAACAAAACAAAACAAAAAAAACAGCATTTGTGGATTGTACCTGTCTGAGTAGTGTATAATCACCTTTCCTAGACAACTTTGCCTTTCTCAGCCCGCCTTTGCAGGTGAGGTGCTCAGACTTAAAAGTCCCATGGGAAGATAATTTTGCCAATTATTCTCTTTTAAGCTGCTTTGTTTAAAGGATTCTAAAGTCACATCATGAGGAGGGGAGAGCCAAGAGGGTGTCGGATGTGTGTTGTCACTCTGATATTTGCTCTTTTTCTTTTTTTTTTGAGACGGAGTCTCGCTCTGTCGCCCAGGCTGGAGTGCAGTGGCACGATCTCGGCTCACTGCAAGCTCTGCCTCCCGGTTTCACACCATTCTCCTGCCTCAGCCTCCCGAGTAGCGGGACTACAGGCGCCCGCCACCACGCCCGGCTAATTTTTTGTACTTTTAGTAGAGACAGGGTTTCACCATGTTAGCCAGGATGGTCTCGATCTCCTGACCTCGTGATTCACCTGCCTCGGCCTCCCGAAGTGCTGGGATTATAGGTGTGAGCCACCGCGCCCAGCCGATATTTGCTCATTTTCTGAGTGTTTTGTGAGTCCTGAGGAATGAGCTCAAGGAGGAGATGGGTTCATTCCTTCTTCTAGGTTTCTTTTCGAGTGGGGTGAAGCTCACTTTTAGTTTCAGGTGGAAGCTGTGCACTGGATTCATTTGGGAGCAGGTTGGCAGGTAGAACAGTAGAATAAATCGTGAAGACCTACAAGCGTTAGAATGCGAGAGGAATGGATGGAGCTGCTCCTTCCTTCTGATTTGCAGGAAGTTTCCTTAATGGAACGAGCCAGCCCCGAGGGAGCCGAGCCAGCCCCGAGGGAGCCGTCATCTGGGACCCTGGGATCTGCGATGCAGCAGAGTTCCATTATCCCGTTTATTTTTACTGTAAATACACTCAATGTTACACAAATTCATTAAAAGATAAGCATGATCTGTCCTGTTGGGAAGCTTCTAATGGAAAGTAGGGGATAGCTGATGATTCCTCTGGATGGGCGTTTATTTGCAAGATGTTTCTTTCCAGAAAATGCTTAACTAGATTACATGTTTCATGACCTCAGTATAAATTCTTTTAGTTTTCCTGACCTTTTGTGATTTTAGTTACTATCCTAAAATATATTGATTTCTTTTTCTTGTTCATCTAGAAATGATCATTAAAAACAAACAAATAGGCCGGACGTGGTGGCTCACGCCTGTAATCTCAGCACTTTGGGAGGCTGAGGCTGGTGAATCATTTGAGGTCAGGAGTTCAAGACCAGCCTGGCCAACATGGTGAAATCCTATCTCTACCAAAAAAAAAAAAAGCCAGATATGTTGGTGTGTGCCTGTAATCCCAGCTACACTGAGGCAGAGGCAGGAGAATCATTTGAACGTGGGAGGCGGAGACTGCAGTGAGCAGAGATTGTGCCACTGCACTCCAGCCTGGGTGACAGAGAGAGACTCCATCTCAAAAAATAAAAACAAACAAATGAAAGGTTTAAGACCTTCTTTGAACCTGACTGCCTTACTTTCTTTGGCAAGCTAATTTTTCTGAGGTCAAGAGAGTAGGTGCTGGAACCAAACTGCTTGGGATCAGATCCTAGACCTAGCACTGGTTGACCTGAGGCAAGTTAATCTCTGTGTGCAGCCTTTCTGTTAAATGGGAGTAGTAATAGTGGTTGTAGCATAAGATTGAGGTTAAACGAGTAAGTGTATGTAAGCACCTACTGAATGCTATTTAAGTTAATGCAATCATTCAGTGGATTTCGGCTAAATTCATGCATTCAGTAAATATTTACCCTGTGCCTGCAAAATGACTGCTGTGTGCTTGGCCCTGGGATACAATAGGGACTGAAGTAGATATGGGGGATTGGCAAGTAAGTAGGCAGCCACAAGACAGCTGTGAATGGTAGGAGGGAGAAAGGACTACCAAGGGAGGCTTCCTGGAAGAAGCGGCTTTTTAAATAGGTGCTTTGAAGAGATTAGATATGAGTTAATGAGATGAAGAGGGGTAGGAAGGAGTAGCATCAGTTTAGCTGAGGGCCCTGAGGTGCAAGAGTGCACAGACCACTGAAGTTCAGTCTGGGTGAGTCGAGGCGAGGCTGGGTGCCAAGCAGGGTCGTCCCAAGCTGTCTGGAGGAATTTGGACTTAATGCTCAGAGCAGTGGCTGGTGATTGAAAGGTTCAGAGTGGATGATTCTTGAAGGGTCCAGAGCTATATCAGATTTTGTTGCAGGAAGAGTTCATGGGCAGTGGTTTGAAGAACGGGAAGGAGAGGAGACAGGTGATGGGGAGGCATGGCAGCCGTGCAGGGGAGGTGATGGGGCCTGAGTGGGGTTGATGGTGGTGGGGGTGGGGAGGAGCCAGTGGGTTTGAGAATATTAGGAGGATAAGGAGTGCCATGTCCTGACTGATTGGTTGTAGACGAGGGGAGGGAAGTGTCTAGGCCTGGATGCAGGGGCTGCTGGTCTCCGGTGGTCCTGGAGAAGGATGAACTCAGGGTACAGTTCTTCCCCAGCACTGGGCACAGGGTGCAGGGCTGTGCCCGTGGTAGACAGTAGGAAATGCTTGCTGCAGGAAGCCCTCAGCACGCAGAGCCATGTGTGGTCTCTGAACCTTGCAAGCGGACCTGCCGAGGCAGCTGTTGGGTGGCTGGAGCAGTTTACGCAGTTGGGAGTCAGCACGAAGATGCGTATGGAAGCCTCCAGAGATGACCTGTGTGGGAGGGTTTGGAAAGTGAGGAGAAGCTGAGGAGCTGGAGTCCCAAAGAACAACTGCGCAAAGGACTGAGATGGAGGAGACCGGGGAGCGGAGGCCCAGGGAGGACACCAAGCCTGAGGAGGAAGTGACTGGGAAGGAAAAGAAGGAAGAGTGTCATTGCTAGGGTGCCCTCGGCTCTGCAGGGCACGTATCAGTGGCGAGGTGGATTGGGGCTCGTGTGGGCAATGTCGCCACAGAGACTTGGCTGCAAAAAGACAAGAGAGCTCTCAGTAAGAAGCTGGAGAGGGTGTTATCAACAGCTGTGTAACAGATCACACCAAAACCTAGGAGCTGAAAACAATGTTTTTGTTTTTGAGACTGATCCTCTCTCTGTCACCCAGGCTGGAGTGCAGTGGCAGAGTCTGGGCTCACTGCAGCCTCTGTCTCCCGGGTTCAAACGATTCTCCTGCCTCGGCCTCCTGAGTAGCTGGGATTACAGGCGTGCACCACCATACCTGGCTAATTTTTGTATTTTTAGTAGAGACGGGGTTTCACTATGTCAGTCAAGCTGGTCTCCAACTCCTGACTTTGTGATCCGCCTGCCTCGGCCTCCCAAAGTGCTGGGATTACAGGTGTGAGCCACCGTGCCTGGCCAGAAAACGTTTTTTATCCAGTTTCTGTGTGGCTTAGCTGGGCCCCCAGCTCAGGCCCTCTGAAGGGCTGTATTTAAGGTGTCCACGGGGGACAGAGTCATTTCAGGGTCTTACTGGAGGAGAATCAGCTTCTGAGCTCACATGGTGGTGTTGGCAGGATTCACTTTCTTGGTGGCTGTTGGCAGAGGGTACTTGCATTTCCTTCCCACGTGGGCCTCTCCATAGGGGCAGCTCATGTAGGGCTGGTTTTGTCACAGCAGGTGAGTGGGAGGCAGAGGGTGCAGCGGAGAGGGGGAGAGGGAAAGAGGGGAGAAGGGGAAAGAGAGAGAGAGAGAGGGAGAGAGAGAGAGAGAGTGCACACAAGGCAGAAGTCAGAGCCCTTTTGTAACTGAATCATGGAAGTGACAGCCCATCACTGGCAGTATTTTATTGGCTAGAAGTGAGTCACTAGGTCCAGCCCATACTCAACGGGATCATTTTTATGGATTTTCTTTTAGGAAATGAATGGAGTGAGTCAAATACTCTTTACCTGTGGACATGCTCAGCTGTGCATCTGGTTTTGCTGCCACCGGCCTCTTTTTCCAGTCCCAAGAAACACGTGTTCATGAATCCACTTGGGTGCAGGTGCACATACTGTATGGCTGGCGGTCGTGAGCAGTTTCTTCGAAGTTTCTGGCACTTTGCTGATGCAGGCAGTTCAGTGTCGGAGTGGCCAAGAGCAGGGGGTTTTGGGCACACCTCTGCCGTGCATCTCATGATTGCCGCAGTGCTTTATTGAGCGTAACAACTTGGAATGCTCAGGTGTGGTTTGCGGCATTCACTTGCTGATGAACGTTCATAGGCAGAGACGCTCTGGACTCTTTTTAAACAGCTTTCTCGAGCAGTTACTCACATACCATGCAGGGTATCCACTGTAAAAGTCTGCCATTCAGTGGTTTTTGGCATATTACATTAATTTTTTAAATTTATGGGAAAAATATATATAACATAGAATTTTCCCCTTTAACCCTTTAAAAATGCACATTTCATTGGCATTAAATACATCTACAGTGTTGTGCTACTCATTCTCTGTTTCCAAGACTTTCACCGTCCCAGACAGAAACTTTGTATCCGTTAAAAGCTAATTCTTGGCCAGACACGGTAGCTCATGCCTGTATTCCTAGCACTTTGGGAGGCCGAGGTGGGTGGATCACTTGAGGTCAGGAGTTCAAGACCAGCCTGGCCAACATGGTGAAACCCCATTTCTACTAAAAATACAAAAATTAGCTGGATGTGGTGGCGGGCACCTGTAATCCCAGCTACTTGGGAGGCTGAGGCAGGAGAATCGCTTGACCCGGAAGGCGGAGGTTGCAGTGAGCTGAGATCGCAGCACTACACTCCAGTCTGGGCAACAGAGCGAGACTTCATCTAAAAAAAGAAAAAGCTAACTTTCCATTCCCTGTCCCCTCAGCCTCCGTTAACTTCTAATCTATTATATTTTCTGTCTCTGAATTTGACTACTCTAGGAGCCACATAGGAACGGAATTGCACAGTATTTGTCCTTTTGTGCCTGGCTAATTTCGCAGAGCACAGTATCTTCCGGGTTCATCCATGTCACAGCACACGTCAACACTTCCTTGCTCTGAAGAATATTTCACTGTATGCATTAGCCACATTTTGTTTAATTTGTTCATCTCTTGATGGACACTTGTGACATGGTTTCTTCCCAGCATTTGACTGTTGTGAACAACTTGTCCACTCTTTGCTGGAGGAAGTGCGTTAGTGCCCATCTCACGGTCACAGCGGACAGGCTCACTTCTTGGATCAGACGCTCATTGTGAAGCAGATCAATGCAGTGAGAATGCAGGTCTGATCCTGTCCCCCCATCCCTGGCCCATGACTGGGGAGAGATGCGGTCCAAGGACTGGTACCTGGAGGCTTGGCAGCAGCATGCCCTCCTTCCTCCTGCTCTTTGCCTCAGTCTTTGCGTGCAGAAATGGGATTGCTGTTAGCCCTATTTCATAGGGTTGATATGGGATGATGTGGTATTCCATGGTGTTTCTGGTCTTTCTCAGGGCAGAATAAAGTTTACCTCTGCCATGATGATGGTGGTGCTGGTAATGTGGTTGATGATGGTGGTGGTTGGTAGTACTACTGTTGGTGGTGATGGTGGTGGTTGGTAGTATTACTGTTGGTGGTGATGGTGGTGGTTGGTAGTATTACTGTTGGTGATGGTGGTGGTTGGTAGTATTACTGTTGGTGGTGATGGTGGTAGTTGGTAGTATTACTGTTGGTGGTGATGGTGGTGGTTGGTAGTATTACTGTTGGTGGTGGTGGTGGTGGTTGGTAGTATTACTGTTGGTGGTGATGGTGGTGGTTGGTAGTATTACTGTTGGTGGTGGTGGTGGTTGGTAGTATTACTGTTGGTGGTGATGGTGGTGGTTGGTAGTATTACTGTTGGTGGTGGTGGTGGTGGTTGGTAGTATTACTGTTGGTGATGGTGGTGGTTGGTAGTATTACTGTTGGTGGTGGTGGTGGTGGTTGGTAGTATTACTGTTGGTGGTGATGGTGGTTGGTAGTATTACTGTTGGTGGTGATGGTGGTGGTTGGTAGTATTACTGTTGGTGGTGATGGTGGTGGTTGGTAGTATTACTGTTGGTGGTGATGGTGGTGGTTGGTAGTATTACTGTTGGTGGTGGTGGTGGTGGTTGGTAGTATTACTGTTGTTGGTGATGGTGGTGGTTGGTAGTATTACTGTTGGTGGTGATGGTGGTGGTTGGTAGTATTACTGTTGGTGATGGTGGTGGTTGGTAGTATTACTGTTGGTGGTGGTGGTGGTGGTTGGTAGTATTACTGTTGGTGGTGGTGGTGGTGGTTGGTAGTATTACTGTTGGTGGTGGTGGTGGTGGTTGGTAGTATTACTGTTGGTGGTGATGGTGGTGGTTGGTAGTATTACTGTTGGTGGTGATGGTGGTGGTTGGTAGTATTACTGTTGGTGGTGATGGTGGTGGTTGGTAGTATTACTGTTGGTGGTGATGGTGGTGGTTGGTAGTATTACTGTTGGTGGTGATGGTGGTTGGTAGTATTACTGTTGGTGGTGATGGTGGTGGTTGGTAGTATTACTGTTGGTGGTGATGGTGGTGGTTGGTAGTATTACTGTTGGTGGTGATGGTGGTGGTTGGTAGTATTACTGTTGGTGGTGATGGTGGTGGTTGGTAGTATTACTGTTGGTGGTGATGGTGGTGGTTGGTAGTATTACTGTTGGTGGTGATGGTGGTGGTTGGTAGTATTACTGTTGGTGGTGATGGTGGTGGTGGTGGTAATACTGCTGGTGGTGATTGTGTTGGTAGTACTGATGTTGCTGGTGAGGGTGATGAAGGTGGTAATACTGTCCAGCCGGGCCTTTTGAGGGCATCTGGATGAACCTCTTTTTTACGTGGGGTGGGGTCGGGATAGGCACCCTGAAACAGGGCCCTCAAAATGCTCCAGGCCACAGATGGAGAAGGAAAGTTTCCCGATGTGGGGTTGCAGGGTCAGGTATGCTGAGCCAGAGGCACTGCTTCCCAGGAATCCTCACCTCTCGGAGCCTGTGATGCGGGCGCCCAGCTGTGCAGCTGCCATCCAGCCTGGATCCCAAGCTTCCCCTCCCTGGAATCATTGTGAGCTGCTCTGATCCTTTGGGCTGGATTTTCCATCCTCTCCCTCAAAGGGAACCTTGCCCCCTATGCCTTTCCTGAGGTTGGGGATATGTGTGCTGGGCCTGGCCCAGGGTAGTACTGGGGTTGCGTGAGAAGGCAGGTCTGGAGCTGGTTGTATGCCTGGGCCCCGCAAGCTGGGCTTTCAGAATCCCTTTCAGTGGCCCGGGCCCACCCCCTGGACCCTGTTCCCTTTGTAACTGAGCTTTCGTCTTTGCTTTGGTTCCCTGGCCACCCTTCGGGATCCTGGCCTCCCCTTTCTGGGAGTGGTGCACGTTCTGCTGGGGGGAGGTGCATCCTGCCCTTGCTGCCTGCCTGGCACTCTGGGTTCCCCTCTGCACTTGTTTGCTGATCCATCTCCATTGATTCCCGAAGGTGTTTATTGAAGGTGACCTGGGTTGGGGGACATGGGGTTAACACACCCAGCTCCTGCTCTCCTGCAGCCCTCTCCCTGTGGGGAATGGGGAGCCGCAGGACAGCCCCTAAGCTGTCTAGTGCCTCTGGGGATTCCAGGAAGGCACTTCTTGGTTGGACATGTTGCTTGACAAGTGCAACCCAGGCAGGATTTCGGCTCCCACGTGTCCCTTCAGCCCTGAGCCTTTGGCAGTGAACACACCTACCAACTATACATGGCAGTCCAAAGTGGGTAGGTGTGTGAGGGAGGGTTGGTCCTATGATGAGACCCATTCTTGTGAATTCCTTTTTCCCAGGGCATCAGTACATCCCCTGCTTAATTTCAGAGCAGCAAGGGCAGAGCTGGGACATGGTTGGATCTCTCTGTGATGAGAGCATCGGGTGTTGAATGTCCTTTCTGTGCTATAACTATAAATTCATGTTAGACAGCAAAATGTAGGCGTTTGACTGATGCAGGAAGGATCTGGAGGGGAAAAGTATTACTCAAGAATATTTCACCTAAAAAGGACTTTGTGACAAGGTTTGCTTGTGACAGTCCTTGTATGATATTGGGTGATATTTCTTGTGACTTTTGTTTTGACATGTCTCTGGCTGGTTTTATGAGGGCTATTTGGGGAGCACCAAAGGGAGAGTGGCCAGAGAGGCAAAGCTCTGTCTGGCTCTCGATGGGAGGGCTGTGCTTTTTTAGAGTGTGGAGCCGCGTGTTATGCAGCATGCAGTGTTGTGGCTAGGGACAGAAGCTGGGTCAGAAACATTAGCCCCCCAAAGCAGGTTTCTCCCACCTTCTAGACCTGCGTCTTTGAGGAGCCATCTAACATCCTCTCTAAGCCTCATTTTTTTTTTCCATTTGTGAAATGGGAATGAGTAGTAATCCCTCCCTTGTAAAGTTTTTGTGATAATGAAATTAGATAAATTAGGTAGTCCACGAGAAGCAGTCAGTGGCTGTTCCATGGTAAGGGGCTAATAGCTCTCATTACAGCTTTTCCTAGTTGTGTTATTTGGAGAGCAGGTTCCTAATTCGAGTTCGCCACAGCTTATCTGTGTCATGTCTTGTCTCCTCTTTGGGTGGCAGTTCTTACCTGGGATCTTGGGTGGTAAATATTGGTTTGTTGGTCTGGATTGACTGGATGATTGGAGGTCTGGTCTGTGCTTGCCTGCAGGGTCAGCTTAGCCTAGCTGTGACATGTAAAGGCTCTCTCTCCTTTAGACTGGGGTTCCATTCATGGGATTAATGGAATTGTTATTTCATCTTGTCTCAAGGGCTTTCTGGAATAAGGGCAATGGGGCCTTTGACAGTGCCCAGAATTGTCACTGTCCCTTTGAAGCAAAGGGAAATCGGTTGCAGAGAGAGGGACTCTGCAGCCTTTGTTGTGGACGCAGCAGTACAGTTACTCTTTGTTTGGGATGTGCTGGGAGTGCTGTTCTCAGAGCAAGGCCACATGATGCCTGGAGGTGGGGCGGCAGCATGCCCTCCTTCCTCCTGCTCTTTGCCTCAGAGTCTTTGTGTGCAGAAATGGGGTTTTTGTTAGCCCCACTTCATAGGGTTAATATGGGATGATGTGAGGAAATGCGTCAAGTGTTCGTTGGAGTTTCTGGTCTTTCCCAGGGCAGAATGAAGTTTAACTCTACCATGATGATGGTGGTACTGGTGATAGCGGTGGTGCTGGTGATGTTGGTGATGTTATTGTTGATGATGGTGGTTGGTAGTATTGCTGTTGGCGGTGATGGTGGTGGTGGTAACATTGCTGGCGGTGATTGTGTTGGTAGTATTGATGTTGGTGGGGGTGGTGAAGGTGGTAGTATTGTTGGTAGTAGTAGTATTGGTGATGGTGGTGGTAGTATTGTTTTTGGTAGTGTTTTTAGTATTGATGATAGTGGTGGTAGTGTTGTTGGTAGTATTGTTGGTAGTGTTAGCATGGTTGTTGGTGGTAGTATTACTGGTAGTAGTGTTGGTGATAGTGGTGATGGTGGTAGTATTGGTAGTGGTGGTGGTAATATTGGTGATGGTGGTAGTATTGTTGGTAATATTAGTGATAGTGGTGGTGGTAGTATTGTTGGTAGTATTGGTAGTGTTAGTAGTGGTAGTATTGTTGGTAGTATTGTTGGTGATAGTGGTGATGGTAGTATTGTTGATAGTATTGGTAGTGGTGGTGGTAGTATTGGTGATGGTAGTAGTATTGCTAATATTAGTGATAGTGGTGGTGGTAGTATTGTTGGTAGTGTTGGTAGTATTGGTAGTAGTGGTAGTATTCGTAGTATTGTTGGTGATAGTGGTGATGGTGGTAATGTTGTTTTTGTTGGTATTATTGCTGTTGGTAGTATTGTTGGTGATGTGTTGGTGGTGATTGTGGTGGTGGTAGTATTGTTGGTAGTGTTTTTGGTAGTGTTGGTGGTGGTATTGTTGGTGGTAGTATTGTTGTTTGTAGTATTGGTGACAATGGTAGTAGTAGTAAGTATTGTTGTTGGTATTACTAGTATTGAGGCAGAAGAATAGAGCCTGGAGGCAGAAGACCTAAGGACTTCCTAGAACTAAATCAAATGGAAACACGCTGTGACAGGAAATAATCTCTTCATTTACATTGGGTGTACACTGAGTAAATGACTATGTAACTTTACTTCAGCCTCTTCATTTTTTTTTTTTTTGAGATGGAGTTTCACTATTGTCACCCAGGCTGGAGTGCAGTGGTGCGATCTCGGCTCACTGCAACCTCCGCCTCCTGGGTTCAAGCGATTTTCCTGCCTCGGACTCCTGAGTAGCTGGGACTACAGATGTGTACCACCAGGCCCAGCTAATTTTTGTATTCTTAGTAGAGATGGGATTTCACCATGTTGGCCAGGATGGTATCAATTTCTTGACCTTGTGATCCGCCCACCTCGGCCTCCCAGAGGGGTGGGATTACAGGCATGAGCTACCATGCCTGGCCAGCCTCTTCGTTTATATAGGGTGTACACCAAGTAACCAATGGTGGTGGTAGTATTGTTGGTGATACGGTAGTATTGTTATTGTTGGTAGTGTTGTAGGTGATGGTGATGGTAATAGCATTGTTATTGTTCATAGTATTGTAGGTGATGGTGGTGGTGGCAGTAGTATTGTTATTGTTGGTTGTATTGTTGGTGATGGTGGTGGTAATATTGTTACTGTTGGTAGTATTGTTGGTAGTGTTGGTGATGTGGCGGTAGTATTGTTGGTAGTGTTGGTGATGTTATTCTTGGTAGTATTGTTGGTGATGGTGGTGGTGGTAGTATTGGTGGTAGTATTGTTGGTGATGTATTATTGGTAGTGTTGGTGTTGTTATTCTTGGTAGTACGGTTGGTGATGGTGGTGGTAGTATTGGTGGTAGTGTTGTTGGTGATGTAGTATTGTTGGTACTGTTGGTGATGTTATTCTTGGTAGTATTGTTGGTGATGTAGTATTGTTGGTAGTGTTGGTGATGTTGTTATTGGTAGTATTGTTGTTGTTGGTAGTATTGTTGGTGATGTGGTAGTATTGTTGGTAGTGTTGGTGATGTTGTTATTGGTAGTATTGGTGGTAGTATTGTTGGTGATGTGGTAGTATTGTTGGTAGTGTTGGTGATGTTATTCTTGGTAGTATTGTTGGTGATGGTGGTGGTGGTAGTGTTGGTAGTATTGTTGGTGATGTGGTAGTATTGTTATTGTTGGTAGTATTGTAGGTGATGGTGGTGGTGATAGTATTGTTATTGTTGGTAGTATTGTTGGTGATGGTAGTGGTAGTATTTTTTGTTGGTGGTATTGTTGGTAGTATAGTTAGTGATGTAGTGTTGGTGGTGGTAGTATTGTTGGTGCTGCTGGTGGTGGTAGTATTTTTGGTAGTGGTGGTAGTATTTTTGGTAGTGGTGGTAGTATTTTGGTGATGGTTGTGAAGTATTGGTGATGGTGGTGGTGGAAGTATTGGTAGTAATTTTCGTAGTGTTGGTGGTGGTGGTATTGTTATTGGCAGCGATGGCAGTGGAGGTGGTAGTGGTGGTAGTACTGTTGGTAGTATTTTTAGTAGTGTTGGTAGTGGTGGTATTGGTGATGGTGGTGGTGGTAGTGTTGTGGTGTGGTGTGGTGGTAGTGGTGATGGCAGTGGAGGTGGTAGTGGTGGTAGTATTGTCAGTGATGGTGGTTGTGGTAGTATTGTTGGTAGTATTTTTCATAGTGTTGGTAGTGGTGGTATTGGTGATGGTGGTGGTGGTAGTATTGTTATCGGTGGTGATGGCGGTGGAGGTGGTGATGGCAGTGGAGGTGGTAGTGGTAGCAATATTATTGATAGCAGTTTTGGTAATGTTGGTGGTGGTAGTACTGCTGATGGTGGTGGTGGTGGTAGTATTGTTAATCAGTGGTGATGGCAGGGGAGGTGCTGGTGTTAGTACACTGTCATCAGTGGAGCTCCCATTTTTCAGCTGAATGCCTTCGTGGCATAGGCCTCCTGGGAATGAGTGTGGGTAGAACGTCCCTCATTTGTGGTTGAGATTTTTCCCTGGAGCTGTGTTGGTGGGGGAAGCCTTGTTCCACGTGTGTTGGGGTTAGAGGGTGTGTGGCTGCTCAGTGGTCAGCTTTGATGTCACCTGAAACATGTTACAGGTGAGTCAGGTGGAGCATTGGGGAACTGCAGGGAGAGGAGTGTTTTCTGATGTCAGAGCCGATGGAGCTTTAAAAGCTAAAAATGAAACAAACAGAAAATGTGGAGAGATGTTCAGTAGTTTGCTCGGTACATTTTTAAAACTTCCGAGTGGTCCTGTGTGTTGGGTGTCATGGTGGACACACTGTCGTGGGCGCTTTCTGGGCAAAGTCTCCCCTGCCTGCCCTTTATCCTTGTGTGCTTTCGTCCTGCCCAGCAGCACCTCTGTAAGCAAGCAAACAGGGTTTTATAGCCTCTTGCTGAGTATTTCTCATCTCTTGCTAAGTATTTCTACTGTGGTGCAAAAGCAATCTTATTATGTGTTGCTGTATTTTTATAGTCAATTGAAATGACTATTAAAATATAACATTGCTCATCAGGCTCAGAGCAGCACTGCTGGAGAGGCCTGCCCTTGCAGATGAGGCAGCTGAGTCCTGGAAAGAGAGGCCTTCTTGGGAATCACAGCCGATGCAGGGGCCTGAGGCCTGGGCTGCTATGTAGGACCCTCCACAACCTCAGAACAGTCCTGGGCTCTGCTGTCACATCTTGAAATGTTTTTTCTATTTTCTTTATTGTGGCAAGATATATATAACCTAAAATTTCCCATTTGAACCATTTTTAGGTGTACAGTTCAGTGGCGTTAAACACACTGACGTTGTTGGGCAACCATCACCACCATCCATTGCCAGAACTCTTTTCTTCTTCCTGAAGACAGACTCTGTTCCTATTAAACACTAACTCCCATTCCCTCCTCCTCCCAGCCCCTGGCAGCCGCCGTGCTATTTTCTGTCTCTATGCAAGTGACTACTCTAAGAACTTCGTGTAAGTAGGATCACACGCTTCTGTCCTTTTGTGACTGGCTTATTTCACTCAGCACAATGTCCTCAAGGTTCATCCACATTGTAGCATGTGTCAGAATTTCCTTTTTTAGGTGTGGGTAGTATTTCATTATATGTACATACCACGTTTTATCCATTCATCTGTTGATAGACATTTGGGTTGCTTCTGCCTTTTAGCTATTGTGAATAATGCTGCTGTGAACCTTGGTGTACAAGTTTCTGTTCAAGTCCCCGCTTTCAGTTATGTTGGTATTGCCTGATCATATAGTAGTTGTATATTTAACTTTTGAGGAACTGCCAAACGGTTTTTCCGCGGCTGCACCATTTTACATTCCTGTGACCAGTGCACAAGGGTTTCTGCTGCTTCAGATCCTTACCAACATTTGTTATTTATTTAAATAATAGCCATCCTAATCATCTCCAAATGTATCACAGTTTTTGTTTTTTGTTTCTTTTTTCTTGAGATGGAGTCTTGCTCTGTTGCCCAGGCTAGAGTCAGTGGTGCATTCTCAGCTCACTGCAACCTCTGCCTCCCAGGTTCAAGTGATTCTTGTGCCTCAGCCTCCCAAGTAGCTGGGATTATGGGCATGCACCATCATGTTCGGCTAAATTTTGTCCTTTTTGTAGAGAAGGGGTTTCACTATGTTGGCCAGGCTGGTCTCAAACTTCTGGCCTCCAATGATCCGCTCACCTTGGCCTCCCAAAGGGCTGGGATTACAGGCGTGAGCCAGTAATTTATCATAATTTTTGAACAAAGGCCTTTACATTTTCATTTTGCCTTGGGCCGTGAACATTTTGTAGCCAGTCCTGCTGGGAACTGATGCAGCCTGGGTGTTCTGTGGAGCCCCGCCCATGTTCGGGGCACAAGGGTTTGGCCAGGTGTCAGTTTAAGCTGCTGGGGAAGACAGGCTGGCGCTGTCTGGGGTTAAAGGTGGTTCCCAGAAGGCCCAGATCTGGGGCAGAGTAGCTCTGTGTGCAGTGAGCTGGCAGGCAGGAGGGATGGCTGTCTTGGCTTCCGCTGTTTTATTTAGTGCCTTACCTAGAATCTGTATTCCTGCCGAGTGGTCACGTTGCACAGGGGCTGTGAGCAGTTCAGTGGCTCACTCTGTGAAGGGCGGCTTACCACACACTTTTTGGGTGCTCTCTAGGGAAGGAAAATTTATCAAGCAGTTAACTAAGGAAAGATTCGTTTGTGTCCTCTGGGAACTGACACTGCACACTAGCTGGCTCAAATAGTGGTGTTGAGGGTAGCCTTTGGGTGAGACCTGTCCATATGCCTGTTAAAACAGATGACAAAGGCAGGCAGCCCAGGTCTGGTCAAGTCGGGAGCCTTGGCTCCCTCCTCCAAGGCTGTGCTGGGATGGACTCTCTGCCACTGTTCAGTTTCGGTCTGCAAGTATGGAAATGCCCGCGTCTCTGCAGCCGGCGCATCTGGGCCAGGCCCAGGCTGCCACTGTGCAGTTGCTGATCTGCCTGGGAACAAGAGGGCTATGTCTGGGCCGCCTGTGCCTCAGAAGAGCTCATCAGCAGTCAGCATCTGAGGTGTGCAAACACATCTGAGCAGACTTCTCCCTCCAGAGCTCTGCCCCGTTGGGACTTCTGGAAGCCTGAGATTTCACCAGCAGAAGGTCCTGTGTGTCCTGACCTTTAGGATCTGAGAGTGACTTCGTACCTTCTTGTGCTAAGGCCTACAGCCTACGAGCATCTACCCTCTGTCTAGTTAGAAGTGACTGTACCAGGTCCTGGTGCAGCTGAGTGAGTGGGAGGAGAGGGGCTCAGGAGGGGAGCACAGGAACAGGAGCTGGGCCCGGCTGAGCTGCTCAGTGGGAAGATGGCAAGACACTGCAGATCCTTGCTCCCCGCCCACGTGCCTTGCTGGGAGAGAAAAGCAGCTCCTCAGCTCGCACTGGGGCCGTCTTAAAATCTAAGCAAATGTTTATTGTGCACATGTAGGGTGGCCCCGGCTGGATGGACCTTCATATGCAGGAGCTAATACACACTCACCAGGGACCCCTTTGCTGTCATCCTCCCATTTCATGGAGGGAGAAACTGAGCTTCACAGAGTTTGTGTTGCTTGTCAGGGCACAGAACAGGGGTTTGGGACCGAGTCCATGTCTTGATTCCAGAGGCTGAGTGCTTGGCTCAGAGGGAGGGAGTGGCCAGGCTGGTCTGCAGAGTTCCAGAGATTTTGCCTGAGCAGTGGGGGGCCACCAGCCTTGAAAATGGGCATTCTCTCTAGGGTCCTAGAGGAGGCTCAGGCCAGAGCCCACAGGGAGGAGGCAAAGTGCTTTGTCACCTGAGAAGCCCCCACATTGGAGGGAACATGGGCTCTCCCTGGGCACAGGCTGCACCCGACGGGGGAAAGCGGGGAAGGGGTCTCTGCAAGGGGGTCCTCTCCAGCAGCCTGTGCCAACAGGCACTAGGCTTTATTGTTTTCCTCACAGAGGGCTCGATTGGTTTTTAATCTTCAATTTTACTTTTTTATCAAAGCTAAATAATGTAACAACGACAGAGGAGGAATTTCAAGCAACTACAAAGAAACCAAATATTTTTTGGCGAGTCCCTGGCGTGGCTGCCTTTCCCTGTCTTCTCCCTCCTGGTTGCAGTATGGACAGAGGTGTCACCCTTCAGGCTTGGGGACGGCACTGGGCTGCTGGCTCACCTGAAGATGCCTTTGGCATGTGCAACTTCTCCAAAAGTGCAAACGCCTCCCATCAAAGTGGAAATTCCATGGGCCAAAAACAGATTCACAAAACAGTTCACGCTGGAATGTTCAATCCAGCCTTATTTATTTATTTATCTTCGTTTTTATTTTTTTCAGAGCCAGAGTATCACTCTGTCACCCAGGCTTGACTGCAGTGGCACGGTCATAGCTCACTGCAGCCCTCAACTCCTGGGCTCAAGTGATCCTGCCTCAGCCTCCCAAGTAGCTGGGACTGCAGGTGCCCACCATCATGCCTAGCTAATATATTTCGTTGTAGATACGGAGTCTTCCCATGTTGCTCAGGCTGGTTTCGATCTCATGGGCTCAAGTGATTCTCCCACTTCAGCTTTCCAAAGTGCTGGTTTTACAGGTGTGAGCCACTGTGCCTGACTGCAGCCTTATTTATAATAACTCAAACCTGGAAACAAATAACTCAAATGTCCATCAACAGGAGAATGGATAGACACATTGTGATGTGTTGATATGATGGAATACTATTCAACAATAGAAAATAACAAACTACTGATACAACACCATTCATGTGGCTCAAAATGTTGAGCAGAAGAAGTCAGACATAAAGGAGCACATAGGATTCCGTGTATTTGAAGTTTAAGCATTGACCGTTATTTATGACTTATCTATGGTAATAAAAATTAGAAAATGGTGTTTTGGGAGAAAAATCTCCTAGAGAGGGGCTTGAGGGTACTTTCTGGATCTCTTCCTATCTTGGGTGTACACGGCGTATAGAATTATATAAAAGTCACTGAGCTGATCACCTAAAGACTGTGTGTTTTATTATACCACTAACATACATGTGAGTGTATACATGTAGATGGATGTGAGCATATTTATGTCTGTATATATGCCCATTTGTTACATGGCTCATGGTGTTGAACTTTTTTCTGTAGTTAGAGATATTGGATGTCATGGTCCACGGTCTTTGTGTAATACGCAGGAATGTTGCTGCTTTGGCTCCGTAATTTTAAACTCACAGGGTTTGTTGGGGCTTCAGAAGCCAGCCATACAGAGGGTAGGTTGACAGGGAAGTCACAGCTCATGGAGACCAGAGCAGGGACTCTGTTTTGGCATTTTGGCACAATGGGTATTCCCACATCTGTACAGAAGGTGATCGAGAGGTGATGATGTCTTGATTTACAGGACCGGAGGCTGGGTATTCTGGAGCCGTTGGTGGGGTCAGGGCTCTGTTAGGTAAAGCAGGTAGGTTTTCTCTAGAAGGCTGAGTCCTTTGGGCACCTGGGTATTAGTATACTAGAATATGTGCCACAGGGCTCTATGACACCTTCCTGATTCTAGTGGGTTGGGGACCTATGAGGAATCTTCTTCATTCTGAGGGAGGCGCTGCTTAGTTCTTGCTGTTTCACTCCGCTCAGATGTGTTCAGGGGAGGGTCACTGCTGAGTGTTTTTGTGTCAAAAAGAGTCGAACTCTGTGAAATATTTGAAGAGATTTATTCTGAGCCAAATATGAGTGACCATGGCCCGTGACACAGCCCTCAGGAGGTCCTGAGAACATGTGCCCCAGGCGGTCGGGGTGCAGCTTGATTTTATACATTTTAGAGACGCATGAGACATCAATCAAATACATGAAGAAATACATTGGTTTGGTCCAGAAAGGCGGGACATTCCAAAGCAGGGGCTTCCAGGCTGTAGGTGAATTTAAACATTTTCTGGTTGACAATTGGTTGAGTTTGTCTAAAGAACTGGGATAGATAGAAAGGGAAAGTTCAAGTTAAGATAAAGATTGTGGAGACCAATGTTCTTTTGAAGTCTTACAGTGGGTGCCCTTAGAGACAATAGGTGACAAATGTTTCCTATTCAGATCTTAATCTTTTTAGGGTCTGGAATAAAAAGATCTAGCTATGTTAATAGAGATTCTTTACAGATACAAGTTTTCCCCCACAAAACAGCTTTGCAGGGCCATTTTAAAATATGGCAAAGAAACATGTTTTGGGGTAAAATATTTTGATTTTCTTCTTTGTCTCATAATGTTATGCCAGAGTCAGGTTGGAAAGTAAATCACGATATATAGGGTTATATAAAACCCATCTGATGAGAATTTATGATTTGTGGGGCATGACTTCCCAGACCCCTTAGACACGAATTTGGACTAGATAAAAAAAATCAGAGTTTAGCCCACACATGGAAGGGGAGACCCTCTGACGTGCCAGGCTGCATCTTCCCCAGGTGGGCCCTGGATCAGAGCCAGCGTGACCTCCTCAGTCTTTGCTGCTGCTTACAGCTCCTTGAGGGTGTGTATAGCTGCCCTGGGGAGGATCGTTAGCACCATTTGTTCAAGTGAAATAGAGTGTGCTTTGTTTCTGGACATAGGGGTTGGATCTCCAGGACATGCCTACCTGGTTAGACTGTTGGAAGTTGTCTTTGCTAGTCAAGATCCTGGTCTGCTCTTTAGTTTCTTTCTTTTTTTTTTGAGTCGGAGTTTTGCTCTTGTTGCCCAGACTGGAGTGCAATGGTGCAATCTCGGCTCACTGCAACCCCCGCCTCCCGGGTTTCTCCTGCCTCAGCTTCCAGAATAGCTGGGATTACAGGCATGCGCCACCATGCCCGGCTAATTTGTATTTGTAGTAGAGATGGGGTTTCACCATGTTGGTCAGGCTGGTCTCGAACTCCTGACCTCAGGTGATCCGCCCGCTTGGGGCTTACAGGCACGAGCCACCGCATTTATTTGCTTGAAGTAAGTACAAGCAAAGCCGCAGTGGTTTCCAGTGGGTTTAACATTCAGGTAATAGTTTTACTGCCTTGACTTCCTCTATTTATTTATTAAGTGATTCACTCAGTGAGCATTTGTGGCACTCCAGGTGCCAGGCACTGTTAGGCATGGCTGCTGAGATGGAGAAGATGCAGGTGTGAGGTACAGAGAGGTCAAGGGGTCACCAGCCATGTGGTATTGTAGTGGGGGCATGGCACAGGAGGCTAGAGGAGGGGTCCTCAGTGGTGGCTGCACTTGAGAAGCCTTTATTGGGCACCTGCTATGTGACAGGCACGGACAGCAGTGAGCAGTCGCCTGGCGGTATATTGTCGGGATGTGCAAGGCTGCTGTTGAGCGCTCACATGAGGCCTCTGACTGTCGTGGGGGAGTGGCAGGGAAGGGTTTCATCCAGAGGTGATGGGGACCTGGAGAGCCAAGCTGGGGAGAGGTAGGGCTGTGGACCAAGGCCTGAAGTTGGAGGGCGCATGGGGACTCTGGTTTGGTTTGGCAAGAACTCATCTGTTTATATTTGCATAATGACAAAGCCTCTTCTGGGATGATTGGATGATTGCTGGCTTTATTTGTGAATTATAAACAGACCTACCCTCAAATATATATATATATATATATATACACACACACACACACAGACACATATATACGTATATATGTGTATATACACACACACACACACACATAGATATATACGTGTGTATATCTATACGTATAGATATATACATGTAGATATGAACCCAATAGAAAAAAAAAAAGAAATAAGATAGTTGCTGCTAGTTGTGGATAAGGCATACAGAGATATTTTATTCCGAAGAAAGATATTAAAATGTCTTTTACTGTGTCTATCAGTTCAGTTAGAATGTGAGGAAAGGCTCTTTTGTATATTTCTTTTCACATTCTTATCTTCACCATCCCTCCCACCTGTTTCCAACCAAAAGCCAAAAAGAAATATTGAATAACAAATGATGGTTCCTCTGTCTCACCAGGCCCAGCTAGCTCTGTTTCCTTAATTAGGTAGATGACTCCTTGATTCTGTTACCCAAACATTGCATGAAATACTGCCTCAGGGGATTCTACTGGCAGAGCCACAATCTTTCTGTTCCTAAGAAAGATATGAACCCAAAAGGAGTGACTTGGTGACTTTGAAAGTGGTGTCCTTTTTAGAAATGTGGGGTGGGGCCAGGCGCGGTGGCTCACACCTGTAATCCCAGCACTTTGGGAGGCTGAGGCGGGCGGATCACTTGAGGTCAGGAGTTGGAGACCAGCCTGGCCAACATAGAGAAGCGCTGTCTCTACTAAAAATACAACTCTGTCTTCCCCAGTGAAACTCAGCACCCATTAAACACTAACTCACTCCTTCGTCCTCCCAGCCTCTGGCAACCCCCTTTCTTACTTTCGTTTCTTACTTGTCTCTGAGTTTGACAACTCGAGGAAGAGGAACCTCATGTAAGTGGAATCGTACTGTATTTGTCTGTGACTGGCTTATTTCATGCAGCATAATATCTTCAGTGTCTTCAAGGTTCACCCGTGTTGTAATGTGTCAACATGTCCTTTCTTTTAAGGCCGATGGATATTCCACTGTATGTATGTGTAACATGTTGTTGAGTAATTTACCTGTTGATGGAAACTTGGGTTAGTTCCACTTTTTGGCTGTTGTGAATAATGCTGCTGTGAACATGGATGTGCAAATATCTATTCCAGACCTTGCTTCTGGTTCTCTTGGGTAGGTATCCAGAAGTGGAATTGCTGGATCTCATGGTAATTTGCTGCTTTCCACAGCAGCTACACCATTTTGGAGCCCACCAGTAACTTGCAGAGTTCCAGTTTCTTCGTGTCCTTACCAAGGTTGTTATTTTCTGTTTTGGTTTTTGCTTTTTTTATTTTTTTGAGACAGGGTCTCACTCTGTCACCCAGGCTGGGGTGCAGTGGTGCGCTCTCGGCTCACTGCAACCTCCGCCTCCCGGATTCAATCCATTCCCCTGCCTCAGTCTCCCAAGTAGCTGGGACTACAGGCATGTACCACCATGCCCGACTCTTTTTTTTTTTTTGAGATGGAGTTTCGCTCTTGTTGCCCAGGCTGGAGTGTAGTGGCACAATCTTGGCTCACTGCAACCTCCGCCTCCCCGGTTCGAACAATTCTCCTGCTTCAGCCTCCCAAGTAGCTGGAACTCCAGGCGCGTGCCGCCATGCCCGACTAATTTTGCATTTTTAGTAGAAATGGGGTTTCTCCATGTTGGTCAGGCTGATCTCTAACTCCTGACCTCAGGTGATCCACCCACCTTGGCCTCCCAAAGTGCTGGGATTACAGGTATGAACCACTGCACCCGGCCAGTTTTGGCATTTTTTTTAGTAGAGTTGGGATTTCACCATGTTGGCCAGGCTGGTCTCTAACTCCTGACCTCAAGTGATCCACCTGCCTCAGCCTCCCAAAGTGCTGGGATTACAGGCATGAACCATGGCGCCCAGCCCCCAGGAATTCTTTATATATTCTGGATACCATTCCCTTAACAGATAGGGGATTTGTAAATACTTTCTCCCCTTCTGTAGGTTGCCTTTTCTCTCTGTTAATAATATTCTTTAATGCACAAGAGTTTTTAATTTTGACGAAGTCTAACTTAGCTATCTTTTCTTTTGTTGCCTGTACTTTTGATATAATATCCAGTAAATCATTGCCAAATCCAGTGTCATGAAGTTGTTCCTCTGTGTTTTCTTCTAAGAATTTTATAGTTTTAGCTCTTATGTTTAGGTCTTTCATCCATTTTGAGTTAATTTTTGTGAATGATATAATAATCCAACTTCATTTTTTTTTGCAAGTGGATATCCAGTTTTCCCAGCACCATTTGTGGAAAAGACTGTCCTCTCCCCATTGAATAGTCTTGGCATCCTTGTTGAAATCATTTGACTTTCTATGTGAGGGTTTACTTTTGAGTTCTCTGTTCTATCCCATTTGTCTGTATATTTGTCTTTATGACAGTACTACACTGTTTTGATTACTGTAGCTTTGTAGTAGGTATTGAAATCGGGCCTCCAATTTTGTTTTTGTTTTTCAAGATTGTTTTGGCTAATCTGGGACCTTTGAGATGGGTTTTTCTATTTCTGTGGAAAGTGTCATTGGGATTTTGATAGGAGTTGCACTGAATCTGTAGATCGTTTCGGATCAGCATTGACATCTTAACAATATTAAGTCTCCCACTCCATGAACACAAATATTTTTCAGTTTGTTCATGTCTTTTATTTCTCTCAGCAACATTTCGTTAGTTTTAGTTTACAAGTCTGTACCTCCTTAAGATTATTCCCAAGTATGTTATTGCTTTTATTCAGTTCATCTTTAAAAAAATATTAGAGACAATACTTTTAATAACACCATTATAACCAGGCTCTAAGAAACTTCCTTCCCTCTCTTCCCTCCCTTCACTTCCGTCCTTTCGCTTCCCTCCTCTCCCTCTCCTTCCCTCCCTTCCCTTCCCTTCCCTTCCCTTCCCTTCCCTTCCCTTCCCTTCCCTTCCCTTCCCTCCTTCCTTCCTTCCTTCCTTCCTTCCTTCCTCCCTCCCTTCCTCCCTTCCTTCCTTCCAAGGCCTGCTGTGTGCCAGGTGTTTTTAGATGATTGCGAAAAATAAGATGCAGATTTTGTCCTTGAGAGGCTCACAGTCAAGTGGAAGAGGCACAGGTGATTAAATGGTGGCAGTGTGATACAGTAAGTGCTACCATTCAGGCTCATCTCTCTAGGAGGCTCTAATCCAGCCTAAGGCATTTGCCCCCAGACAAAAGCAGTGGAAGGATTTTACTACAGGTCGTAGAAGCTTGGTGATGGCGTGGCTGCCAGTTTGATTTTGAAGATAGAGTTTAGGAAACCCAGCCTCCAGCTCCAAGTGGGTGCCATCTAAAGCTGCCTGATGAATTTATCCTTTTATTTGTGGCTACTGGGATCACATTCTCGCTAGTAGTACAGTGGGTAATGTTGGGTACTGAGCCGTTTGCAACAATACAGTTGACTTGTTCTCCATCTTCACCAAGTTGCTATAAACGGCTGGTCTCTGCCCCAGGGTCAAGTTGAAAGGGTGTGTATAATGTTCTGTTTCTCTCTACATGGTGTTTCCTGAATGGCTCAGTGAAAGGTTGTTCCTTGGAGACCTAGCTTAGGCTGATTTCCTCTCTGGGGTTACATCTGGCTTATCTCCTCTCTCCAAGCCCAGCTCAGTGTGGACCAGCGCAGGGGCCTATGGAGGCTTAGGAAATGCAAGGTACCTGCATGGACCAGGCAAACGTGTAGGGTGTGTGAAGTTCGAGACCAGGCGGATGGCCCTAGGGTGAAACCCTGTAGGAGCACAGACAGGGAGGGCCCTGGCATTGGGCCGTGTGAGGACGTGGCCTTTGTTTTCCCCAGCCCTGAGAAGATGCATACCATTGAAAAGCGTTTCCAACTGAAGGCAAGAGAAAGGAAATGAGAACACAGAGCAATTAATTTTCACAAATTGACTTTAAAAGAATTAATTAACGTTTAAGTTGCTACTTGAAGTCTTGAAATCATGTTTCAGTGGTGTGTGAGACAGAGAGTGACTGAGCCGAGTTGATTTCAAGGAGTAACGTATGGCCACCCCTGGCCTTTGATGCTTTGGGGAGGCTATGGACCTGAGCACTGATGGCAGGTGGGCTATCTCCTTAGATCAAAAAGACCCACAGCAGAGCTGGCAAAGCTAATATTGTGTTTCTCTTTCTTACTGATTAAGTCTCAGCCTCTGTATCTTTTTGCAGAGGGCAAGAGCATTTTGAAGACGAACAAATGCTACAGCTTTTGCTTTTCCTCTTTCAGACTGCATGAGGAAGAGTACTTTGGGATCTGGTTAAATTCAGTGCATTTTTATTGAGTGCCTGCAAGGTATGGTTTTAGCTACTGTGGGAAATCCAATGATTAATAAATATTTACCTCCCTCAAGGAGTTTGTGTCTGATGGGAGAGACAGACTTACAGATGAGCAACTCTACAAGGTTGTGGGGTGGCACAGAGTGTACAGGGAGTTCAGAAGGAAGCCATTCATTTAGGTCTGCGTGTAACTTCTTCTTGGTAGGGGGAGAAATAATTCTGTTAGGGCCTGGAAAAGGCTGTGGAATTAAAGGCAGGCCTTGTAGACAAGTGGGGCAGTCGGAGGCGGAGGGAGGAAGGATTTTCAGCTGCAGAGGAGCGTGTGGCAGGCCTGGCAGGGCAGGTGGAGCCGAGGAGGGTGAGGGGGCTGAGATGAGATGGAAAGATGGGTTGTGTGCTGGAGAAATGAGCCATCATTCAGAATGCTCGGCGAAATGGTCCCAGACTTTGGAGTGAGAGTTCAGGAAGGTAACTGGTGATGGAGAGAAGGGAAGACAGTCTGTACATCTCACCGAGGGGTGATGAAGTCTTGGGCCAGGCAGTGTGGAGTGGTGAGATATCCTGGGAGGGAAGTCCCAGGATCCCAGGGCTGCCATCAGCTCACTGTGTACCTTGAGCCAGTCACAACGCCCCTGTAGACCTCTGTTTTCATCTGTGAAGTGGGCTGATGGGCTTACTATGTTTTTTCTCAAGTGAGAGTAGTCAAGTTGTTTTTTTTGCTTTTCCCTGAATGGGTGTTACATTTCATTAAATGTTTTCTCTGCATCAGTTGAGATGATATAATAATTGTATGTATTTATGGGGTACACCTTCATGTGGTACATATGAAGTATGGTGATCAGATTAGGGTAATTAGCATGTCTCTCATCTCAAATGTTTATCATTTCAGTATCTTCCTTCCAGCCATTTAAAACTGTATGGTATATTATGGTTAACTATAGTCATCCTAAGGAGCTATAGATCACTAGAACTTAATTCTCCTATCTAGCTGTAATTTCGTATCCTTTAGCAAATTTCTCCTGTCCCCACTTCCCCCCTACCCTTCTTAGGCTCTAGTATCCTCTGTTCTCCTTTTTACTTCTATAAGCTCAGTTTTTTTAGCTTCCACCTATGAGTGAGAACATGTGGTGTTTAACTTTCTGTTCCTATCATATTTCACTTAATGTCCTCCAATTCCATCCATGTTGTTGGGAATGACAAGATTCTATTTTTTTTAAATGGCTGAATTGTATTCCATTATGTATATATACCACATTTTTTTGTATCCCTTCATTTGTTGTTGGACGCCTATGTTGATTTTCTTTATTCATCTGTGTGGGACACCTAGGTTGACTGCGTATCTTGGGTATTATGAATAGTGCTGCAAGAACCTTGGGGTTGCAGATGTGTCTCTGATACACTGATTTCCTTTCCTTTGGATAAATGCCCAGTGGCGGGATTGCTGGGTCATGTGGTGGTTTTATTTGTAGTTTTTTTAAGGAACCTTCATATTGTTGTCTATAATGGCATATTCCCACCGAGTGTCTAACAGTTCTCTTATCTCTGCACCTCACTGGCATTTGTTATTTTTTTGTCTTCTTGATACTAACTATCCTAACTGGGGTGAGATAATACCTCATTGTGGTTTGGTTTGCATTTTCCTGGGCAGCTTTTTTATAGACAATCAGGAGACTGAACAGAGGTGATCGCAATACCTTTTTAGGTCTCTGATAAGGCACAGCTGCATGAGGCATGAGTGCAGCCTGTTAATTTTTTATTTTAGGGAAAAGATCCACTCACTGTAGGCTGTTTCACACTCTCCTAGAAAAAGAAAAAAACAAAAAACCAAAACATCATCCAAGCAAAGAACTTGGCGCTTGGTTTATCTCTGTCTCTTTTCCCACTTAACATCTCACACAATGTGTCTAGCTTCTACGCTGGAGTCTGCTGTCCAGGGTTGAGAAATTCATGTGGACCTGAAGATGCTCATTGGCAGCCAGGCCATTATAAAATGAAGATGGACTCGACCAGGGAGAATGTAGTAGGCATTCAGCCCACCACCCAGAGGGAGGCTGGTGCTACCCTTGCCAGGATGTGAATGGGACGCCATGAGCTTGTTCTCTATGGAGTTGTTCCCAGACCCTAACAGATCAGAAAATTGAAGCAAAACTGAGCGATCAGCAAAAAGGCCACCATCTTTGTAGTACGTCATATGTCAGGTGACAACATCTTAGATGCCATTTGTCATCCTCATCCTTCTTAAAGGAGACAAGAAGTCGTTGCCCTCAACCCCTAAGAAGGGGCAACTGTGAAAGGCCAAATAATCAGAATAAAGGATAGCCTCTCACATTACATACTTTTGGATTCATTTAAAAAAATTCCCTACATGGTTCTTGTTTTTCTCATGTCACTCAAGAATTGGGAACCACAGCCCTGGACTTGTCTGGGTTTAGGTGCCTGCAGTGGAGACCCCAGTTCCAGAGTCAATCAGTGAACCACAAAGTACCACTTTCAAATTGCTTTTCACACACCTCCTTGTACTAATTTCCTATTGCTGCTGTGACGAATTGCCACAAACTCGGGCTAAGATACGAGATTCAGCGTCCTAAAGTGTAGGTGTCAGTGGCCCATGCTCCCACGGGGCTGTGGGGGAGTCTGCGCTTCCTCACCGCTTCCAGCTTCCAGAGGCCACTGTGTTCCTCGGCTTGTTTTGCCTCTTTCTTGCATCTCTTTGACCTCCTCTGCTTCTGACTCTGACCCTCCCGTCTTCCTCTTATAAGGACCTTTGTGATTACATTGGGCCCACCTGGATTGATCCAGGATTAACGCTCATCTCAAGATCCTAATTTTTTCTTTTTGTTTTTGAGACGGAGTCTCGCTCTGTTGCCCAGGCTGGAGTGCAGTGGTGCGATCACGGCTCATTGCAACCTCTGCCTCCTGGGTTCAAGCGATTCTCTTGCCTCAGCCTCCCGAGTAGCTGGGATTACAGGTGCGCACCACCACGCCCGGCTATTTTTCTTGTAATTTTAGTAGAGACGGGGTTTTGCCTTGATAGCTAGGCTGGTCTCGAACTCCTGGCCTCAAGTGATCTGCCTGCCTCAGCCTCCCAAAAGTAATCCCCCCAAAGTGTTGAGATTACAGGCATGAGCTGCCACACCCGGCCAAGATGCTGAATTTCATCACCCTCGCAGTGCCCCTGTGGCCGTGAAAGCTTTTGGAGTCGTCTTTGGAGGGCTGTTACTCTATCTGCATCCTTCCGCTCCTCTCTCCTACTCCCTTGTCAAATACCCTTGCAAGGCTGGCTTTTAATTTGTCTTCATATATGGGATTATTTAATCATTAGTCCTAAAATGAACAAAGGGCTAGGGGCTGGGCATCTGGGGTTGTGATCTTGACTGGGTTGCATGATTTGGGGCCATGTGCATAACCCCTGAGGCTCTTTTTTTTCTTACCTACAAAATCATGGGTTGTCTGGCTCATTTCACAGTTAAATGTGAAGTTTCCATATCCATGTATGAGATTTCAATCACTGCTTTCCACTGTCTGCTTTAGGGATTGGGGAGTAGGGTATTTAGAGGTGAAACAGGAAGAAAGGAATTATGTGTATGTGCTTTACAAATTCACAGGTGCTTGAATGTATTTACCCTTGATGTGCTCATTTTATTTCATTTCTATGATTTTTGACGTGTTTATTTTTCCCACGTCTAGAACAGAATAGGTGTGCTGGCAGGGATGCTGTTAGGAACTGTGATAGATGTATTTATGGTTCCTGAAGGTTTACGAATACGGTCATGCTGAGCTGGGGAAGTCCAGCCTCTGCCCTGGGCTTCCTTCACCTGATGCAGTTATTTCTTGTTAAAGATTCACTGTAAAATGCCAAATAAACTTAATAACTAACTAATAACCATCTTTGTCAGTTGAGGACACTTACATTTTATGAATTTTGGGGAAAATATAGGAAGATACCTGAGGAAATAGAATTTTCAATATCATAGGTCTAGCTTTTGATATTACAGAATTTTTGTGCACATGTGGCAATGTGCTTGCTTTGGCTTTCTAAAAAGAATTCAGGTAGCGGTAGACATCTTGATAGCAGTAAAAAAAATACAACCAAAAGGAAGGCCTTCACCGTTACCTGAGTGTTCACCATGGACCCCATTGTGCCAGATCCAACAGGGGCATCATTTTCTCTAAGACACAAAACACACACGCAATTCTACGAGGTCAGTATCCGGTCCTTATTTTGGCCATTGAAAACCTGAAGATAGAGCAGATCGTTTGCCAGAGGGCAGGCACCCAGGGGCTCGGGGAGGGGTGCTGCCCTACCCACTTTAGCTGTCTGTAGAGACCATGAACGTGAACACCAGGAGGCTGCGTGCGCCTGAAATTCTGGACTTTACAGCCTGAGGTGCAGCTCAGGCAGCTCAGGTTTATGGAGGCCATTCCTTGTACGGCTAAGCACCTTCCTGTCCTTGGAGGTGTGGGCAGGAAATGTTGAAAGGTGGGTGGCTCTGCCCTCTGGTGGCTTTTCTTTAGTTGGGGATGTCTTAACACACACATCTGAAATAAGACTGGCTCATGCAGAACAAGAGATGGGAAGCTTTGCGTGGTGCCAGGGCTGTTTGGAGGAGCGGAGTTAAAAGATCAAACACAGACTTGGGTCTGGCTTTCGTGATGAGGTGCACCCAGTGGGAAGGCCCAGCTGGCGAGGGAGAAGTTGGTACCCAAAGATGTGGGCTGGACTGGCTTCTTTCCTTCAGTAGAAGCAAGGGCCCAGGGAAGGGAGTGTGTGGTGGGAAGGTACGGTGGCCCGTGCTTGCCAGAGGAGTTTGCACATGACATGGTTTAATTTTAGAGAATTTTAGAGGTGTGCCACAATGCAGGTGCCTTTTGTGCATAGCCTCGCCTGGCTGGGCTGTGCAGGATGGATGGATGAGAGCTTTGATCCGCGATTTTGAAGATGAGTTTTATATTGAATGCTATATCCTATTAGGTAGAGGCTGTTGGGTAGGAGGAACATTAATATATATTTTTTTAAATTGAGAGTGGGCTAGTTGAATACTTTTTGGGCCTTAAACACTTTGTAGCATCCTTTTTACACCTGTGACTGCTGCCTTTATTCCATAATGCATGAGCAAAAGTGTGGTTGGAATTTAATGGTGTGACTTTTTAGGGGCTTATGTAGGAGCACTATGATCCTTTTGCAAAATAGGAGCAGCTTTATGTCAGGATAAACATGGGATTTCAGACATTTCTTGCTTATCATTGTCAGTTTTAAGGATTTCTTCTAACACAGGACATATTTTTGTCTACTGTGATTGTAAAATCTATTGGCTTAATATCAACATTGCTATATGATAATTTTTTTATTAATTTGGTTTCCAAAGAATATTCACTCCATGTGCAATTGATTCATAGGCAGATAAAAATCTATTAGTGGAAATAAAAGATAGTATTGAAGTGTCAATCAAAATACTGTTAACAATGTCTTCTTATGTCACTTATGGTCATCTGGTGTCATGGGTAGTTATGAATTTCTCCTCCTTAAACTATTGACCCTTTATATTTGTCTGAAAGAAAAGGTCACTTCTGTGGGTATCAGAGAGGATGATGCAGGCAGCGACTGAATGTATTTCAATATTAAAAACAACAACATTAAAACAAGCCAACACGACTCAGCATGGTCACTTCTATCTTTACTATTACTAATATATTTCCCCTTTTTTCATCACAGCTTTTTATAACTATGATGCCAGAGGAGCGGATGAACTTTCTTTACAGATCGGAGACACTGTGCACATCTTAGAAACATATGAAGGTGCGTATGCATCTTGGTATCTTTTCTCTTACATTTTGGGCAGATGGCACACCTTCTCAGTGCCTGCTGGGCAAAGCATTCCTCTGTTACAGACACATAAGACAGTCATGCTTCCTTCTCAGGCTCCCTTTTCTTGCAGATGGATACTGTTTCAGGTAAGGGTAGTAGTGAGGCTGTTGTTTAATACTTTCTGAAGGTGAACTTAAAACTGAAATTCCCATTTTTAAACTCCTTGGCTCCTTATTTTCAAGCATGTGTAAATCTTTTTTTTTTTTTTCCTTTTGAGACAGAGTCTTGCTCTGTCGCACAGGCTGGAGTGAGGTGGTGTAATCTCAGCTCACTGCAACCTCTGCCTCCCAGGTACAAGTGACTCTCATGCTTTAGCCTCCCGAGTAGCTGGGATTACAGGTGCCCGCCACCATGCCTGGCAAATTTTTTTGTATTTTTAGTAGAGACTGCATTTCACCCTGTTGGTCAGGCTGGTCTCGAACTCCTGACCTCAAATGATCTGCCCACCTCAGCCTCCCAAAGTACTGGGATTACAGGTGTGGTCCACTCTGCCTGGCCAAGTGTGTATAAATCTTGATTGTTAACAGTTGACCACTTGATAAAAAATAGGTTTAAGATAGTTTACTTCGTTGTTTTGAGACAGGGTCTTGCTCCATCGTGCAGGTTGGAGTGCAGTGGCACAATCAGAGCTCACCGCAGGCAGCCTCCCCATCTTGGGCTCAAGCAGTCTTGCCACCTCAGGCTCCCAAGTAGCTGGGACTACAGGTGCATGCTGCCACACTCAGCTAATTATTTATATTTTTTGTAGAGACAGGATTTCACCATGTTGCCCAGGCTGGTCCTGAACTCCTGAGCTCAAGTGATTTGCCTGCCTCAGCCTCTCAGAATGCTGGAATTACAGGCGTGAGCCACTGTGCCTAGCCTGCTTCATTGTTTTGATGTGTTTGATGTGAACTAAGATTTCTTCTTTTAATGTCCTCACTTAGATTTGTTAGCAGTATATGTCTCAGAGGAACCCCAATTTTCATCCTTTCCTTTTTTTTTAAACCTGTAATCCCCATTTTCTTGGGATGAACAGAGATTTATCATAGTTATATGGGATGCCGTCCAATGAAGCAATATTTTTTTTTGTTTTTTTTGAGACGGAGTTTTGCTCTTGTTGCCCAGGCTGGAGTGCAATGGCGCGATTTTGGCCCACCACAGCCTCTGCCTCCCAGGTTCAAGCGATTCTCCTGCCTCAGCCTCCTGAGTAGCTGGGATTACAGGCATGTGTCACTGTACCCACCTAATTTTGTATTTTTAGTAGTGACGGGGTTTCTCCTTGTTGGTCAGGCTGGTCTTGAACTCCCAACCTCAGGTGATTTGCCCGCCTCGGCCTCCCAAAGTGCTAGGATTACAGGCATGAGCCACCGTGCCCGTCCTGAAGCAATTGTTATAATTATCCAATAAATAAACTATTGGTGACAGTGGTTTTCCAATGTCCTTGGCTTTTCAGACAATTTGTTTTTATATTTTGTGTTTGCAAATAATTTGAGCATGCCATATTTCATTTTATGCTGTGGTTATTGTTGCACAGAAGGGAAGAAATGATGGGCTTGATTTTTTAAAGACTGTTCAGATCTGGAGGTTTTGGTGAGATTGTGTTTTCTTATTGTTGTCGGCTTAATTTCCTGCTTGAAAGGGTGGTTCCCATATAGCATATGAATAAAAAGGATAATTTCAGTAGAAAAACTGCTTTTTCACAGAGGTTTTTTAGCAAAACCCTTCCACATGGGAGGTTGGGGGTGAGAGGGGAAATTGAAGACATCCCGTAGTAATCAGCAAATTGAACTTCCAACTTGAAATCCACTTTACAAGGAATGAAGTATGCCCAGCTTCCTGCTCGAGGCAAACTGTGACCAGCTCCTGGTAGACTCCTCTGAGAAACACAGACCTACTAACAGATCCATGTTCATGGCCCTTATTTCCCCATCTGATGCATGCTGTACCTTCCCTAAAAAAGTCCTGTCTGAAAAAAAAAATCGACTTTAGTGGCCTCTGCGTGGAAGCCAGTGCAGCTCTGCAAAAACCAGCCCCAGTCCTTAAGCGGATGAGTAGTTGTGATGGGGTCTTCTGCTTGTTTTCCGTGTTTACAGCTGACAGCTGTGTTCCCTTATCTCCTCTCAGTATATACTGCATGTGTCTGAGAGGAGACAGAGAGAAATTAAGTAGAGGTTAAGGATCAAACCGCTCATCTCAGACACTTTTCTGATTTGAAGGGAAATGCTCTTGTATCTTGTTTTACTTTTGCTGCCGGTCAGTTGAAGTTGAAATCCTGGTTAATAAACACTGGGCAATGATGTCATTCCTGAATAGTTAATGATTTCCTGTGGCCCCTGGGCCTGTGGAGACTGCATTTTTGTTCTTTGCTTCATAAGAGGAATGCGTGTGTGGTGGTGGTTTTTTTTTTTTTGAGATGGAGGCTCGCTCTGTCGCCCGGGCTGGAGTATGGTGGTGCAATTTCAGCTCACTGCAACCTCTGCCTCCTGGGTTCAAGGGATTCTCCTGCCTCAGCATCCTGAGTACCTGGGATTGCAGGTGCCCACCACCATGCCCAGCTGAGGAATGTGTTTTTTAAACAGTGGACTCCTCGGGCATGTCAGTGGTCCTTGTAATACGTGTAACTTCAAAAATATCTGATTGCAGGCATTTGACTTTTTGGCTGACATCATGATAAGAGATCTACAGTGAACATTAATTTTCTGGGCTAGTCATTCTTTCTAGATTCTGATGAAAATATTTCAGTCTTTGTAAAGACTCTTTAGCATAAAATGAATTTCCGTTCCTTGACAACTAACTTTTTGGTTTTAATCTGAATCTAATCAGAGAAATGCATTTGGAGAAGTATTAATAGTTTTGACTTTGGGGAGTGTGGTGACTTTTTGTCATTAAATAAAAAGAGAATAATGTACTTCCATTTGTTTTCCAATATCTTCCTCTTGTTTTATCTAAATTTCATGGCTTGTATTAGAGTCTGGCATTTTCTTTTTCTTTCCTTGGCTCTCCTTTTCCTCTAAGATGACTTTTTGGTTTAGCAAGTTTGATTTTCTTTTTTTCTATGATCCTTTCCAGGATATTACAGAGCTTGCTCCAGAGGCTATAATTTCTAGATGATAAATCTTTATTTTAGGGTTCAAAGACTAAATTTACCTTCAAGTTGTGGTTAATTTCTCTTTCTTGAGCTCACGAAGGCTTACAGCATAGAACAAAGAAAATGAGCTTTCTAGCTCATGGTGGAAGTGGAAAGAGCTTTGAGAGCTCATTCGTGCAGACCCCTGCCTTTAAACAATGTCCTACCTCCAGATAGGAGAGGTGAGGCCAGGCCCCAGTGTTGATTGAGTGACTCTTGTCTGGTCAAGGGCGTGCCAATCCTGCTGTCGACTCGTTTCCATAGGGTCCCCAGGGCTTCCATAGCGTCCCCAGGGTGAGATGCTGCACCAGAGGCAAGCTGCAGGCATTGCCCAAAGTTGAGGAAATTGTCCTTTTGATTCAGCCACATTCAAACTTAATTTATTCAACTCTTTAAAAGGGATAGTGATGCATTTTCTTCTAAAATGACTAGACCGCCATTTTCCTGTGCTGGACTGTGTCCTCCCCGAGTTTGGGACCTGTGTCTTGCCTGTATTTGCCTGTTCCCTGGGTGGATGTCTCTTTTTTTGGAGCAGGTTGGTTGACTACGTGGAGGCCACTTGCAAGCCGTGCCAGGGAGAAGTTAATTCTGTAACAGCTGTGAATCTTTCTCCTTCCAGCCTCATCCCCTCTTTGCTGTGCCCCAGAGCAGCCAGGTAATCGTTCCGTTCTGTTCTCTTACTCTCCGGTGCAAAACCTCTGCCGGGACATCCTCTCTCCTTCATGCCGAACTCTGTCATGCAGCAGGGTTTGTGGTGTGACCCCTACTTGTCTTAGGGCACTTCCAGTTTCTGAGCTCATGGAGGACAGAGATTGGGTCTAATCTCTTTCTGTATTTGTGGCACCCAGTGTGGTCTCTGGTACATGGTGTGCGGGCTCACTTTGTTGAAGAAATAGTGCATGCCAAAAATCGTGGGGAGGAAAACCATGGTTTTCATTTTGCTTAGGAAGGCCATTAGAAGAGGAATCGACTGCCTATGAACATTAAATAAAGACACAAAACTCCTTGCCTTTCATGCCTACTGCTTGGCCCTTCCTCCTCCTGCCTCCCATAGAAAACCTTTCTACTGTGTGTGAAGTGGCCTCTCGTTTGCCTGTGTTCTCGTGCTGTTTGGTGTGCATCTGTTTTTAACAGATGTAAGTGTGTCATTATAGTCTTGTTCTGTTTTTTATTTTCCCTCGTGCTCCATTTAAAATGCACTGTGTTCTCTGTGTCCCTTTAGTCCATGGCTCTAACTGCATCGTGTGCACATTTCATGTTTTACTAACTGCCTGCCTCCCCGGGTATGAGCACTTAGGTTGTCCCCGCTTCCCACCACCCAAGATCAAGCTGCCCTGAGCATCCCATGTCCATCTCACTCTGCAGGGCACACAGATGTCTTTGGGCTGCGTTCCCAGGAGGGGGTTGCTGGGTCTTGGGTGTGGAGATGTAGACTTTGGATAAGCAGGGCCTGCTTCTCCCAGGCTGGTTGCCGCAGTGGACACTGCCACCCACGGTGACCAGGGGCTTCCTGCATCCTGCAGTGTTCTGCCTTCTACCACTCTTAACTGTGTACTTTTCATTTCTCTGACTATTATTAAACTGAAGCATCTCTTCATACATGTTGAGGTCTTATGGGTTTCTTCTATACATAGTTTATAAACTTTGCTCATTTTCTTTCTTTTCTTTTTTTTTTTTTTGAGATGGAGTCTTGCTCTATTGCCCAGGCTGGAGTGCAGTGGCATGATCTCAGCTCACTGCAACCTCTGCCTCCCTGGTTCAGGTGATTCTCAGCTTCCCGAGTACCTGGTATTACAGGTGCACGCCACCACGCCCAGCCAATTTTTTTTTTTTTAGTAGAGACGGGGTTTTGCCATGTTGGCCAGGCTAGTCTTGGAACTCCAGACCTCAAGTTATCTGCCCTCTTCGGCTGCCCAAAATACCAGGATGACAGGAGTAAGCCACCACTCTTGGCCTCATTTTCTTACTATACTTAGTTGCTGTCTTTTTGTGTCTCTGTATTATTTCCTTATGTATTCTAAGACGTTAATCTTTGTCAGTTTCAGAAAAGAAAGGACATATTAATGTTGAAAATGCAGGAAGACTATAATAGGATAAAGGACAGTTGTTGAAACTGAGTACACAGCTTTGCATAACTCATTCAACTGACCTTTCTTTTTCCTTTTTGATATATGAGCACTGTGTCATAGATGGGCTTTGATATATGAGCACTGTGTCATAGATGGGCGCTGATACTGGGCCAGCTTATCAAAACCACTGAACTTGACAATATGGCTATCAGGAGATAATCCTTCAAATGTGTGGCTGAAGTCTAGGCATTTTGTATCTGAGGTTCCCCCAATCAGTCTGTTGAGTCTCCAGTCAAGAGAGTGAAATGAGTTCAGTTCATCATAACTGGGTCTTAGCAAAACCTTTGCCAGAGTCCTGGCAGTTTCTGTCCTCTTTTCTGGATATGCAGAAAACAGCTGGTTAGTCATCCCTTGGGGATTCTGCTCATCTTAACACCATCACTTTCTGGTTCACAATCATCCTTTTCATCCCTGGTTGTGAAAATTTTCACCTTTTGAGAGAGGTGGAGGCCAGTTGCTGTGACAATGGCCCGTTTTCACATCTGTCTGATCTTTGGTTCTGAGGTTTGCCTTTTTAATAGTGTAAAGAAACCCAGTATTTGGTTATTCTCTGGGAATTTACCCAGCTCACGTTTTCCAAGTGCCCTCTGTCACTCTCTGACAGGGTCCTTTGTTCCTATGGGGCAGAGTTGGGATTTGTCTTTAAGCTTTTTTTTTTTGAGATAGAGTCTTGCTCTCTCATCCAGGCTGGAGTGCAGTGGCATGATCTTAGCTCACTGCAACCTCTGCCTCTCGGGTTTAAGCAATTCTCCTGCCTCAGCCTCCTGAGTAGCTGTGATCATAGGGGCTTACCACCATGCTTGGCTAATTTTTGTATTTTTTATTAGAGATGGGCTTTCACCATGTTGGCCAGGCTGGTCTTGAACTCCTGACCTCAAGTGATCCACCTGCCTTGGCCTCCCAAAATGCCAGGATTATAGGCGTGAGCCACTGTGCCTGGCCTCTTTGAGCTTTTGATTAGCTTTCCAGAAACTAGATGGCCTGGAGTGACTTCAGAATGTTTGGGAGTAAAAAATCATCCATCTGAACTCACAAATGGTGGGGTGCTTGGAGGCTGGATACTGACGGTAGACCCCTAGGCCTTTGCAGGGGCAGTTCCTGTCCTCAGCCTGAGAGGGGTGCCAGGGGTGTGGCTGGGTCTGGTCCCTTGTTGAAGGGACTCTTCTGTGTGGCATC
This sequence comes from Homo sapiens, assembly GCF_000001405.40. Lineage (NCBI taxonomy): Eukaryota > Metazoa > Chordata > Mammalia > Primates > Hominidae > Homo > Homo sapiens. The sequence goes on from NC_000010.11 coordinate 126,977,269, forward strand.
CATGGCATGCGGATGGTTCGAGTGTGTCTTTCTTTCTGCTCTCACTATTTTCTTTCTCTCGCCACTTGGAAGGAGCGAGAAGTGGAGCCTGGGCCAAACCCAAAGGGCAGGTGTGTCCTGTGCTTGGCCCTGGAGCTTCCTGTGGGTTGAGGGCTGTATTGTTGCTACAGAAGTACTTTGTGAGGTCGTGGCTGCTCCAGGAAAAAGTGCCCTGTCTTGAAGTGGGAGGAAGTTCTCTCTCAATGGGTTTTCTGTTTTGGGGCAGCGAGATGCTGACATGTGCCCTTGGAGAGATCTTGGTCTAAATCAGGCAGAGGGAGAGTGAAGAAAATGCATACACAAGGAGCCTACTCAGGGCCAGTGGTTGAAAGGACAAGTCCTGCTCTTGGAACTGTGCATCTGAACTTCAAACTGCTGCTTCCGAACCACATGAGATGACGGAGGTGAAGGTATGGAGGCCCATGTGTGAAGGTTGCCAGCTGGGCTCCGGGTGCGCTGTTGAAATGCTCTCTGGGAAACCACGTAGTATATCTCCAAAGCCTTAGGTTCACTGAAAAATGCTGGTGACAAACTGACCTCACTGGTTCTGCCAAACAGTGAGTTCTACACATCATGAATGTATTGTGAGGACCCTAACATGTCTCTTTGTACTAACTGTTTCAACTTTGTGTTTGTTTAGGGTGGTACCGAGGTTACACGTTACGAAAAAAGTCTAAGAAGGTAAGTCCTTCTTCTTAAACACAGTGCATGTCTCTTCATAAATCACACCTTGAGAGGAAATCAATTCCATCTCATTTGTGTCTGAGGGTTTTACTTCTATATCTCTTTCTCTGAATTTAAAAAAATATATGGGTAGGAATGTGAACGAGCTTGGATTGTTTTCTTCTGAACAATATGTGTACATAGAAATTGTAGCTTCATCTCCGTGAGTGAATTGCTAGTTTGTGATATAGTGTTGGCCTGTTGTCTTCTGTTCATGAATTTTGTGTCCTTTTTAGGTCTGTGTGTGTCAGAGAATGATCCGAGTAAAGCGACTTCAGGAAAAAAATTATTTCTCACAGTTGTCAATCTTATGTTGTCCTTAATAATAGATTAGCAAATTTGCAAGCTCATGCATGCTGTTTCCCTCTTGCATATAACTGTTTTTACTCTGCCTAAGTCAAGCTGTGAAAAAAGGAGTTCTGCTCTCCTAGAGCAGTTTGCATGAGTGGTTGTTTGAATTTCTGAAACTAAGACATGTAATTACACCTCGGATCATTGTGGTGGGCACTCCCATACACAATTCTGTTGTGGCTTTAACATTCTTAGCTTCATGGAACCTAATTATGGCTCTTCTGTTTCATTCTACGATGTTAAGATTTTGAAGTAACCTCTATTCTAAGCTGTGGTTGGGCTGTCCACGTTACCCAATATGTTTTAATATCTAATTATGTTTGACCCGATGTGTTTTAATATCTAATTATGTTTGACGGATGGTTCATTTTACTTTTGTGTCCTAAATTTACCTCTCATTATCTCCTTATTGGGCTGGACTCTGGATTGTGGTCCTGAGCCTGTAATAAGTCCTCCAAAGTCTAGTGGCCCAAGTGCCAGGGTCCTTCCACTCTGCCTTCCCCAGAGCCCCTAACCCAGGCTTTGCTGAGCAGGTCAGAATGGGTCATCCTCTCGCAACACCAGCACTTGGGAAGGATCCAGGGTGGTCCCTATGGCAGCCATCCTCTGGCACAGTCATGTCTAATGTGAGAGACAGTGTTAGGAAATCAGTGAGCCAGATCTGCAAATTGGGACCAGGACCTCTTACCTCCACCTTGCCAACCTCAGACTGGGCTACAGGTCTCTACACATCAGTGACCTATAGCCTTGAAGTTTGCACAAGATCGATTTCAATCCAGTGGATGGTGGAATAGATTTCTCCAAGGAAAGTTCTATTTTCACATTGGTTTTCCCTTCCCCAATCAAGAGTGAATTCCAGCCAGGCCCAAAGATATGCACCTGTAGGCCCAGCTACTTGAGAGACTGAAGTGGGAGGATTGCTTGAGCTCAGGAGATTGAGACCAGCCTCTGCTGGTCATAATGAGTGAGATCTATCCCTAAAAAAATAGTGTGTATCTGCAGATGAAGCTCTGAATTTAGGAAAGCTGCAGTTGAAACCTTTAGTAATAAGAGATTAAGATCATGGACTAATATGCCCCTCCCCCATCACATTCCTACATAGGACACAACTGCCACATCCTGGGCTGGATGTGCCCCAGGCAAGCTGTTCCTTTTTCTTTGAATCTTACTTGGTATTTGTTATCACCTTCCCCAATTTGAGATCTCTTCCATTCCCACAATGCCTCCTGAAACCACAGTATTTCTGCACTACACCTGGGCACCTAGACATCATAACTCATTCATAACTCATCAACACAGTAGCGCTGGGTAGGGCATAGCTATTTTTCCATCTAAGATCTCCACTGGTAGATGAATAAATCCAAGCTTTACAGAGATTATAAATTTGTAAGGGGCCTCCTAGGCAGTAGCAGAAAAGGGATGTGGGCCCTAGGAATCCTGGCACCACGTGTCTGTAAACAACTTTCCTGTAGTTATAAGTGTGCAGTTGATTGGGGTGGTGCTGAGCAGGCCCAGCGGAAGTTGCGCATTTCAAACCTGCAGGTGTGTCCAGCCTCACTCAGTCATTATCCTTCCTGTGGCTTCATGATTCTCCAGTGGGTTTGCTGAGATTGAGGGTTGTCTCCACCTGTGGACATGGACAAGACTGGGACTGGTTTTTTGTTTTTCTCCCCCATCTGGGTGGACACCTATTGCTATCATGGAAAGAAACCCAGGAGGGTGTACCTGGGATTTGGAGGTGTCCCGGATAACCAGGACCTGAACACAGCAACCCAGCGTTGGGTCCCTTCAGACTTCTGTTTTTTTTAAGTTAATGTTTTATTTTTTTGGAGACAGGGTCTCACTTTGTGGCTCAGACTGAGTGCGGTGGCACGATCATAGATCACTGCCACCGCGACTTCCTGGGCTCAAGGTATTCTCCTCCCTCAGCCTCCCAAGTAGCTGGGACTACAGGTGCACACCACCATGCCTAACTAATTTGTAAAAAAAATTTCGGCAGTGAAAGGGTCTCACCATCTTGCCCTGGCTGTTGGTGAGCTCCTAGGCTCCTAGGCTGAAGTGATCCTCTCACCTTGGCTTCCCGAAGTGCCGGTTGCAGGTGTGCACCTCTGAGCCTGGCCCAGCCTTGTTTGTTGCTCAGCCTCTGACTCTCTGCCTGACGCCTTCCCTCTCTGTGATAATTCTTCTTTATATGGAATTTGGCCACTTTCCTTGTTGGCAGAAGCAACATGAATCATTGGTGCCTGCTAGACCAGTTCAGCCCCCTGCCTGCCCCCTGCCCACCCCCTGCCCTTCCCAAACTTGATTAGTAGCTTGTTTTCTGCATCATTCAGGGCTGAATGCCGGGGAAACCCATGCAGAAGCTTCCATTCCCACAACAGGTGCCTTGAAGCCACAGGGGTGCCACTTTATCAATTTCTGCTGCATGCACTAAATCTCATGCAGGAAGCGGTAGCTGGGCTGCGTTGCACTGCCCAAGACCCCAACCCCGTTGCCTCTTTTCTTACCTTTGCTTTATTCCAGTAAGGGAGTTATTTTGCTTGCTCAGAAAGCAGGACCCTACGTTTTTTTTTTTTTTTTTCCTGAGGCGGAGTCTCGCTCTGTCGCCCAGGCTGGAGCGCAGTGGCGGGATCTCTGCTCACTGCAACCTCCACTTCCCGGGTTCAAGCGATTCTCCTGCCTCAGCCTCCTGAGTAGCTGGGACTACAGGTGCCCGCCACCACACCCGGCTAATTTTTGTATTTTTAGTAGAGATGGGGTTTCACCATGTTGGCCAGGCTGGTCTTGAACTCCTGACCTCAGGTGATCCACACACCTGAGCCTCCCAAAGTGCTGGGATTACATCGTGCCTGGCCTCGGACCCAAACTCTTGATAAAGCTCTTTCTGGCACTTCACAGAATGTGCCTGAGGCTGAATGTCCTGTTGAGAAACTCTCCCCAGGCTTCATTCTCTTGGGCTCACATGTGCATTGCACTTGAGGGAGGCCGACCAGCTTATCAGCGGAAGCTAGGGTGTACCCCCAGGTGTTGTGCAGATTGGGCGAAATTCGGCCTGTCTTTCTGTATTTTACCAGAGGGCCCCCCTGTTGGGGAAGTCTCTGAGAAAGTCTCTGTGGGTCTGGGTACGTGGTCAGTGCACAAGGGACAATTGGTGGTGTAAACCAACTTTCATCATTTTGAAAGAGGAGACCATCATCAAAAATTGCTTTTGAGACATCAGTTGGCCTTTGTTCTGCCTGCATTGAGGCCAAAAAGGTGTGATCTATGGAGCAGCCTGCAAATTGCCTGTATCTTTGTGGACTTTTTCCTTTGCAAGTGTGTTGCCTGTTTGCTTCTAAGACATCGGCAGACTGCAATACAAGCCAAATGAGTTGCCGTCTTTTCTACTTCTTTGTGTTTTCTTTGATATGTTAAGACTTAAAAAATTAAGAGCGATCTAGCCACCCCTCACCCCACCTTTTTGGGAACTATTGTTTGATTTACATTCAGCAATCCTATTGATAATAAAAGCTACTGTTTTTTTTTTCCTCCCAAAGGGTATATTTCCTGCTTCATATATTCATCTTAAAGAAGCGATAGTTGAAGGAAAAGGGTGAGTCTGGTCTTGATGTTTAAATGAAGAATTGCAAGTACTATATTTGGCCTTGCTGCTCTTTTGTACGATGGCGTAATATGAGAGGGTCAAGACAATGGGTGTGATTGACTCCTGGGGGACAGGAGTTTTGGGGAGAGAAAGGGGACTTGTGATTCAGAGTTGTGTTTAACATGGCTTTTATCCTTTATGGAGTCTGAAGTCAGCACCATACTTGGCAGTTACTGTCCTTGAACCTGGGGTCACTATTGGAAAGCATTCGCCCTGGTGCTCTGTGCTTCCTCTGTGAGCTACTGACTTCATTTGGCAGAGACTCCAAAGCCCCCCAGCTCTGAGTCCCCTTTTTTTTGGGAAGACATTGCAGGCTGTGATATAAATGGAGTTTAGGGTGAAGCAACAGTTGTTAAATTGGGACATGCAGGAGTTTACATTTTGTCTAATTGTGATGTATGTTTCCTAGAGGTCATAAAACTGATGTATAAGATCATTAAAAGGACATTTCTAGAACAGGAACCCATTAGGCAGGAATGGCAGATGAATAACCAGGTGTGAACTTGGAAGAAGGAACATTAAAATGTTTTCTTTTTTTGTCTCTGCTACATCTTCACACTCAGTTAAATATGTAAATTATAAAATTACTAATCATATGATTACTGCATAATGACATCTCTTTGGCTGATTACAAAATTGCCTTTCCAAGCACTGTACTTTTAACATATGAAAAGAACCGTTCGGGTTCCATAGTTCCATGATGCATACTTAAAATGAAGAAAATAATTTAGAGGCATGAATGATGATGACCTGCAATATGGTACTTTTTAGACAGATAAAGTGTTTTGTATGCAAAGTTTTAAAGGGAAGAAAAAGAAAGTTGAGACTTTTACTCTGTGGAAGTAACTGGATCAAGTGTGCATTTAGTGTACTTTATATCTGCATTAGAATCCTTATACAGGGCAGACTGTGTATGATTATTTAAAAAGCACTTTGATGTATACAAAAGAATATATGTAAAATGTAATTATGAAGCATGATAATAAAGTGAACAACAGGTTATTCTGAGTCTCAATAAGTAGAGTCACACCTAACCAGACAGGCAGACAGAGACACATTTGGTTCCTGTTCCTGGGCCTTCTGGTCCAAGGTGCCCCACTGTGGGCAAATGCATAGAGCTATGGTGAAATGAACAGTTTAGAAACAATTTCCCTGCCTTTGCTTTGGGTTCCCTGTGATTGTTCTCCACACTGTTTTCCTGGCTCTATCTGTCTCCCTTGCCACGGCCACTCAAGCCTAGCTGCCCAACAGCTCCTTCCCTGAAGAACCCCGGCCTTCAGGCTTGACAGGTGATCTCATCCCTCTTCTTTTCCTCCAGGTTGTTGTAGACTTCCACCTTCCCTTCTTCTCCTGGTCCTTTCCCCTTTCTAGTGCCAATGTGGGCCACGCTTTCATCCCACCTCTGCCTGCCTTCTTGCTCTCCAAGTTTATTGTCCTGTCTCTCTTGCAGAGTCTGTCTCTTTCAGGATCTGTCTCTTGCTGGTCTCTTGCATGATCGTTCTCATATGGCCTCTGTCTTGCAGGCTGCCTTGTAAGCCTCTCTTTCTTGCATGAGCTCTCTCTTGCATGATCTGTCTCTTGCAGGCTCTGTCTTTCTCTTGCAGGCTCTGTCTTTCTTTTACAGGCTCTGTCTTTCTCTTGCAAGGCTCTCTCTCATGTGATCTCTCTCACAGTATCTTGCTTGCATTGACTCTCGTGAAGGATCTCTTTTGCTTTGTCTCTCTTCTCTCTGGACGCTGACTTCATTCATTCTCAGACATCCCAAATGATTACTCTATGCCTGTTACCACTGATTCTGTACCTATTCCCCCATAACCAAAGCAATTCCCATTTTGTCCTCCATGCTTTTCCCAGTACTGACATGGTTAGCAATGCCTCCTTATGTCTGGACCTCACAGTGTCTTCTCATCCTCTGCCTCTGGAGCTCCACTGCAGCCTTGGACACGTTGGTCCTTGCTTCACTGAAAGCCCCTCTTAACGCCGATGCTCTTATCCTCTTCTTATTATGCTGACCTACTGCTCAGGCATGTCACCGTCTCCTCTGTCCTGTGTCCGCTACTCTGAGGGTGCTGTCCTAGCCTTCTCCTATTTCTTTGTTGCCCCTCCCTGATTGACATGGCCTCTGTTGCGTTTCCCTCTTCAGCTGATCTGTCTCTGTGGGTGATGCTCACATCGGGACCACCAGCCCTGATTTGTCTCTTGACCCCTCATTCAGTTAGGCAGCCAAGTAACTAATGAGAATCATCCCCACTGTTGGGTGAGCATCTGCTATGTCCCATTCATTCTCTTTTCAAAAAAAATTATTATTATTTTTATTTTGTATTGTGTATTTTTATTTTATGAGATGGAGTCTTGCTCTGTCACCCAGGTTGAAGTGCAGTGGCGAGATCTTGGCTCACTGCAACCTCTGCCTCCAGGTTCAAGTGATTCTCCTGCCTTAGCCTCCCCAGTGGCTGGGACTACAGGCATTCACCACCATGCCCAGCTAATTTTTGTGTGTGTGTGTGTGTGTTTTTTTTTTTTCAGTAGAGATGGGGTTTCACCATGGTGGCCAGGCTGGTCTTGAACTTCTGACCTTAAGTGATCTGCCTGCCTTGGCCTCCCAAAGTGCTGGGATTACAGATGTGAGCCACCGCACCCGGCCAAAAAATTATTTTTAGATTTGACAAATAAAAATTGTATGTATTTATGGTGTGCAACATGATGTTTTGAAGTATGTATACATTGTGGGATGGCTAAATCAAACTATGTGTGCATTACCTTACATACTTATCATTTGTTTGTAGTGAGAACACTTAAAATCTACTCTCAGCAATTTCGAGTATACAATACATAGCTATTGTAGTCACCTTGGTGTAGGATAGGAGGCCTGTTGAACTTATTCCTTCTGTCTAACAGAAACTCGGTGTCCCTTTGACCCATCATCTCCCCACTCCCCTATGTCCCATTCTTTTTTTTTTTTTTTTTTTTTTTTGAGACGAAGTCTTGCTCTGTCGCCCAGGCTGGAGTGCAGTAGCATGATCTCCGCTCACTGCAACCTCTGCCTCCTGCGTTCAAGCGATTCTCCTGTCTCAGCCTCCCAAGTAGCTGGGATTACAGGCGCACGCCACCATGCCTGGCTAATTTTTGTATTTTTAGTAGAGACAGGGTTTCACCACGTTGGCCAAGCTGGCTTTGAACCCCTGACCTCACGTGCTCTACCCGCTTTAGCCTCCCGAAGTGTTGTGATTACAGGCGTGAGCCACCGCGTGGAGCCCCATTCATTCTTAAAGATGCTCTGCCTTGATGCACTTTCCCTCAGTCTTACCAGCAGCCCTATGAGGCAGGCATTATTGGGGTTACATATTCTTGAACACTGGCAGGTAACAAGGTGGTAACAAAGGTAAGACAATAAAGCCAGATCAAATGTGTTAATGCCAGCTGGCACATTAATCCCAGGGATCCACTGGGCCTACCAGAAGGGAGGAACCTAAGGTGGAACCAGAACCAACAGCAGGACATGGTGCATGCACTGAGGCCCTATTCACATGGTGGAAGGGAGGTCGTTGAGCTCCAGGCTTCTCATAGCCAGTGTGAGGAGCACCAGTGCACTCAACCCAGGATCCGTAAGATGAAAACAGCCCAGTCGTTGTTGCAGATCCTCATACTGTGAGTGGAAGGAAATTTCTCCCTGCAGACTTTATAGGGATGACACCGTAGCATGTAATGAACCGCATTTCCATCAGCATCCTTACTGGGAAACTTGGGGACATCCTTGGCAGGGCTGTTTTAATAGTCATGTTCTTCAGTAGACACTGATGGTGGCCCATGAAAGGGTCATTTTGTTGTTGTTGTTTTTGAGATGGTGTCTCGCTTTGTTGCCCAGGCTGGAGTGCAATGGTACAATCTTGGCTCACTGCAACTTCCGTCTCCCGGGTTCAAGTGATTCTCCTGCTTCAGCCTCCTGAGTAGCTGGGATTACAGGCCCGCACCACCATGCCCGGCTGATTTTTTGTATTTATTTATTTTTAGTAGAGACGGGGTTTCACCATGTTGGCCAGGCTGGTCTCGAACTCCTGATCCACCCACCTCGGCCTCCCAAAGTGCTGAGATTACAGGCGTGAGCCACCACACCCAGCCCAAAGGGTCATTCTTCATAGCAGTTTTCTAGGGGATGGTTTTGCCTGCACCCTTCCCTCTGATGTCTGGTTCTGGAACTATCCATGAGACCACCGTTCTTCCAGGGTCCCCGTTGTCTGTTGCTTTGGGATCCTCCCCTCCACTGTCAATAAGTCATCACAGGCCTGATCTCCAATCGTGAGCCAGTCAGGGTTCCTTCCACAGGTCTGGGCTCTGTGCACATCAAGGGTTGTAGGTGGGAACTATTGTAGCATCCCTCGGCATCCCATGCTGGCCACATTCTTGCCTGTTCAGGACACACAGACAACCTGTGGGGCCAGCTAGCCTAACTACACCAGCCACAAATTCACTCTCTCCCCCTAACCCTCAGTAGTCTGAGTCTTACTTAGCATAGTGCCTGACCCAGAGCACATGCCCAGGAAGCAGTGGTTGATTTGATGAAAACGAGCGCATAAATAGGTAATGAGTTAAGAATAAGTCAAGGGGCTGGGCGCGGTGGCTCATGCCTGTAATCCCAGCACTTTGGGAGGCTGAGGTGGGAGTATCACCTGAAGTCAGGCGTTCAAGACCAGCCTGGCCAATATGGTGAAACCTCATCTCTACTAAAAATACAAAAATTAGCCGGGCATGGTGGTGGGCACCTGTAGTCCCAGCTGCTTGGGAGGCTGAAGCAGGAGAATCGCTTGAACCTGGGAGGCAGAGATTGCAGTGAGCCGAGATTGCACCACTGCACTCCAGCCTGTGTGACAGAGCGAGACACCGTTTCAAAAAAGAAGAGTAAGTCAAAGGTTAAACTTTTGGGGCGGAGGAAAAAGGATAAGAAAGAGGATACAGAGTTTAATCAGAGTTGGCATCAGATAGAGTAACCATGGACATTTGGAAGCTGTAACCTCTCTCATATTTCGCCAAGGATAACTGCTTCCTGTATTATCATGTAATGAGTTTTATGCGTGATGGAAAATGTAAAAGTAATCTTAACCCAAACCTGCATTTTAATGCCACATGGACCGGCTGTAATTTATGGCATCTTTAAGATAGATGGGTACACATATTATGAATATACTTTCCTTTTGCCAGACCTTGACATTCTGTAGACTTTTAATGGAATATTATTTGCCTCTTTCATCTTACTTTGACGTATGAGGTGGATGGCTTACGTGCAGGGTAATGTATGAACCTTCCCAAGCTCTGTACAAATATAACTTGTCATTCGTAGAGACGTATGTATTTATATGTGTGCATGCAGTCTTATTTGTAGATTTTCTTCCCATTTGCTTAATACTGAACGCTATGGCCTAGATGTGAAATTTACCAGGTACTACTCATAGCAGGCAGTGAAACCGTGGACTCAGCTGCTCTTTCCTTCTTTCCTCCCAGGCAACATGAAACAGTCATCCCGGGTGACCTCCCCCTCATCCAGGAAGTCACCACGACACTCCGAGAGTGGTCCACCATCTGGAGGCAGCTCTACGTGGTGAGAAAATGAGATATTCATTCAAAGCTTAGAAATAGAGAGTGGGCTTTTTTGACCCTGATATGCCAATGGGATGTTTTTTTTTCTCAGCGAAACTTAAAAGCAGAGCTTCCGAGACAGAGTTTTACTCGGAATTGGCAAAGGAAGCGACATGGCTGAGAGTTTAGCCCCTGCTGGGGGCTGTGTGCCCTTCGACCTGCCATGTATTTGGGTGTATTACAGTGAGCTGTAGCAGAAGGGACTGTAGGATGTGTCTTTCCTTGCATTGGAAGGAGAAATGTGGTTGTTTCAGGCCCCTGGAATGCAGGATCGGGCAGTGGGTGTTGATGTCACCTTTTAAACAGTAATAGGTGCTTATTTAAGGATCCGGTAGAGGGCAATTACTATTTTTTTTTTTTTTTTTGCCGTTGTCTGACAGTAGGTAATACCTCTTATCATTTAAGAAAAACAACAGTCTTCTAGATTTACCTGTGTTTGTGACAGGAATAGGGAAATATTTTACATTCTAGCTTCGTGTGCAATTGTCCAGTTCTCCTGATCACAGAAGAAGTCTTATTAATGCAGAGAGGTTGAAGCTCTGACATCTTCCATTTCGTATTCCCTCGGGGCATTTCTTTGCACATAAATTCATATTTGCAGTAGATTACCTTTTGTTAAGCTTGTATTTCTATTCAGAGTGTTGATTTCTCATATGCTAATGTTATTACCACCAAGCCAGGGCTCTGGAAGGAAGTCGGTACGTTCATTTCTTGAGAACATAGAAAACTTCCTAAAGTCCTGCAGCTGCTTGTTGGGCAGGCTTGTTGTTTTTGATTATACAGTGGTTTCCTATAAATGCACAGTAATAAGCAGTTGCAGTAATTGTCATCAAACGTACTGAAAAACCTAAAAGCGTAAAGTTAGCCATGAATGTTTTGTGTAAATCTGAGCAATTCTGTAGTCAGGGTTTCATCTTCAACTTAGCAATTTTTAAACAAAAATATGGCAACAAAACAAACAGGAGTTGATGCTCATAGTCAGTGGACCTACTTAAGTCTGTAACCCTAGAGTAGGTATTCTTAATGAGCACCTTGGTTTCCTTTTACAAAACTTAAATTTGCCTCTGATAGACTTACATGGTTGGATTTGTGCAAAGAAAGCTAACCCCCAAAATGGCTATAATATTTTTATATGGGCTGGGCGCAGTGGCTTATGCCTGTAATCCCAGCACTTAGGGAGGCCGAGGCGGATGGATCACTTGAGGTGAGGAGTTTGAGACCAGCCCGGCCAACATGGTGAAACCCCGTCCCTACTAAAAATACAAAAATTAGCTGAGCATGGTGGAGCATGCCTGTAGTCCCAGCTACTTGGGAAGCTTAGGCAGGAGAATTGCTTGATCCTGGAAGGCGGAGGTTGCAATGAGCCAAGATTGCGCCACTGCACTCCAGCCTGAGTAACAGAGCGAGACCCCTTCTCAAAAAAAAAAAAAAAATGCATTTTTTTGCTGCACATTGTAGATATTAGCAAAATAGTAAGGATTTTAGATAGTTGATACAGCCTTAGAGCAGTGGACAAGAGAAGGCAGCGTGGATATTAGAAACTCCTAGAAAGAAGGTTAAATACCAGAGTGAGCTCAGTACGTGGTTTAGATATGTAGAGGGGGAGTTTTTTAAAAAAGTGGCAGTGAACAAATTTAATGTTTTAAAGGGACCATGACATTTAGATACCTTTTTATTTATTTATTTTTTGAGATAGGGTCTTGCTCTGTTGCCCAGGCTAGATTGCAGTGGCATGATCACAGCTCCCTGCAGTCTTAACCTCCCAGGCTCAAGCAATGCTCCCACCTCAGCCTCCTGAGTAGCTGGGACTACACCTGTGAGCCACCATGCTCAGCTAATTTTTTTAATTTTTGAAGAGATGAGGTCTCCTTATGTTGCCCAGGCTGATCTCCAACTCCTGGACTCAAGCAATCCTCCCGCCTCTGCTTCCCAAAGTGCTAGGATTATAGGCCGGAGCTACCAAGGCCAGCATGCTTAGAGTTTTATCACATTAGGTTCCACCTAAATTTCTTTTCATGGAAAGAACCACTGAGTTATTTTCCTTCAGATAATCCCTAATCTCCTTGATTATTGTACGCTTGTAATTGCAAGCTGCAAACTGTTGCTTTTCTTTGAACCGTCAATCCCATCAAAATTCTTAGAAAGTGGTAAGAAGTGTGAGTTTTGCATCTTATTTGCATTTTCCTCTTGTCACAAAGCACCAAGAGCTTGTAGATTGAGATTTGGCCTCTTGCAGAAGTGTCTCTTGTGGGTTGTACACACCACAGTGTGCAGCAGCCCGCCCAGGGTGGAATGCTTCTTCTTCCCTATAGCTGAGCTGAGAGCGAGGCCGAGGAGTTCAGGTTCTCAGTGTGCTGAGAAGGGTCCAGGGTGCAGGGTGTTCTGAAGACCGTATGTAGGTTGTAGGATTCAGATCTTTAGGCTCAGACTAATTCCGGAGGAGCTTTAGACTTGCCCATCTCTGATCCAGATGCAGGAAGCTCACGAGCAGGTGTTGACGCTCAAGGTCTAGCCCCTGTTGGGATCACCTTTTTGCTTCAGTGGGACACAGGATGTTGGATGAAGTCTTGGGGATTATGCATTACTTTTTGTTCCTTTAATCTTTTAATGTCGCATGGAAACCAAATTCCGTATAATATGTTTTAGTTTATGCTGAAAGCACCTTTTAATTCAACATTAACTAAATCTCATGATCTAGTGCTTATACCTCATGCGTATTTGAAGAGATAGCCATTCTCTACCATCTCCACAATGCTGTTTTATAACAAAATCTTTCTGATTGGGTTTTTCCCCGTATAGCAAGATAACAGGGAGATGTTTCGAAGTGTGCGGCACATGATCTATGACCTTATTGAATGGCGATCACAAATTCTTTCTGGAACTCTGCCTCAGGATGAACTCAAAGAACTGAAGAAGAAGGTCACAGCCAAAATTGATTATGGAAACAGGTTTGTTTATTTGAAAGATGATTTTACGCTTAAATTATCCAATGTAATAACATCACTATAAGTCTTCAGGAGACCAAGATCATATTTTATCATAAAACAAAATTTCTACCATCAAAGTAATGGCATGTTTTTCATTTTGAAAAGGATGAGGTATTTTCCACTGGATTCTGAACTGGGGAATTTTGTGAGCCATTCTTGAAACCTTGTCATTCTTCAAGGGATAGAGTCAAGAAGCCAGGGAGCCTGTCATTTTCACCGTTCTGGAGGGAACCCCATCATTACTCCCCTAGCAAGGAACTTTTACTTTCTGACCATAGTTTTTGACTTTGAGTCCAGATCTGGGGGGCCTTGCATAGTGACAAGCAACAGGTTTCTTTCTGTGGAATCCCAGGTTCTGAGCATTGGAGTGGACATTAGATCACTGGAAAGTTTGTCACCTGTGTAGGCTTGCCAGTTTTCACAAACAGAAATACAGCCCAGTTAAATTTCACTGCAGATAAACAACAAATAGTTGCTTTGTGCAGTTATGTCTCTTGCCAGAGCAAGAGTTCTTCCCATCCATAGCAGGCATCCCCCCAGCTCTGCATGAGTGCCTTTAGTGCTCACCCCTGCCTACAGCTGTACCTTCTATGTTAGCACGTGTTTTTTGATGCTGAAAGCAAACAAGCTGCTCTGATCCTAATTCTGCTGGGTCCTGTAACTAGAATGAGGCCATGCCCTTTTCCACCTGGTAATATTTAGTTTTCATAGAATAGCAGAGCTGCAAGAAGCCTTAAAAAGTATCTGGTCACATGGTTCCCAAATGCTCTTCTATTTCAGAATCACTGGGATAGCTGTTGAATTATAGAATCCCAAGACCTACCCCTTAAGGCTCTGATTTGTGATATCTGGGATGCTGGCTGGAAATCTCCAGTGTTTTTTTTTTGTTTGTTTGTTTTTTTTTGAGATGGAGTTTCGGCCTTGTTGCCCAGACTGTAGTGCAATGGCATGATCTTGGCCCATTGCAATCCCCGTCTCCTGGGTTCAAGTGATTCTCCTGCTTCAGCCTCCCGAATAGCTGGGATTATAGGCATGCACCACCATGCCTGGCTAATTTTGTATTTTTAGTAGAGATGGGGTTTTTCCATGTTGGTCAGGCTGATCTCAAACTCCCTACCTCAGGTGATCCACCCGCCTTGGCATCACAAAGTGCCAGGATTACATGCGAGAGCCACTGCTCCCAGCCGGAAATCTCAAGTTTTAAAAATAGAGTTGGGTTGTGCTGGACAGCAGATTTGGAAAACTTCTGGTTTAATTCAACCCCCTCATTTTACACATTGGAATGTGGAAGTCAGAAAAGGGAAGGGGTTTGCTTCCAGCCATTCAGCAGAAAGGAGTCCGGGTAAATCAAGGAACCTTTCTGTAAAATCAGAATTATCACATAATTTTCTGGTAATTTATATTTTGAAGTGTGAAAAACTTCTTAAAGCAACGTTATGAGCAAGATGTAGGGTTTGGATTAGAAATGCTGTAGGAGAGATTTTTATTTTTTTTTCCAGAAAGCCTGAGATATTAGCTATTGTTGCAGCAAAACCCATTTCAAGACCACCTGCTTAAAAAAGCAGACTTTTGGAGCTTTGATTTGATTTTCTATTGGAGTATCATAATTTAAACTTATGTTCAGAGACCACCTGCTTAATTTGGCTGCAGGAAGCTAGCAAAGTACATTGTATCATGGAAAAATCTAGTTAAGGAAGGAAGTGTTTCCAAATACAGTTTACTACTTTGATAGGAAATACAGTCCTTAATAAGACAGGTTTTTTGCCCAAGGATCTCCAGGCTCTTCCATAATTTCTCCAAAGCCCAGCGCTCTGCATATATCTTCCTAGTTCTTCCTTCAGAAAACCTAAATGATGCAAAATGATACCACAGTGTTGAATGTTTGATTTTAAGGTGGGTGGATTTAATAAGGAAAAGATGTTTTGCGTCTTTTTCATTGATCGCTTAGGCATTCTTGCTTTTTTGATTGATTTTTAACCTGGGTGGAGGGGTTTGAGGAGCTGTTTGAGAATGTGATGAAGGTCTTGGACCATATCTCTAGAAAAATGTACATACACAATACACAAACACAGGCACACAGACCCCCCCAACACAGACACACACACACACACACACACACACAGACAGACACAGACACACACACACAGACACACACACACACACAGTTCTACACATGATTTCAGGTGGGGAGGTCTCCCACCCTGTCCTCATAGATGCATTGGGCTTCCATGGACTTCATCTCTCCATTGCCTTGCTGTGATAAGTTGCACCTTCATAATGGAAACTCACTCTGATTCAGAACCAGCTGAACACTGGTTGCTGAGAACAATGCGTAGAAGGGTTGACTGCACAGGCCACTTCGTTTGATGGTTTGCATGTGGCATTCTGGAAGGAGCATGGCTCTGCCATTGGAGAGTTCTGATACAGAACCCAGGATCTGGTTTTGGAATAAATAACTTCTCCAAGCTTAGGTTTCCTCCTTTGTGCAATGGGTCTGACGGTCTGCCCTGGCAGGTGTGAGGTGATGATGTGGCAGGACGTGCACAGCAGGCTGGCACAGGGCCGTCCTCTCGTGTGTTCCCTGAGGGAACCCAATTCTGCGTGGCCTGTAGGACCTACTGGCTGGGCCTCCTAAGCTGGTTCTTTGTAGCTGCCCTGGCACCAGCACTGACGTGCCCATACCAGAACTGATCATGCCTACACTAGAAGTGACCATGCCCTACCCACAGTAGTACTGACTCTATCCACGCATTACTGACCCCTGCCCATACCAGTATTGACCCCACCCACACCAGCACAAACCATGCCCACACCGTCACTGACCCTGCCTGTACCAGCACGTTCCTAGGGGCCGGTTCAGGGATAGGATAAGGAGTAGTATTTGGGAGGGAGGAGCTTGCTTTGTTAGTGAGACATATTACAAAAATAACTAATGAGACCTTAAAATGCTTTTTACATTTTCTCCAGATGTCTTTCTGTTGGTCTTGAGGCACCCTGCTTACATTGCAGCCACTGCGGCTGTTTTCATGCAGTGCAAAAAGCCTCTATTTGTTTAAAGTCTGTTTACCCTGATGCTGTTGACAGGCCCAGTTGGTCCTCCTGCTTCACTGTCAGTGGAATTTGCTCAATAGATATTAAAAGGAAAAAATCAGTTTTCTGTATTTGTCTTCCCAGTGGTACAGTGCTTGAGCAAAACTCCAAAGACTAAATATGTTTGAGATGCTGGCAGACTCGTATCTGGCTTTAAGGTGTGTGACCTCAAGACTCGAAGTCTCAGGGTAGTTTTTTAGATGGAACATTTATTGGCAATTCAACTTTCCTCTTTAATTTGTAACTATAAAGATGTTCTCTAATTGAAATTTATCATTCTTTCAAATGACTCTGTTTCCTTTTTCATATTGTTAAAAAAGCCTGTTTCCATCGGCTTGTTAATTACAGGAATATAATCCTAACGGGTAAGAGGCACCTATGGTTAATTTTCTGCCCTTAGACCTGCGTGTTTTGTTAACAAGAAAGCCAGAACCTACTGCCAGATCACAACTCTTGATCTCTTTTGTTACACAGTTGTCTGTGTTCTTTAAATAAAAACTGTGGTAAAAATCATCTTACAATTTTGTTGGATTTGAGGAATCAGAGAGAATATTCCCCAAAATATGTACTGTTTATTTATTTATTTATTTATTTATTTTTAGTATTTATTGATCATTCTTGGGTGTTTCTCCGAGAGGGGGATTTGGCAGGGTCATAGGACAATAGTGGAGGGAAGGTCAGCAGATAAACATGTGAACAAAGGTCTCTGGTTTTCCTAGGCAGAGGACCCTGCGGCCTTCCGCAGTGTTTGTGTCCCTGGGTACTTGAGATTAGGGAGTGGTGGTGACTCTTAAGGAGCATGCTGCCTTCAAGCATCTGTTTAACAAAGCACATCTTGCACCGCCCTTAATCCGTTTAACCCTGAGTGGACACAGCACATGTTTCAGAGAGCACGGGGTTGGGGGTAACGTCATAGATTAACAGCATCCCAAGGCAGAAGAATTTTTCTTAATACAGAACAAAATGGAGTCTCCCATGTCTACTTCTTTCTACACAGACACAGTAACAATCTGATCTCTCTTTCTTTTCCCCACATTTCCCCCTTTTCTATTCGACAAAACCGCCATCGTCATCATGGCCCGTTCTCAATGAGCTGTTGCGTACACCTCCCAGACGGGGTGGCCACCAGGCAGAGGGGCTCCTCACTTCCCAGACGGGGCGGCCGGGCAGAGGCGCCCCCCACCTCCCGAACGGGGTGGCTGCCGGGTGGAGGGGCTCCTCACTTCTCAGATGGGGCGGCCCGTCAGAGACGCTCCTCACCTCCCAGACGGGGTGGCGGCGGGGCAGAGACACTCCTCAGTTCCCAGACGGGGTCGTGGCTGGGCAGAGGCGCTCTTCACATCTCAGACGGGGCGGCAGGGCAGAGGCGCTCCCCAGATCCCAGACGATGGGCGGCCGGGCAGAGACGCTCCTCACTTCTAGACGGGATGACGGCCGGGAAGAGGCGCTCCTCACTTCCCAGACTGGGTGGCCGGGCAGACACGCTCCTCACTTCCCAGACGGGGTGGCGGCCGGGCAGAGGCTGCAATCTCGGCACTTTGGGAGGCCAAGGCAGGTGGCTGGGAGGTGGAGGTTGTAGCGAGCCGAGATCATGCCACTGCACTCCAGCCTGGGCAACACTGAGCACTGGGTGAGCAAGACTCTGTCTGCAATCCCAGCACCTCGGGAGGCTGAGGCTGGCAGATCACTCACGGTCAGGAGCTGGAGACCAGCCGGGCCAACCCGGTGAAACCCCGTCTCCATCAAAAAATACGAAAACCAGTCAGGTGTGGCGGCGCGCGCCTGCAATCCCAGGCACTCCGCAGGCTGAGGCAGGAGAATCAGGCAGGGAGGCTGCAGTGAGCCGAGATGGCGGCAGTACAGTCCAGCCTTGGCTCGGCATCAGAGGCAGACCGTGGAGAGAGAGGGAGAGGGAGACCGTGGAGAGGGAGAGGGAGACCGTGGAGAGGGAGAGGGAGAGGGAGAATGTACTGTTATAGACTGGACAGATTTATTAGCCAGATGTTGCTTGTGTTTTTAGTTGGTGACTACATTTAGCCATCTGGCCAGGAAGTTGCTTAACCTTATTGTAGATAACGTCCATATGTTTGGTGTTCACATACAATAGAACATCTGTATTGAAAATCTTCCTGTGGCCTCATGTAAGGACTCGAAGTAGAAGGGGAGACATGCAGGGATCCCTATTGGGGTCAGTGGGGAGTAAAAAGGTGGTGGATAGATCTCTCCTCCAAGTTTTCTTCCCTCTCTCCTTCCTCAACTCTCTGATGATGTCACAACTGCCAGCTATGTGTTTGGGTTGATGGATGTATATGTGATTGCATATATATGTGAATGTGTGTGTGTGTGTACATATGTAGTATGCCTTAGGTGGGGTGCAGTGGCTCACGCCTGTAATCCCAGCACTTTGGGAGGCTGAGGTGGGCAGATCACCTGAGGTCAGGAGTTGAGACCAGCCTGGCTAACATGGCAAAACCTCATCTCTACTAAAAATACAAAAATTAGCCGGGTGTGGTGGCACACACCTGTAACCCCAGCTACTCGGGAGGCTGAGGCAGGAGAATTGCTTGAACCCGGGAGATGGAGGTTGCAGTGAGCCGAGATCGCACCACTGCACTCCAGTATGGGCAACAAGAACGAGACTGTCTCAAAAAAAAAAAAAAAAAAAAAAAAAGTATGCCTTAAAACTTTTCATATTTTACATAATAATTAGTAATACATACTTCACTTGGGCCTTGTAGATCTGTAAAACTTCTCCTTGCAAGACAAAGCCACTGTTGATTGCAATGGAAATAAAAATTGAGGATTTTTTTTTTTTTTTTTTTTTTTACTTCTCCCAAGATGACACATTTTAAGCTAAAGAAAGCAGCCTCCAAGAATTTTATATTCCTAATATTTTGGGCAAGCCCGAGTTTCTAGGTTGTTTTTACCTGCCCAGTTGCTGTGGTGGAAGTTGTGCTAGAAAATTCAGCCTCCTTGGTCTATGTCTGTGAACTTACTAAATTCTTGTTGTTCTAGAATTCTAGATTTGGACCTGGTGGTTAGAGATGAAGATGGGAATATTTTGGATCCAGAATTAACTAGCACGATTAGTCTCTTCAGAGCTCATGAAATAGCTTCTAAACAAGTGGAGGAAAGGTTACAAGAGGAAAAAGTAAGTTTGACTCTGTCATATGCCATTCACGTTTTCTCAGTAATAAGTTTTCAACATTAGTAAAGTATCAGTCAAGCCCAAAATTGTCACTAAGAAAGAACCTGAAAAGGAGTAGCTGCAGAGTTTGTGTCCTACAGTCATGAGTGGAATGGAGCCTGGTGGCACAGGATGTCACCCATGACATGAAAGGGGGTCGGACAGCATTGTGTTTCATCGTAGGAGACAGGATCCTAATGATGTTGATTTTGTGTTCTCATCTGTCAAATGAGACACAAGACTTGATTCTGCATTTCCTCTCGGATAATGGTAGGCAGGTCATGTATTCCAAGCTCATTGAGGGCAGAGAGTACATGTCTTATTGTCTTTTCGTCTTCTATGATCTTTAATGGTATCATGTATGCATTAGCCTGTTCTCGCCTTACTATAAAGAAGTGCCTGAGACTGGGTAATTTATAAAGAAAAGAGGTTTAATTGGTTCATGGTTCTGCAGACTGTATAGGAAGGATAGTGGCTTCTGCTTCTGGGGAGGCCTCAGGAATCTTATAATTATGGTGGAAGGCGAAGTGGGAGCCAACACTTCACATGGCTAGAGCAGGAGGAAGAGAGAGGGTGTGCGGGGGGGTGCTACACGCTACACTTTTAAACGACGAGATCTTGTGAGAGCTCACCATCATGAGGACAGCACTGAGAGGATGGTGCTAAACCATTCATGAAAAATCCACCCCATGATCCAGTCACCTCCCACCAGTATATATATATACACACACACACAGTAGATACTCAGAAATTGACTAATTGAATCATCTGTTAATTCAACAAGTACTTACTGAGCATCTACTGTGTACCAAATGTTGAAGACATAATGATACATGAGACAGATGTCCTTGGAGGGTTTAGTCTAATGAGGGAACAAAAAATTAAATAACTACACATATATAATCATTATTTTGATTTATTGGATGGACACCTGAAAGTTTTGTATCTCTGAAAATACTCAGCACAGCAGTTGCACAGGATACAATTTTTTGTCTGTTGTGTGAATGCATGATTTAAGAATGTGCAGGGGAGATAAGAAAGTGACTGCACCAAGGCCTTTGCTGGGTTATGCCAATGAGTTATTACAATTTTCTATTCTGTAGGGAATAAAGAAAGCAAGTGTCAGTGATGAGTGTTGCTGGGGTTGACTTTCTGTTTCCTTCCATACACAGTCTCAAAAGCAGAACATAGATATTAACAGACAAGCCAAGTTTGCTGCAACCCCTTCTCTGGCCTTGTTTGTGAACCTCAAAAATGTGGTTTGTAAAATAGGAGAAGATGCTGAAGTCCTCATGTCTCTATATGACCCTGTGGAGTCCAAATTCATCAGGTGGGTGACATTTCTTGGCTGCCGTCTTTCCTCTTTGGTTAGTGTTAGGAACTTGGGATCAGAACCACTGAAGCGTCCCATTCATGCTGAGAGGCCTTGGATGAATGGCTGCTGGACACGAGCAAGCAGCCGAGTCAAGAGCTGTCTTAGACAGTGTGATGGCAGCCAGGTTGGGCTCTGGGTCAGGGTGAACCTTCTTGCGTGTAGATTGCTATTTGCTCGTAGAGTTATAGCAGTTGCAGGTACACTCTGGCCGTATCTTAAGAGTGTAGCTGAAGATTGAAGTAATACTTTGTTTCCTAAGTTGTCTTCGTAAGATTTTATATATCCTGGTCCCTCAAATATCACTATTTCCATTTTTCAAAATTTGGTTTCTATGAATGCCATTTCTGTGAGTTTTGTCTTGTTTTTTCTGCAAGATGATTGGCTGGAATACATCATTTAGAATGGTGCCTGCCACATACAGACTGTCAGTTAATATTTGTTAAATGAAAACACTGTAAGTCTATTTTTTCCTGCTTAGCCTTCAGTATAACTTTCTCTTTGCCCAGATGGAAACAATGTGGTTCAACTATGTATGAATTATGTGTGTGTCTGTGTATATGTTAAAACTCTAGTATCTTCACTTGTATTATTCAAAATTTGAAAACTTAGTGTATGAATGATACAGAAAAATACGAGTGGATTTTATTCTCACTTCTGATAAAGACTTTGTTTCCTCTTGACATAGGATGCAGTTTTTATTTTACAATGTATTTGGTTTGTCATAGGTTTTGAAATAAACATGCATTGTGCTGAATTTTATAGTATTGTCATTCTAAATGAACAAATAGGCTCTTAAAAAAAAAACCAACTTAGAAATACCATTTGCAAGTAGTTCTATTACAGTGACAACCCAAGACATTGCACATTAAAACTTGGCAAGGTTTTTGTGCTGTGGATGTTAATTGATGAGTAGCTGTATGTGATACTTTTGATATTTATAAACTCAATAGTTGTCTGTATAGTGCACGTACATGGTATTAATTATGAAGCAATGTGGATGTACATTTGGTACCCTGTTATTTGGAAAATTAACTTGCTTTTATTTCTCCATTTTTCAAGTGAGAACTACCTGGTTCGCTGGTCCAGTTCAGGATTACCTAAAGACATAGACAGATTACATAATTTGCGAGCCGTGTTTACTGTAAGTGCACCCAAAGATGCTTAGTTGAATTGGCTACCATTCTAAGGACTACTTTTAGCCATTTCTGTCTGCCTTCCTGCGACACTAGAACATGGGTCCCTGGGATGCCTGTATACAGGTTAATTTAGTATTACTAAGTAGAGCGCATTTCCAGAAATCATCTGAGTCTCTAGCCACCCTTAGAATCACCGTGACAAAGATTTACCCCATTAACATGGAATGTGCCTCTTAAATGTGTATCGTTTTTATTTTTTTCCTTGAGACGGAGTCTTGCTCTGTCACCCAGGCTGGAATGCAATGGCGTGATCTCGGCTCACTGCAACCTACGCCTCCTGGGTTCAAGCAGTTCTCCTGCCTCAGCTCCCGAGTAGCTGGGATTACAGGCATGCACCACCACACCTTGCTAATTTTTTGTATTTTTAGTAGAGATGGGGTTTCCCCATGTTGGCCAGGCTGCTCTCAAACTCCTGACCTCGTGATCCACCCTCCTCGGCCTTCCAAAGTGCTGGGATTACAGGTGTGAGGCACTGCCCCTAGCCCTTAAATGTGTATCTTAAGCTCACTTAACAGTAATTGACTATTGTTATTAAATTCCTTTTTGTCATATGAATAACTGATTAAAATGATAAAAACTGGTCTGAGAAGAGTCTCAATCCATTTTTTTACTGTCCTTTTCATTGGAGCTTGCATTGAATAATGGGTCTCCAAAATAATTTATGGAAACTAATATTTCTAGGACCTCGGAAGCAAAGACCTGAAAAGGGAGAAAATCAGTTTTGTCTGTCAGATTGTTCGCGTGGGTCGCATGGAGCTGAGGGACAACAACACCAGGAAACTGACCTCGGGGTTGCGGCGACCTTTTGGAGTGGCTGGTAATCTATTTCTCTGTGTTTCCTTGAGAGTTTCAGATCTTCACAGTCACTTTCAAAAGAATCACTGTTGAATGTTGATTGGACAATGCACAGCTGTGATTTATAAGCTTTTCTGCTGGAGAGAAAAAATATATTTATTAGTTATTTTCATTGTGGCTTCAAGTTGACCTGCTAGGCTCAGGATGCTCTAGTCCTCAAGTTTCAGATATAAATCATATATTTGGTTTTAAAGTGGATCCCATCTTTCCCTGGGAGTGATCCTGACCCATATTCTCAGTCTGTAGGGAAGCCAGTCAGTGGAGGTTTTCAGGTCTTGGTGATGGACATAAGAATGGATATGTGCAGGACGGTCAAAGCAACGAAGAAGAGGAAGAAAGGCAAACTGTGAAGAGAACGCGGTTAGCTTCATGTTGGTGCTCTTCATCCGCCATGTTGGTGCTGTTTCTCCGCCATGTTGGTGTTCTTCCTCCGCCATGTTGGTGTTCTTCCTCCGCCATGTTGGTGCTTTTCCTCTGCCATGTTGGTGCTCTTTCTCCGCCATGTTGGTGCTCTTCCTCCGCCATGTTGGTGCTCTTTATCTGCCATGTTGGTGCTCTTCCTCCACCGTGCTGGTGCTCTTCCTCCACCCTGCTGTTGCTCTGTTATTTTTGGTGACAGCACGAGGAATGTGAAAGACCAATTATCTCTGTTGAGGAAAGATAAAGGCATACCCAGGAAGTTCTGATTATTTGCCCTAGTTCACTGTGACTCTCATTTTTCATAGTTTTGGGAAGTGGTTTTCTCTCTTTTATGGTTGCAGTACAATTTCATTACCTAGCACTGTGATATTTATTTTAATTTTTGTGATTTTTGGGATTCATATGGATATTTATGAGGGAAAAGTTCCTGATTCTTGACACATAGCTGGATTTTTTTGTATGAACAGCTATGGAAGACATTCTTTCCCTTGGCTACCAGGAAACTCTGAACTTAGTCCATCCCCCCTGCCTTTTAAATAAACATTATTTTTAGAAGAGTTTTAGGTTCAAGCAAAATTGAACAGAAAATACAGACAGTTCCTATATATTTCTCCTTCCTTCCCCCTGCCTCCCCATTATCAGTATCCACCATAGATTGGTACATTGATTACAGTTGGTGAACCGCATTGACACATCGTCGCCCTGTGAAGTCTGTAGTTTACATTAGCGTTCATTCTTGATGTTGTGCCTTCTGTGGGTTTCGACAAATGAATAATACCGTATATTCACCATTGTAGTCTCTCACTGGGTAGCTTCACCATCCTAAAAGTCCTCTGTGCTCCGCCTGGAATTTTTGGAAAAATATTTCAAATCATTTAAATAAATGACTTACTACATCATAAGGAGTAAGCAATAGCAGCGATATAGACATTATGAGAGCAGCATATTAATTCAATTTACTTGAATTCAATTTACCCATAGAGCTAACTAACGGAGTGTTCCAATGATTTTACCATTTGTGAGTGAAAATGGTGAGGGTGAGGTGTTCTTTCTGAAGTCCCCACAGCCTTGGGCTGGGGAAATCCTTTTGCATTTTCATCTTTCTGTCTTTTTGTTTTTATGAGACAGAGTCTAACTCTGTCACCCAGGCTGTGTGATGACAGCTCACTGCTGCCCCGACCTCCTGGGCTCAAGTGATCCTCCTGCCTCAGCCTCCTGAGTAACTGGGACCACAGGCACATGCCGTGCTAACATTTTCATGTCATGACTTGAATACATACTTGAAAATTGCCCCTCTATTTGTCAGAGCCTGTAGCATCTTTTACATGTAATCTAGTGTTATATTTAAAATGCCTTTCATTTTCCAGGATTGTTTTTTTTCTTTTCCACCTTGATGGTAGTTTTAAGAAAATATTTAATTTTTGTCTCAGGCATAATTGGCTTCATTTGAGCAATCAGAGACATCTTTGACAACACACGGAAGTCGCTCCTCTTTTCAACAGCAGAGCTACACATTCTCTGGTTATTAGATTACAAGATGGATTGTGTCATAAGTTCCTACGAATGCGTAGTTATATTTCTTAAAGATGAAATGTAGACCACAGGCTGACAGTTTTTACCTTCTTTTGATTAAAATTTTTGGAATTTAAAAATTTGGAATATTTTTCAGTTTTCATTGGGTTGATATTCCAGGAAAGTCTAGGTACTAATGGATGGAGAGGGTGATGGGCATGGGCTCAGCTGACACCACTGTGGCCTTCCACTGTTTCTTACATGCTCACTTATGCTTGCTTGGTGGGGTCTAGAGTTAGGTTGGGCCCCCCAGCTCCTGGAGTTCTCCATGAATTACAGAAGCCTGGGTTATTCACTGGGGCAGGGCGGGCAGCCTGGACATAGTTCCTTGTTTCTGGAGCCCCTACCTGTGTAGTGTTGGCTGAGACACTACATCTGGTCCCTGGAGTTTGGATGCCTGGCTGTGTGGCCTCCAGGGACTTCTGTCCCCTGATATCTGCTGATCACATGGACACCCCCTTTGGTCCCTGGTTCCTCCTGTCTGGACTGGTCTCTGGTTCCTTCCCTTCCTGTCTTGTGTCTCTGGTACCCACTGATATCGGGGCTTCTGAAAACCCACCTGGGGCCAAGTTCTAGCCTTGTCGTCTTGCTCGTGAATTTTCCAGAGTGTGGCTTCTCCTCACTGCTCTGCTCTGACTGGCACATGGGGTGTCCCCCCTCACTTAGGGGTTGCAAAGAACCTGTGTGAACCTGCATGAACCTGTGTGAACCTCTATAAACCTGTGTGAACCTGCGTGAACCTTTATGAACCTGTGTGAACCTGTGTGAACCCACGTGAACCTTTATGAACCTCTGAACCTGCATGAACCTGTGTGAAACTGCGTGAACCTGTGTGAACCTCTAAGAACATGTGTGAACCTGCATGAACCTGCGTGAACCTGTGTGAACCTTTATGAACCTGTGTGAACCCACGTGAACCTTTTTGAACCTGTATGAACCTGCGTGAACCTGTGTGAACCTGCGTGAACCTGTGTAACCTTTATGAACCTGTGTGAACCTGTGTGAACCTGCATGAACCTGCGTGAACCTGTGTGAACCTGTGTGAAGTGCTTCAGAGATACCCATAGGCATTTGTTTTCCTCTGTGGGAAGATTTCAGGCCTGCAGCTGTTAATGTTGGGTTGCCGGGTCCTTTGAGTTCTCTGTCCCTTCTGGTGTCACAGTTGCCTAGCAGTTGCTGGTTTGCCTGGCTCCACTACATGCCCTGGGTGGGGATGTCCTGTTCATCCCTTGGTGCCAAGCACTGAGCACTGAGCCTTTGTGGCCTCTGTGCTCACTCCAGAGGGGCCAGCCTTCCTAGCCCTGCTCAGCTGGTGTGTGTCTGTACATTATAAGTAAGAAACTGGCTGGGCGCTGCCTGTAATCCCAGCACTGTGGGAAGTTGAGGTGGGCAGATCACATGAGTTTGGGTGTTCGAGACCAGCCTGGCCAACATGGTAAAACCTCCTATCTACGAAAAATAAAAAAATTAGCCAGGCATGGTGGTGCATGCCTGTAGTCCCAGCTATTTAGGAGGCTGAGGGAGAAGAGTTGCTTGAACCTGGGAGGCGGAGGTTGCAGTGAGCTAAGATTGTGTCACTGCGCTCCAGCTTGGGGAACAGGGAGAGACTCTGTCTCCCCTCCCCCCCAAAAAAAAGGCCAGGTACAGTGGCTCACACCTCTAATCCCAGAACTTTAGGAGGCCGAGGCAGGCAGATAATGAGGTCAGGAGTTCGAGACCAGCGTGGCCAGTGTGGTGAAACCCTGTCTCTACTAAAGATACAAAAAATTAGTTGGGCGTGGTGCTGTGTGCCTGTAATCCCAGCTACTCAGGAGTCTGAGGCAGGAGAATTGCTTGAACTGGGGAGGTGGAGGTTGCAGTGAGCCAAGATCACGCCAGAGTGATGGGGCGAGACTCCATCTCAAAAAAAAAAAGAAAAGAAAACAAAACAAAACAAAACAAAAGTAAGGACCTGATCGTTCTGCTTGTGGAGTTTCCAGTTTCCTACTAGAAACTCTTCTCTGAGACATTTCATTATGTGATCTGGCTATGTAAATTTTTGGCACAAAAAGTAAATATCTTAATGCAGTGGTTCTCAATCCTAACTGAATATGAGAAAAATCTTGCGAGCTATCAATAAAAATTCTTGGTCAGGTGCTGTGGTTCATGCCTGTAATCCTAGCACTTTGGGAGGCTGAGGAAGGCAGATCGCTTGAGCCCAGGCATTCAAGACCAGCCTGACAACATGGCAAAACCTCGTCTCTACTAAAAAATACAAAAGTTAGCTGGGCGCTTGGTGGCTTGCACCTGTGGTCCCAGCTACTCAAGAGGCTGAGGTGGGGGGATCACCTGAGCCTAGGGAGGTTGAGACTGCAAATGAGCCATGATCGTGCCATTGTACTCCAGCCTGGGCTACAGAGTCATCCTGTCCCCCCCAACGGCCCCCTGCCCCGCCACCCCCCCGCCCCAAAAAAAAGAAAAAAGTCTTGCACAAGCCCCACTCCTGTCCAGGTAAACCAGAATCTCTACTTTAACCAAAATCGCTTGTTTGTCACTATGGGCCACTCAGTGACTGGCAGTTTGCTGCCACCAGACTACCTTGCCCTCCCTGCTCTGCCCCGCTTATCACATGGTGGCATTCAGCACATCTGGGGAATTTTTTTTAATAGGACTTGCTTCTAACTTATTCAGTGTGTTGTCCAACCAGATGTTCTCTTTGTTACTAAGAAAGGATACTTGGTCGGGTGCAGTGGCTCACACCTGTAATCCCAGCACTTTGGGAGGCCAAAGTGGGTGGATTGCTTGAGTCCAGCAGTTCGAGACCAGCCTGGGCAATATGGTGAAACCCCATCCCTACCCAAAAAAACTAAAAAACAAAAATTAGCCGGTCGTGGTGGCGCATGCTTGGGGTGGCCAAGGCAGGAGGGATTGCCTGAGCTTGGGAGGTTGAGGTTGCTGTGAACCGTGATTGTACCACTGCACTTCAGCCTAGGCAACAGAGTGAGACACTCAAAAAGAAAAAAAAAAGGGATAGAAGGGATGCTTCCCACATCTGAGAAGGTTGATCAACATTTTGGTAATCGTATTCTATCTGTTCATAGGCTACTTCAATTTCCACATGCAAATTTAATTTTGAGGCTTTCTTTAGAATGACTTCTGCGTGTCTGTGTTAACAGAGTTCAGTTCCTTAAAATGAGAAAGTGTCCATGGACCTTTAAGTCTACAGTTCTTAGTCTTCGGTTGAAAAGAATGTGTCACATTTCTGTCTTTTAACCTTTTTATAATGTAACCTTTTCTATCTTTTTCTAAAAGATAGAAAATTGTAAAAATAATGGAAATTTTATGGAAAAGTGTAGTTAAATAAATTATCCATAGTTTTACATAGCCAGGGTAGTACCTCATGTTTATTCTGATATGTTTGTTTCCAAATTATTTTTTCTGTGTGTGGCATATGATTTTTAAATACAATATCCCGTCCTACCATGTATTTGTTTATTTAACTGATTGATTTTTTAATGTCTTTTTAGTCCCTTTTTTGCCATCTTAACCATTTTTAGGCGTGCAGTTCAGTAGTAAGTATGTTTGCATTGCACATACTTTTATCTTTCTAACAAACCTAGCATTATCTTATGAACATGTCCTTTTATTAAGCATTATTCAAAAATTCGGCTTCTCAATGGCTGCAGCCTGTAGTCCTGTGATTCCAGCAGTCCTTTGCTTTGGGCTCTGAGGTTATCTCAGCCTTGCGGTGTAGTAGCTACGCAGTGAGCATCCTGGGGCTTGAAGCATCCCACCTGTGCCTGTTTGCAGGCCAGCCCCTGCAGCGGAGTTGCTGACTCGCAGGGTGTGGGGGTCCATCTGCCGTGAGCAAGTCATCCTGATGCAGCCCCACCAGTGGGACTGAGCCATCAGCCCCTCTCCCTGCGAGACGTTTCTCACCTCCTGCCTTCTGCTCTCCTGCCTGTGCTGGCCCTGGGCCTCTGTCACTCTTGTCCCAACGCCACTGCCTCCTTCCTTCTCCTGCCCTCTGTCTTCCAGCATCACGCGGTGCCGTCTGTCTACCCGGCCTCTCCCTCACACAGCTGTACTGACTTCAGCTGGACTCTGTCTTTTCACCATCCTCTTCCCTGAATGTAGAGACCCTGGGCTGGCTGGCTGGGGGAATTTTTCCCCCAAGTCCTTTATTTCCTCCTTTGGTGTCAGGGACATCTTGTCCAAACTGCAGGGAGCACTCCCTCTGCGTGGGGCTGTGTGCGGAAGAGCAGTCAGGGGAGTCCCTGGGAAGCGCGATGAGCGGTGATGACTGGTGACGTCAAGGCCTTCTCCTCGAGGCTCAGGATGGGTGCGGGACTCGGGGTGTTTTCCACCTGTGGGTGCTCAGGCTCTGATTGCGTTTCCCGCTTGTTTGCTGCCTTCCTGCACATGGTCCTGTGTTCCAGGGCTGGGCACTGGGGATGTGGCAAGGGAGTCCCATGGTCAGCTGGTGAGATGAGTCCCATGGCAGAGCAGAGCTCTGCAGGCACCCAGCAAGGCCACCCAGGACCAGCTGGCATGTGAGGGTGGGCCTGCTCGGGTCAGACTCCCTTGGTTCTGGCTCATCGTGGGCTGCTGCCTAAATGAGTTTATTGAAGGATGCTGAACTGGTGGTCTCGGGCATCTTGGAAAAAGGTAAAAAGGTGGGTGCTGCAGTCAGTCGCGTGTGGGTCAGTCACCCCCAAGAGTGCTGGAAGCTGGGAAACGCTTCCCCCAGGCCAGGTGAGGGCCCGTGTCCAGACCATGCATCCTCTGAGCAGCTGTCATTTGATGTTGCAAGTTATTTGGGATTCTTTGACCTGTATCTGCAAACACAGCCGTGGGCTCCTGGCTCTTTGAGGCCCCTTGGTTGAGTGGAGTGAGTGTGGGTGTCGTCTCTTACGACACTGCTGAGGCCCCTGGGGCCCCACCAGACCAAACAGGGGATGAGGATGCTGCTTTTTTGGTTCTATGTATCCCTCCTCCTTTTTGGAGGGTGGTGATGGTGATGGTAGAAAGGAAAATTTTCAATATATGATTACTTACATGTTGGACAAAATATATTTAGACTGATCCTCTTACCTGAACGCAGAGCTGGGCTACAGAGAGACCCTTCTGGGGAAAGGTCTTGTGCGAAGAAAATAAACAAGGCATCTTCCTCTCAAGTCCAGTGTGGCGGTGGAGCAGTAGCAGACACAGGGAAAGTGACCCGGGCCATCTGGGGTTATTCTTGGACTTTCTTGTTCTGTCATGACCAAGGGCAAAAGGAATTGTTTGAAAGGTAGACAGTGTGTCTGGGTTTACCCCTGAATGTCATCAGGGAATGTCTTTTAACACAAGAAGATGGCAAAGGATATTAGCCTTTCTTGTGATGTTAGCAAGCCTGGATCTCCCGGGGGGTGTGTTTGTGAAGGCAGTTTAATAGGATTGAAAGAGCTTGGGTCTTGGAGACTTTCTCGCTGTAGACTTTGAGCATGCTTGTTCATGCCTGTCTTTGAGCCTCAGTTTCTTGTCAGTATGGTAGGTTACTGAGGATTTGCCTTGAAGTGTCCTCTTGAAAGAGCGTCCACAGATACCAGCATGTGGTGGGTGCTTGGTAAATGGTAGCTACTTGTTGGCTTAATTGTTTGCGGGAAAGCAAAAGTGTGAGGCTTCAGAACAGTGCTGGCCAGCGTGGTAACCACTTGTCACATGTGACTAGTTAAATTTAAATTAAATGAATGAAATAAAAGTAAATTTTCAGTTCCTCCATCACGCTTTCTACATTTTCTTTTTTTCTTTTGTTTTGTGGCAGGGTCTCACTCTGTCACTCAGGCTGGAGGGCAGTGGTGTGAATTCTGTTCACTGCAACCTCCACCTCCTGGGCCCAAGCAAGTCTCCCATCTCAGCTTCCTGAGTAGCTGGGACTACAGGTGCACACCACCACGCCTGGATAATTTTTGTATTTCTTGTAGAGATGGGGTTTTGTCATGTTACCCAGGCTAGTCTCGAACTCCTGGGCTCAAGCACTGTGCCTGCCTTGGTCTCCCAAAGTGCTGGGATTACAGGTGTGAGCCACTGCGCCTGGCCTATGCTTTCACATTTTCGTTGCTTGTTGTTAATGGAACATTTTCCATCATTACAGAAAGTTCTATTGGACAGGGCAGCTCTAGGGTGACAGTTGGGTAATAGGCAAAGGAAATTATTAAATGGAACTCTGCCATTTGAGCCCCAATTCCATTTGGGCCAGCATTTTCTGATAACTTAATTTGTCTTTCAAGCATGGAAATAATTTAGACTTGACTATGAGAAAACAGCTTTTGCTGTTGTTTGCCAGAAGATATTCTGATGTTCCTTTGTTTGTTTGTGTTCTGTGATTATAGCATTTAAGCCAAAACAATCTCTGTTCTCTTTTTGTCTCCAGTGATGGATGTAACAGATATAATAAATGGAAAAGTAGATGATGAAGATAAGCAGCATTTCATTCCCTTTCAGCCGTAAGTATGGAGCAATTCAAGTACTTAGCCAGATATAATGTGGAAAACATAGGCTTGTAATAATTATCTTTATAATTAAATGGATAAACATAACTAAGGATTGATTATTTTGTAATTATGAAAAACCTCTTTAGTCACTGCTGTAGTACATGGAATTTTTTGTAGCCATAAGAATCCTGGGTCAAAGTTTGTTTATGGTCCTGGAAGTAGGAGATTTTACTTGTAATCACTGAATTGCCTTATATAGAAGGCACAGAGTTACAGCTCTGCTCTGAGCCTGAATGTTTCTTTACATAATTGATTTATTCTAGTAGCTATTTGTATTTTCAAAGCACAATACTTCCAAATTCATCATAGGAGGTTGCTGTTTTTAAAATAAAAAAACAAACAATTATGATGAATTATTTTAAAGCGAGAAATAATGCTTTAAAGCATATAATCACACTGCTGATTTTTGTGTCTCGGTTTTTGCTTAGAGTGGAGCCTATCTGTGTTCGTTTTTAGGCTTTCTCTAGTTCTGACCTGAAGTCTTTAAAGAGGCACGGAAGCTGAGAAAAAGCTCTTGGAGGAGATTCATTAAATTGATTATCTGATTTGTGGGTAGAACCCAGGGAACTGGTGGGAAGAACTGGCGTTTATTTCCCTCGTGTGGAAGCAAGAGTGTACCCAGATGATGGTCGTTGGCCACTTAAGCACTCCTACTCCTCACAGAGGAGGAGAGAAAAAGGAATCCAGATGGTTGAGGTTAATTGTAAGAGACAGCTTCCTCCTGGGCGTGGGGTTGGGTGGCGATGTTAGGGGAGAAGGCATGGTAAGGGCAGTGGAAGCCACCTGCCATAGTGCTCTGCAGTTTCACTTTTCCCTCATTTTTATTCTTAATCGACTTCAGACTTGAAACACATTTCAGATTTTAGAAATTTTACGGTTTTCAGCTGTTGGCTGAAGGGTTTAGGAGGCGGGTAGTAATTGGGTGGCTGAAGGAGCCCTGTCCTTGGGGGCCCGGAGATGTGAGGTTGACTTCCCTCTGCCCCACGCATCCTTGGTGATGGACCACCGCGCTCAACCCCACCCGACTCCTCTGGGTCTTGAGTGCCACTGGCTAAGACAGGAAGAGTATGGCTTTCTTTGCAGGCGGGCGATGTGGTCACATAGCACCCTAAAGCTTTTTGTACAGCTCAGTAGGAGATTTTGCTATCTTCTTGACGTAAGAATAACAGCAAACCCTGCGTTATTGAGCTGGGAGTCAGGGTTAAGTTATATGTATCTCAGCATGCACAACTAGAGGCAAAGGTCTCTTTGTGGCTTAAATGCTTTAGGTTTACTCTCCTGTCCAATATGGTAACCATTAGCTCCATGTGGCTATTTAAAATACTTAAAATGAGCTGGGCGCAGTGGCTCATGCCTGTAATCCCAGCACTTTGGGAGGCCGAGGCAGGAGGATCACCTGAGGTCAGGAGTTCGAGACCAGCCTGGCCAACATGGTGAAACCCCATAACTACTAAAAATACAAAAATTAGCCGGGTGTGGCGGCAGGTGCCTGTAATCCCAGCTACTTGGGAGGCTGAGGCAGGAGAATCGCTTGAACCCGGGAGGCAGAGGTTGCAATGAGCCAAGATCACGCCACTGCACTCCAGCCTGGGCGACAGAGGGAGATTCTGTCTCAATGATAATAGTAATTAGAATGAAGTAGCATTAAACATTTAGTTCTTCAGTCACATTGGTCCTGTTTCAAGTGTTCAGCAGCAGGGGAGGTCAGTGGCCCCGTCCTGGGCAGCACATACATAGCACATCTCCAGCACTGCAGAAAGCTCTGCTGGATTATGTTGTTTTGTAGTCCCATCCAGTGAGGAGAGTTTATAAAGGGAACACAGTGCTGCAGAATCTGGAAGTTTCCTTAGCAAACAAGGGGAACAGTATCATGGAACATGGGCAGATATTGAGGTCATAAATAAAATACACCTTTGTAAAATTATAATATTAAATTGCCTCATTCTCTCATGAGAAATAATGCAGCCCCCTGCTGTTTTGAATGCTGTATTATATATTAGACCTCAGAGGTTCTTGATGCCCAGATGTAACACTAAGTTGAAATTACCTGTTGCCTGCTAGTGTCCTCTGTGAAAAGTCAAAAACAAAAACAAAAACAAAAACAAACCCAACCTGAGGGATTGTTTGAAAGGTTAGGGAGGTTATTAGTTTTAGATTCACTGATTTTCACAGAACATGTTATGAGTTGTTTGAGATTGCCTGTGCTTTGACGCCATCTTTTTCTATCTTGTAGTGGAATGTCCACTTGAAAAATATGTTATTCCATGTGTAACTCTTATGTAATTTGTGACTCCATGCTCCATTAAAGGAAGACTAATAGACAGATGAATATTTGAAGTGTTGGAAACAAAAGAACAGCATGATTTTTAATAGCAAAATAAGCAGTGAAACCAGTTCTTTGGGAAATGTCGTGCTAATGAAACCATTTTTTGCTCCATTAAAACTGATTTATTATCTCACAGGGTTGGTTTTAGAGAAGGAAGCACATTGCACATCTCCCTCCCTCCCTGTCTTTTTTAACTTGGTGACGTAAATGACAACAGTCTTCAGTTCCCTCGAGTCATGTGGCTCAAGTGATGGATAGCACTGTCCTTGTTCCCAGGATTGATTTTAAACATTATGGCCATGCTGTCTATTTTCTTGCTCATTTCATAGTGCACTTCGCTGTGCTACATGGTATTTCTATTTGGGCATATGCCCCCCGTTTGTAGCCAGTCTCTCGTACAGCGCAGCATCTGTCACAGGCTCCTGGTTCATGGGCCCTGAAAACGTGGGTGGTCTGTGTTCATAACAGCGCCACACGTGGGACTAGGCAGTGGTGTTCTCCACACACGGTACCATTCTTCTCACATGTAGTCACTTGAGGGACTATTGTGTACGTAGTCCAGGAGGGTAGAGTAGAAAGCCTTTGCAAGCAGTTAGGTTCCAGGGATTTTTTTTTTTTTAAATCTTGATTTTGCTTTTCCCTTTAGATCAACCTGCCCCTTGACCTATGCTATGTTCAGAATTAATTGAAATTGGAGGAATGGCCATAAACATTCTTTGGGATTAAATGCCTTTCAACCATGTGGCTTTCAGACAAGCTCCTTTTTTTAAACACAAGAGTCTGATGGAGATGCAGTGGAGGCCTGGTGCACGTTTATTCCTGGGGAGAGGGTTGCCCTCATTTGCTCTGTTCCCTCTCGTGGTTCAGCATTTTCCTGATCAATGCTTTTCCCTGTTTCTCTTGTCACCTCTCCCATCCTTTGTCGTGCGTTGACTCATGATGCCTCCCTCTCGCACTCGGTGACGATGATCTCTTATGTTCCCTTGTTACCGTGGCCCATGGGTCTCTGTGCCCCTTTGTCTCCTGTGGTCTTGGTCGTCCCGTGCCCTCCAGGCTCGCGTTGGACGACGCCATTCGACACAAGCCGCTGAACATGTCATCCCGTTTTTCACCCAGGGTGGCAGGGGAGAATGACTTCCTTCAGACTGTTATAAACAAAGTCATCGCTGCCAAAGAAGTCAACCACAAGGGGCAGGGTACGTATTTTCCTATTTTGTTTCTATCAGCGTGTATTTGCATGCGTTGGGGCAGTGCTGTCTGGGTTGGTTTTAGTTTGATGTTGATCATGATGGTGGTGATAATGATGGGGATGACAGTGATCGTGGTGGAGAATGTGTGTGACAGTTGCCCCTGTGTACAGTGCATGATGGTTTTCTTGCCCGTCACCTTTGTGAACATTGCTGAGAGCCCACTCCTGGATGGAGAGTGGGGTCAGATTAGAAGTTTAGAGGAACATGCAGGCGGTAGGCGTAACTCCCTCTGCCCGTGTTGTGTGCTAATCTTTGCCTGTTCTGGGTCTTCCCTGCTGGTCTCCCTAAGAAGGTGATTTCATTTGTGCAGACTTGCTCCCCTGAGTTCTGTCATTTAAGTGATTTCTCCGCCCCTACACTCCGCCTCACACTCACTGTTTTTAATCCTGCACTGACACGTTTCTGAGCAGCTGACCTGCTGCTGGCAGAAGGAATGAATCAGTCACCTCGGGCTGGTGACAGTTGGCACTTGGCTGGCCAGGAGGGCTGCCAGGAAACAACTGTGACTGAGGCCCCGCCTCCAGCCCAAGGGGAAGTCACCTTCAGAACTTGACCGTCTCACTCCCTGATCCATGCAGACTGCCCGTAAACGCGGTAGAGCTTAGGTGAACAGACCTGCTTCATCGTCCAGCTACCTTATGTCACTAGACTTTTAAAAAACAATTATCTTGATTCATTTCCACTGTTCTAAAGGAGAATGTGAATTGAGCCTGAAGAATGTTTTAGAGAATGAGCCTTCCTAGGGATCTGCAGGGACCTCCAGCTTTCTTCTGGTGTGAACTACCCCCCTTTCTGGCAAACAGTAGCAGGACAAAAACCCCAACCCAGAACGTTAATGAGATGTGGCCTCTGCAGACAGAGCGATTTTCAGCTGACCCAGGACCCATCTTCTCCTAAATTAACAGCCCTCCCAATTTACACTTTAATTGAAAACCACGGGGAGGTCCAATTAGGGCTGTTTAGATTGGAGTCACTCTCAGGCTGGGAGTGCCAGTGCAAAGGTTGCCAGCCGATCCTTCAGTGCTTCGAGCTGGGACTGCCCTCGGATCTCCAGTTTCTTTTGCAGTCATCGGAGTTTTGATAAACTTTTATTAGAGTCATTCAGGGAAAGTGGAGTTTGGTGTCAGGCCAGCAGGAAATCACTGGGAAAGAGGACCAGAAGCCTGCCTCTGCCAGGCTCACTGGTGTGTGGCCAGGATCTTTGAAGCCGGCGAACCTTGGGCTCATGTCCGGGGGTCCAGTTCCTTGAACTTCTGGGAGGAGTGGGCATTTTCAAGTCACAGTGAAAACTGAGGGAGAAGAACAGTGATAGTTTTGTCAAGGGGATCACAGGTGACTTCCTGAATCAGAATGGCCTTAGGCAACATGACTAGTGCTTGTTTTCCTTGAACCTGAATTTTCTCCAGGGCACAATGGTGGGTGGAATTCAGGTCAGAGGTGAGTGATGTGGCCAGTGAGGGCAGCCACACAGATCGGCCGCCGGGACTGCAGGGCGCTGCCCACCGGCGCTCATTTTATCACCAGCAGCCCAGGCTTAACCTGATCCTTGCTTGTCTGTCAAGTGACTGTTAGCGGCCCCAGGAGTGGAAGGGACATGGAGGAGATACTCATCTTCAGAGAGAACCACTGGGTTTTTTCACACCTCTGTCCACATGCGCCTCCTGTCTCTTGAGCTCACCACTTGGCCTTGGCCAGTTTTTGGTTTATGCCAACATGTTTCCTCTTCACAAGAGACAAAAATCCTGAATATTTAATCCAAATTATTCTGATCCCTGAACCCAGAGGTGTGGGACATTTTATGTGGACAGTGAATTCATGAAGACTCCAGACATCTGGTTCTGTTGTTTGAGATAGAATGTATGCTAATCCTCTTTGTTTTTAGTTATTCTGCTTAAGCAAATGTCAACCCCAAATGCACTTTTTTCTCCTGTGAGAAAAGCATTTAAAACACAGCATAATCAGGAACATTTAATTTCCATTTTTAAAGCGTGTGGTAATAAATTTAATGTGTCACTAGTGCATTAGTTTATGTATTAAGATATTTGCGCAGGCCGGCGTTTCTGAGAAAGGTGTTTGAAACACAGGATTTCTAATATTAAGTGTTAAGTGTTCCATCCTCATGTCTCAACCTTTGACCTCTGTAGATAATGACCTCACCACATCCTGCAATCCTTCAAAGAGCATCTTTCTGTAAGATATATTTTGTGGACATTCATTCTCCAGGGAGGCTTTTGGACTCAAACTCCTGAGATTTGAGAAACTCTTAGCTGCATCCTGGTGTCCCAGGGAAGACCAGCTCCCTGTGAGCCACGGTGCCAGTTCCTCAGGCTCTTCTGTCAGGGTCTGGGCTTTGGTTTGCTCTCCCGGAGGCCAGGGCTGGGGGTTAGGGTGAGGAAGTGCCTGGCCCTTTGCCCATCTGTCTGCTTACCTATTCTGCAGGTCTGGAGCTGCTGTTAGCTCAGGGTGCTTTTGTGTGAATTAGAAAAAGGGGCCTCATCAACCAGGTGAGTAGGGAGATGCAGCCAGCGCCAGGACCTGTGGCTCTGTGAGCGAGTAGAGGCAGGGTTTAGCTCCCACTTGCCTTTTGTGGTCACTTGTCTAGTGAAATGCACATTCTGGGCAGTGGTACATGTGCTCCTGTCTGGGTGCCATCCCCGATACCTCTTTGGGGACCGCTTTCTATTGGTGGTTCTTCCTTCTTCAAACTCTCCCTCCCATGATCTGGAATTTCATATCTTAAAAAGAAAGGAAAAAGAAAAAAAATATTTAAAAAAAAAAAGGAAAGAAAAGAAACACCAAGAAGCAGTCCTACCCTGAGTAATACATCTGTCTCTGTCTATGTGGCCTCTCCCTCTGGTCTTCGTCTCCCATTCATCTTCACCCTTCTGCCTCCCAGCATCGGCCCTCTCCCTGAGCGCCCCCGCCCCCTCTGCCCCCGTCTCCCACCAGGAGCCCTGTGGCTGCATGGGCACCATCTGTCCCAGTTTTCCATTTCCCCTGTTATCTCTGAGGTCTCTGTCCCCTTGTGAGCTCTCAAAGTGGGCCTTTCTCCTGCCTCTTCGGGGCTCTTCTTTCCTTCCCCACTCTGGGTGCTTGCCCTTCAGGCAGCTCTGCCTGGAGCGAGCGGGTCTTCCTATTTCAAGGAACGGTGCCCCCGGGACTTGCTAGTGGTTGTGCCTGCAAGGGGCACCGTCTCTGTAAGCTGCGCCTCCTCCTACCCCAACTCCCCGTGGTTCTGCTGACTTGACCTTCACGCTGGTCCCTCTCCCACCCTCCATAGTGGCATTCACGTCCTGCCAGCCAGCTAGGATCATGCGGTGGCCTCCCTGCTGCGATTCCATCCCCACTGTGCTCTGTTCTCCTGCCTACCCATTCCCTGTAGCCACAGGGTGTCAGGTCAGAGCCTGACTCTTGTTCCTGAGCCCCACTCTGGGTGCCCCCCATCCTTCAGATAGACCACAGTCCCTGCCACCCCAGCCTCCGCACTGTCTTACCACAGCGTCTGGGGGCTCCACCTCCCCTGGGTGAGGACAGGCCTGCAGTTCCCTCACTTCCTGCAGGTCTCAGCCCCGAAGTCCCTTCCTCTGTGACCCTTGAGACTGTGGTCCCAGGATGCCTTGCAGTGTGCTCAGGACTTCTCCCGTGAGAACTTCGCAGTTGCATATTTCTCTAAGAGACCATGGAGTTAGTGTTTGACCGTTGGCAATGGAAGCTAAACACCTGTCAGGGGAGGTCGTGAGGGTCTGCCCTATGTCTCCAGTAGGTGCAGTGCCCAGTATTTGCCTGGCACATAGTAGGTGCTCAGTAGCTACTTTTGAATAAATTAGAGGGACTCACTAGATAGCAAGAGGAAAGGGGGTTTCACCAGCTGGCAAAGAACAAAACATCATCAGTGACTTTTGACTTCTCAGCTCCAGCTAATGGAAATCTGAGCAAAGGAGAATGCCATTTCCAGGATAGCGGATATAGGAATGGGCAGCCAGAGGACAGGGCGTGAGGTGCGGGATTGAATCAAGCAGGGCTGCTCCCGTCAGGGACAGCCGGAGGTGCCGGCACCGCTGTCGGTTACCTCCCAGTGCTGCTCAGAAGGCAGGCTGCTGGAGAACAGGCCTGTGACTGTCTCAGTTCCTTCCACGCAGGGCAGGGCGCTGAGCTGAGGGTGATGGAGGGCAGGTTCTGCTCTGGAGGCATCTGAAGAGGGGACAGCTGCACACACACACACATACACACACACACATGCACACATACACACACACAGATACAAATACCACAAACACAGACATACGCACATACACACACACACACCACACACACACACACTAACACAGATATAAACACCACAAACACAGACACACGCGCACACACACAGATACAGACACCACAAACACACACACAGATACACTACACATACACACACACAGATACCATAAACACACACACAGATACACCACAAACACACAGATGCAGACACCACAAACACAGATACACCACACACCACACACACACACACACCACAGACACACAGAGATATACCACAAATACATACACACGCACACACACACAGATACAGACACCACAAATAAACACAGATATGCAGATACAGATACCACACACACACACACACACACACAGATGCAGACACCATAAACACAGATACACCACAAACACATACACACCAACACATGATACACCATAAAAACAGACATACACACACAGATACAGACACCACAAACACACACACACACACAGATACACCACACATACACACGCACACACAGATGCAGACACCATTAAACACAGACACACACAGATACAGACAGCCCCTTCCACTCAGATATACATATAGACACACACAGACACACACATGGGTATAGACACAGACACGCACACAGACATATATATATACACTCACACAGATACAGATATACACATAAGCACAGATACAGACACAGACATACATACAGATACAGACACAGACATACATACAGATACAGAAAGACACAGATACAGAAACACAGACAGACACAGATTTAGCCACACGCATACAGATACACAGACACAGATACACAGAGACACACACAGACACACACGTGTACAGACACACATGGACACACAGACACACACACACACATGCACAGATACAGATACACAGACACACAGTGACTCACACAGACATACGCACAGCCACAGGCATGCGCGCATACCCATGCTAGTAGCAGAAATGAGGACAGAGGCTTTGATGTTCTGAGGGGCAGATGAGGCCCTACCAAGCTGAGTGGGGGGAAGCAAGCAGGCAGCCCCCCCTGAGGCCTCAGGGACAGAGCACCCCCATGTGCTGGCTTATAGTGCCAGCCCCTTCCCATGGGGGGAAAAGATGCCGTCGTCGTAGAAGACAGCTCAGGCCGAGCCCCTGCCTGCCCCGCCTTTGACTTGTTGGAATGTGTGGCTTGTTTCCTTGTACTGTCACCTCCTATTTGGTTGCTACTCAGTATTTATACAAACCACAGTTCTTTGTCAGCCTTGCAGGGAGGAAGATCCCGCGCACATCCCGCACACACGCCCTTACACATAGACCCCACCGGGTTTACTGCCCTCTCCCCAGGATACCCCTGGCATCTAGGTTTAGAGGCTTTGAAAGTCTTCATTTCTCTCTTGGAGAAAAGAGCCGAGAGCGGCTGGGGCTTTGTTTTCTTTTGCGGTGGCACTGTGGTACAGAGGGCCTGGGCTCCACAGGCTGCACCTGTCCTGGCTGCGGAGGGCTGTCCTGCTGGTGGCCCTGCAGACTGGTGCTCCACTGCTCGCCCAGGTTGTGTGATGCTGCTTAGCTACTTGAAACTTTGATGGGTTCTCGAAGCTACGAATTCACCTCCAGAATCCTCCCCTGCCTTTGTCTTTCCTGGGAGACTAGAAAATGACAGACTTCTCAGCCACCTCCTAGAAAAAGGTGGCCTGCTGATTTATCTTAAATGTCTACCCACTCAAAAGAGACATTGGTCCTTGGCATTCCTCAGCAGCACAGTGGGTGCACAGCAGCTGCTGATGTGCGTTCAGCTGTCTGTGAGTCACCCTAGGGCAGGGCTGGCATCCCAGCTCGTTGGATGCATGGAGTCCCCACGACAGGCACCTTTTGCCTTGCCCCTCTCTTTCTCATATACCCACCTTTTCTCTCAAGATGTTGAATTGTGAATTAAAAGTCTCTCATTCATTGAAATTGGTTTCGTGAAAACTTCTAAAAATGCATAGGATAAAATGCGACTTAAGAGCATCCATTGTTTTTCCAGGTTTGTGGGTAACATTGAAATTACTTCCTGGAGATATCCATCAGATCCGAAAAGAGTTTCCGCATTTAGTGGACAGGACCACAGCTGTGGCTCGAAAAACAGGGTTTCCGGAGATAATCATGCCTGGTAAGAACTGGCTTGTTCAGGGCTTCTCAGCATGGCATGGGGGTAGCCGGCCACGGAGGATGACGTGTGGGCAGCATCATGTATGAGCTCTGGCAAGGAAAGGGCTCAGCTCCTGGTAGGTGACCCTGTAAGCCCCAGCATGGTTATGGATCATGGGGCTGTGACCGGAGTGGTAGAATATGCTCCCTGGCCCCCTGTACCCCTGGATGGATCAGCTCTCCCCAGCTGCAAGGATTGTGTGAGGGGGGCGTGGGCACCCAGCAAATGTCTGGGTAGACATCAGGTCAAAAGAAGAAAGAGGTCAGAAAGGGAGCTGCCCATTGTGAAGCCCACTTAGGGCAAATGGCAGGGTTGGATGGTCGCTGAATGGAAATGCCTGTGCCTGCGCCCGCTCAGCTAGTGTACGTTATACTGGCATTCCTCCATGAATTCTAAGTCATGAATTCTAAACTGACCGATAACAGGATTTGCGTGTTAACATTAATCTCATATTTACATAATACTTTTCATTTTCCAAATAACGTTCCTAATAATCTGATTTGATCATCAAGAGATCTTTGGAAGCATGTTAATTTGTATCCTTTATATCCGTGTGATACTTTTTGGTTTGCAAGTAATGCTTACGTGGCTTGGCAGGGCGTAGTGGCTCATGCCTGTAATCCTAGCACTTTGGGAGTTCGAGGCGGGGGGATCACTTGAACTCGGGTTCGAGACCACCCTGGGGAACATGGCGAAACCCCGTCTTGACAAAAAAATAAAAAAACTAGCTGGGCGTGGTGGCATATGCCTGTCATTCTAGTTACTTTGGGGGGCTGAGGTGGAGGAATCACTTGAACCTGGGAGGCAGAGGTTGCTGTGAGCACAGATCACGCCACTGCACTCTAGCCTGGGCGACAGATTGAGACCCTGTCTCAAAACAAAACTAACTTGAACCACGTGAGGCTCTTGGAAGCCCACAAATTGGTGTTGAGTGAATTCCTATCCAGATTAAACTGTAGCCTAAAGTCGCTCAGCTAATGAGCCGTGGAAACGGGGACAAACTCCCCCATATTCAACGCGGCCTCCTTTTATAGGCCTGTGCTGTATAGCCAGGAGAGTGGTGGCTATTCAGGGTGCATGCTGTAGGAGTTACTGCTTTGCTTACTTTAGTGCAACTTCAAGACACATTCTTTCTACTCCTTTTGTCTTTCAGGGCTGTTGTGGGTCATTGAATAGTCGGTCTGGTAAATCCATATGAAAGACATCTAAATTGGTTAGGCTAAATAATAGCTAGGCTTACCTGTACAGAAAGAAAAGCATGACGTTTAGTCAATTCTGAAGCTATTGCTTGTGTGTGTCCAGTCTATATGCAGGAAATTAATTTAGGTTTATTAATGGGAGTGGACTAATTTGTATACTTATTATTTGTATTTGCATTTGAGATACAGATTTATAAATTAGGATGAAGCAATTGGCAATATGCATTTATCTTGGCATCCTTAGGATGTCCTCATGTTCAAAGGGAAACTCAGAAGCTTCCAGTTCATGCCAATAGTGTTTCCCTTATGATGGATAGACTTAAAAACTAAGTCTAGGCCCGGCGTGGTGGTGAGTGCCAGGTAGTAGCTGCTAGTAGCAGGTACTAGGGAGGCTGAGGTGGGAGGATCCCTGGAGCACAGGAGGTCAAAGCCGTAGTGAGCCATGATCACAACCACTGCACTCCAGCTTGAGTGACAGAGAGAGAACCTGTCTCAAAAAAAAAAAAAACTAAGTCTAAACTTGTAGATCATCTCATGATAGATTCATAGGGAAATGATACAGTTGACCATTGTTCTGGCAGGTTCCATGTGCTGAGTCCTCGGGTATATATCTCACAGGAAGTGATTCTAGCTTGGGTGGGTCATCTGCGTTCTCTGTTGGCCGAGTAATCACTGGCCGCGCTGTGGGCACCAGAGAGAGAGAGAGTATGGGCGGTTATCAGTCTGTCTCGCTGTCTTTAGCCTGCAGAACCTGTGTATCACCCGGTTTTGTCACTGTCTGCAGGGATGCGCGTCTTCTTTGGACAGCGCAGAGCCTGTCCCATCACCCAGCGGCCTGCTCTGCTACTTTCTCATAGCTCGTTGGACTCCTGGAATCCTTATGAAGGATCCAGGCAGGCGATGCCAAGTTTTCCTTTGAGCTGGGAAGGTAGCAGGAGTCCACTATGTCTGCTTCTAGTTCCTTCTTCCCCAGAATGTTCTGTAACCTGGGGAGGCATTTGATGAGGGTCTATGGTGAATGCCCATTTGTGGGGTTTGCTTACTGTAAATGAGGTCTTACTTCTGTGCTGGCCCTGGAGTAACGCACTTGAGGTGTACTTGGGAGTGAGGCTGTGGGAGTTTCGCCCTGTCACCCGGGCTGGAGTGCAGTAGCACGATCTCAGCTCACCGCAACGTCTGCCTCCCAGTTTCAAGCAGTTCTCCTGCCTGAGCCTCCGGAGTAGCTGAGATTACAGGCACGCACTACCATGCCTGGCTAATCTTTTTATTTTAATAGAGACGGGGGTTCACTGTGTTGCCCAGGCTGGTCTCAAACTCCCGAGCTCAGGCAATTCACCCACCTGAGCCTCGCAAAGCGCTGGGATTACAGGCGTGAGCCACTGCACCCGGCCTTGAAGTTCTTTTTTGATGATGGTGTTTGTGCCTTGATAGAATTTTTAGGCTGAGAGATCATGGAGTTTATGCCTTCCTTATCAGTGAGGCTGTTTAGTGGTGCTGGCCTTGGAGGCTAAGTGACTTGTCCAAGGTCACACAGCAAATGAGCAACAAGTCTTGGTTGGGTGGCCTTGCACCTGCCCCTCGTCCTGTGCTCCACGGTTCTTCTCGTGGTCAGTATCAGTGGGCGGCAGCCGCGCCTCCTTCCACACAGCTACTGTGGCTGTGGTGGCAACCCACTGGGATTATGATGATAATGACTTTTAAATGAAAGCTTAATTTAATAGTTGGATACATTAAAAGCCAAAATAGAGCAGTTTAAAAGAAAAAAAAAAGCCAAAACAAGAAAGCAAGGAGCAAAGAGAGTTATTTTCCTTAAGGGATCCTTGGTCTTCAGCCAGAATGGGCATTTGCTGCTCTTGACGGAACCGCTCTTTGGCTCCTTGGGAGAGCGGGTGGTCAGGGCGTGGGAGGTGGCCAGGCAGGCAGCAGAGGAGCAGTGGCTGGGAACGAGGCTTCCT
The DNA here is from genome assembly GCF_000001405.40 of Homo sapiens. NCBI lineage: Eukaryota > Metazoa > Chordata > Mammalia > Primates > Hominidae > Homo > Homo sapiens. Next base: position 127,022,029 of record NC_000010.11, read on the forward strand.
CTAAATCATGTTACTAATGAAGCTTGTGAAGTTCTCCCAGTTGGGCCATTACCAGGGGCTTCCTATGTTCTCAGTAGGAAGAAGAGTCTTGAGCTCATTTCTTGCGTTTTTTTTACCCCCTACAATTAAAAGCCCATCTCACTTTAAAACAGACAGGTCTGTTTTGTTCTTCTCTCTGTGGTCCCCATTCGGGATCCTGATAGCTGCCTGCCAGAAGGGAAGAGCCATGCAGAAAGTTTCTCCCTAGACCCGTTTTTCCTCCCTGATTCTAGGCTGGTGATCCTCATTCTTTTTTTCTTTATTTTTATTTTATTTTATTATTTTAAGTTTTAGGGTACATGTGCACAACGTGCAGGTTTGTTACATATGTATGCATGTGCCATGTTGGCGTGCTGCACCCATTAGCTCGCTTTTGAGACGGAGTTTTGCTCTGTTGCTGAGGCTGGAGTGCAGTGGCAGGATCTCGGTTTGCGGCAACTTCTGCCTCCCGAGTAGCTGGGATTACAGGCCTGCACCACCACGCCCAGTAGCTAATTTTTGTATTTTTAGTAGAGATGAGGGTTCACCATGTTGGCCAGGCTGGTCTTGAACTCCTGACCTCAAGTGATCTACCCACCTCGGCATCCCAAAGTGATGGGATCACAGGGGTGAGCCACCTCGCCTGGCCGGTCCTCATTCTTAATCAACTTTTAGTTCAACTCTTGGAGTCATGCTTTTAAGAAGAATGCATAGGAGGCAACCTTGCCAGTTACCTGGGAGTGCCAGTGGATACTGCGATAGTCCTTGGCTACTGAGGACTCAGACAGCCGTAGCCAGCCGTCTAACAAGGGACAATGGTGTGGGCTGCCATGGGTCATGGATGCCATCAATAGTATTGGAGCCCCTCTGGTTGTCGGCTACCCTGAGAGGGGTAGAGTGTCCTCTGCCCAGATGATAACCAAGCAGATCATTGGAAACTTTGAGATTTTTCCTCTTTCTAGAAAACTTTATCATGATGAAAATTGCTCTTGTCATGTATTTAAATGGTGAGACTGTTTTGTAGAAAATATTTCATAATCATCTAATATGTATTTGTAATAATCTATGAGGATAGGTAGACAGTCTTGCAAAATTCACAATTACGCTATTAATAATGGATTGTTTTTTAAATGTATGATTTCTCCCCCCTCAGGTGATGTTCGAAATGATATCTATGTAACATTAGTTCAAGGAGATTTTGATAAAGGAAGCAAAACAACAGCGAAGAACGTGGAGGTCACGGTGTCTGTGTACGATGAGGATGGGAAACGATTAGAGGTATTTATTGTGGCGAGGGCTCATCTGTAGTGTTTCAGTTTTACTTGCCAAGTGCTCACCTTGGCTCTGCTACAGCATAGATGTCGTCAGGGTGGGGCTTTGGAGTCCCGTTTCTTGGGATTGGCGTTGGTTCTTGTTTCCTTTTCTCCAGCTTGCCATGCAGGGCCTGGGGTCCTCTGGTCCTGGCAGCTGGCCTATCTCAGGAGGTCCCTGTGGTCTTTTTTTTTTTTTTTTTTGAGATGGAGTCTAGCTCTGTTGCCCAGGCTGGAGTGCTGCAGGTGTGTGCCACCGTGCCTGGCTAATTTTTATATTTTTTAGTAGAGATGGGGTTTCACCATGTTGACCTCAAATAATCCGCCCGCCTTGGCCTACCAAGGTGCTGGGATTACAGGCGTGAGCCACAGTGCCCGAGCAGGTCCCTGTGGTCTTGACCACCTTTGCCCAACCTTATCGTGGAGTCTCATTTGCTGTCACAAGCCCAAGGCCTAAAGGTCTAGCAGTCACACTAGAAGTACAGATACCATTGTTACGATTTGAGAGATGAAGAAAAATGAAGGCCCTAAGAAATCAATTAAATTGCTCAGCGTTAGAGAGCTCTAGGGGTGGAACTGAGCACCTGCTCATGACAGCCAGAGCTCTGACCTCGTGCTCTACCTACCGGCGATCATGAAGATCTGCTTCCGTGGCCACAGCAGCCTGCAGGGTCCACCTGGGAGGTACTTAGAAGCTATTGCCTCCTCTGATGACCAGAGGTCAAATCAGAGCTGCTGTCCCTGTGAGGTGCCTCTTTGCACCAGTGCTGGAGGACTGGGCTTTTCTGGGCCCATGGGGTTGTGCCTAAGGCTCAGTGTCGCCAAGAGAAGCATTATGTCTTTCTCTCTGGGTGAACTCTGTCCAGCATCACTGCCTGCCTCGTCTCCCTGGAAACATAGGTGCTGCCCTTGCCACTGGTCTTTCTGGTTGGAGTGAAGCAAACAGTGTTCATGGCTGGAGGAAGGGGAGGGGAGGGTTCCCACTTTTTAGTCTACAGTCCCTCACCCTAGACCTATGGGACGGATCAGGCAACTTCCTGCAGATCCTAATGTTAAAGTTATTAGGGTTGAGGGTCTGGGGAACTGGAGGTCAGTGTCATCCCCATGTGTCATAACCATCAAGATCTTCAATGTGTGAGAACAGGGGTTGGAGCTGGCCGCTGGCTTCAGGTGGATCTGTGCTTCCCTTGCTGGGAACGTGTTCATTTGTGGTGGGGGTGTGTTGGTGTTCTTGGAGCGTACCTGTCCCCCCACATATATAGTGGGAGATGTATATGGTGTCAAGCTCTATGAGGTCTTACGTGAGCTCTTTATGTCTTCTTTTAAAGCATGTGATTTTCCCGGGTGCTGGTGATGAAGCGATTTCAGAGTACAAATCTGTGATTTACTACCAAGTAAAGCAGCCACGCTGGTTTGAGACTGTTAAGGTATTATTTACATGGTCATTTTATCACATGGCGCTGATTATGAAATGCTCATTTGTAACCCAAGGAAACATCCTAACATCCTCCTCAGCCCGGGAGCTGCTCCAGGCAGGCAGAGTGTCTCCCAACAAAGTCATTCAAGGTTGCTAAGGAACCACACTGGTGTTTCTTAGAATACATTTACTCTCATCTCCTTTTGGACGTAAAAATAGGACGTTCATGGAGACAAATGACAGAGTCTTTTTAAGATAGCTATTGTCTTTCTCTTCCCAGTACTGTTTTATGTGTGGCATGCTGTCTTTACACCAAACAAAAAAACCGAGCTGCCAGCCTGTGGAGGTCATTGCTGGGGAGTGGGATCCTGTTCTGTAGCTCTGATATGGTGCCTTTTCATAATGCAGCGTGCTCACATCTCCACGATGGAGTAAACACCGTCTCACCGCCAAGAGCTTGAATATTTGAAAACCAGGCCAGGGGTTGGCTCTGGAATACAGATGTTTGATGTGAGAATTAGGGACAATTTTTGCTTAGAGGCAGCATGTATTAGGTCTTTTTTCTTTGAGTGTAATGTGACAACAGGAAAGCTTTTTTGGCGCAGCTGTGGGCAGGTCACCACAGCTGTGGAAGGAATATAGACCCTTCCAGGTTGGGGCTAAGAAGAAAAACGGCAACTTTTCTTTTTTTGAGACGGAGTCTCATTCTGTCACCCAGACTGGAGTGCAGTGGTGCAATCTCGGCTCACTGCAACCTCCACTTCCTGGGTTCAAGCGATTCTCTTGCCTCAGCTTCCTGAGTAGCTGGGATTACAGGCATGTACCATGATGCCTGGCTAATGTTTTTGGTATTTTTAGTAGAGTTGGGGTTTTATCATGTTGGCCAGGCTGGTCTCGAACTCCTGACCTCAAGTGATCCACCCTCCTCGGCCTCCCAGACTGCTGGGATTACAGGCATGAGCCACCATGCCCGGCCCAAAAACAGCAACGTTTAAAAGTAGAATCTTGGCCGGATGTGGTGGCTCACACTTGTAATCCCAGCACTTTGGGAGGCTGAGGTGGGCAGATCATCTGAGGTCAGGAGTTTGAGGCCAGCCTAACATGGAAAAACCTTCTCTACTAAATACACAAAATTAGCTGGGTGTGGTGGCGCATGCCTGTAATCCCAGCTACTCGAGAGGCTGAGGCAGGAGAATCGCTTGAACGCAGGAGGCGGAGGTTGTGGTGAGCCAAGATCGAGCCATTGCACCACTCTAGCCTGGGCAACAAGAGCGAAACTCTGTATCAAAAAAAAAAAAAGAAAGAAAAAAGAATCTTAACAGTAATGGTCAGAGCATTCAGAAAAAAAAATTCAGCTGTGTCACGGAGTCAGTTGGCTTGGCAGCTGTTACAATATGATACAAAATTTTGCAGAGGCATTTTGTCTTTGGAAAAATCATATAGGGGACTAGGTGTACAGTATTTTCACCACTGCAGTTAGAAATGTTTACAGTTGTACCTGATAGCTCCAGTTGAATAAAGCTGTTACGCTGGATGATATTGATAACAGTGCTTAAACTTCTTTTTCAATTCTTGAAGGTGGCCATTCCCATCGAGGACGTTAACCGCAGTCACCTTCGGTTTACCTTCCGCCACAGGTCATCACAGGACTGTGAGTAGTCAAGCACTTTCTTCCCCCAAGTATTTTTAAGGGAGAACTGGGGGAAAGCGCGAGAGGCCACTCTCAGTTGTTCTGGAACTCGCTATCATAACACAATAAGGCTCATTTCCCACCGGAACCTATTCCTTGGAAACATTCTTCTCTCTTTTCCTTGAGCAGATCTCAGGAGGAGATCTTAATTTCCTTCTCCAGTTCCTCCTACCCAGTGTTGCTGGTCCCCTTCTTTCTTTTGCTTTCCAGTCTTCCGTGTTGACTTGCCATCCATCCATGCCATCCATCAGAAAAGTTACTGAGCTGTAACAAATACCTCTCAAACATGGGCTCTTAAGGTGCCTGTCTTAGAATTGGAAATCTTGAACCCTTTTTGTCTTCCTTGGTGGCCCTTGCTGTCTGGAGCTCAGGGATGGCTTTTCTCATAGACATTTTTGTGAATACTGACCATGGTGCCAAGACTTTAGGAGGAAAGAACTGCTATTTGAATCACTCTCCTTCAAAAAGAATTTATTATTGATGACTGAAATTTGTTCCATCACATTTTGTTAAATTAATTGTCAACTAAAGCTGTAGCCCTGTGCTAGACAGTAAGATATCACAGAAGGAAAACATGATTCCCGTCTTTCAGGGTGTGTGTCTCTTTGGCATTGGGAACTGAGACATATTCATATTTGGGACAATAAATGACAAAGAGAGTTGGCTACAGGCTTGTGTGCCGCAGGCAGTTAAAGGAAAAGAGTGGTGTGGAGGGCAGACCGCCCTTTGTCACTGATGACCCCGTGGGGGTCACACCGTGCAGTGGGCAGTTTCAGGTTCTGTGTGCTCTGGATGGAGCTTAAGCATGAGCCTCTTCTGTATCTTCATTTGAGGATAAGAATACCTTTCTGGCTGGTGCCGTGGCTCACACCTGTAATCCCAGAACTTTGGGAAGCCAAGGTGGAAGATTGCTTGAGCCCCGGAGTTTGAGACCAGCTTGGGCAACACAGTGAGACCCGATCTTTACTAAAACAGTTATCCTGGTGTGATGGTATACCTGTAGTCTCAGCTGCTCAGGAGGCTGAGGCAGGAGGATTGCTTGAACCCGGGAGGCAGAGGTTGCAGTGAGCTGTGATTGCACCACTGCACTTCAGCCTGGGGAACAGAGTGAGACCCTGTCTCAAAAACAAAAAGCAAAACAAAAAAAACATTAAACCTTCCTCCTAGGGTATTCTTGAAGGTCAGGCAAGGTGGAGGCTGGCCACCTTCTGGCACGCTGCCTGGTATGGATAGGGGCTCCATTGTAGTTGCTGCTGCTGGAATAATGTGTTCATTCACCTGACTATTTCTGGGGCCTGGCCTGCCCTGGGCCCTCCATGTGGGGTGGGTGTGCCTGGACAGGGGGGCTGCAGGAGAGCAGCCTGGAGAGCAAATGCACGAGCACGGTCATGATGTTATGGTGTGCAGATCATCGAGAAGCTTGGGCCTGCTGTTGTTCAGGGGAGTTGGAGAGGCCTGGTGTGTGGTCTGCAGAGCTGGGGTGCCGGCCCATGACTGTCAATGGCAGATGTGTGTGTGGTGGGGCCCGGCCTGGGATGTGGCTGACTGGAGGGGTTTCAAGCAGCATGGAGTGCCTGGTGGTGGGTGGTGCATGGCGGGGGAGTGCGGGGGGTGGGTGGTGGCTGGCAGCTGCCGAAAGCATCATTGCATTCCTGTCCTGTCCCAACAGTGCATGCAGGCCAGGGGTTCAGTTACAAGGGCATCAGGTTTATGTCTAACGGGAGAAGCAGGGGCAGGAAGGCCGCCAGCTTGGAAGGCAGTTCCCTGCCATCTCATCCTTGCCCCAGGATCAGATCCAGGCTACCAGACCCCAGACCAAGTCGGATCTGCTAATGGTGCACAACATCCTTGGTGGCCGAAGCTGTAGGATAATAACAACTATCAGCAGATGTTGGCCATCGTTCACTATGCTCTTATCATGTGCCCGACACAAGAAGTTTATTGTGTTATTTGGATTCGTCCTCGCAAGATTCCCATGTGGTATCAGTATTATTACTTCCCACATTACAGATGAGGAAACTGGGGCTTGGAAACCCCAGGTCAGGGGCTGAAAGGCACCCAGGTAGTCAGTGGAAGAGCTTTGGTTCTAAGCCAGGTCCTTGTGCCCGAGCCTTATGCTCCAATGCCTTGGGGGAGTGGCGAGGCCACTTCTTTCCTTTGGCTTTTATTGAGTTCCTGCTGTATACACAACAAGCTGCTGGGGTTTCTCCTCTTGCAGAGCTTAGGTTTGAGTTGAGGTTTGAGATTAGTTTGCAAGAACCAGCTAGGGCGTGGCAGCCTGTGAGTATCACATGAATTAGGCAGAGGTATGATGTGAGCGGAGGGTGCTGGTGGAATGGGGGTGGCTGTGGGCACAGGTGTGTCCTCGACCAAGGCATGGAGGGCATGGTGGGGGCCAGCCTAGTGGGCTGCAGTGTGCCCCAGACCCTCTAGGGCTCCACGCATATATCACCTTGAGGCCCACGGAGGAAGCAGGTTAAGAACGGGGTTCTGGAATCCACAGAGGACTCGTCTCAAAATTACGCTCCCGTCTTTTAACAAGCTCATTCTCTCTAATTAATAAATTACACTAGGGCAGAGCGATAGCTCCTGTAGCATTTTAATTTTCAAAATCCTTGTTTTTCTTGTCAGTTTTAAGTACTCATTATAGACAAGATGCTATCACCCAACATACCAGGACACATCTGCATAATAAATGAAGTCTCCGTGGCCACAGCTTGTGGGATTTTGGAAACATGTTGAGCATCGCAGGTGCGATGCCGATGAAAGCCTGGATGTCGGCCGCTGACCATGGCCTTCGGGGCCTCCCCAGCCAGCCCTGCATGCAGATACCTGGGGCAGAAACAGGTAGAAAGAGCTGAGGCCACATTGGTCCCCACTTGCTACCCTGAAGAGGAGGCTAGCAAAGGGAACAAGTGATGGGATTTCTCACCTGGGATCTGACCTTGGGATTGGAAAGTTTGGTGTCGATGGGTTAACATAATACCTTTCCAGCAACCTGTCGGCAACTCCAGCTGCACCAGACCGTGTGGTCCACGGAGCCAGGCAGACTTGCAGCTCTCAGGCCCAGCTGGCCAGGAGCTGAGTTTTCCTTGATTGTAGTGGGCTTGTTGGGTAGGGCGGCCTAGAGAATGGGCAGCTCTACCCACACTCCAGAACACACAACCCCTACTGCTGTTCCTAAGGTTCTGTAAACTTGTCATATAAACCATCCATCTCATGATGGCTGCTAGTGAGCATGCAGTAAAAAGCGGTCCATTCCTCGGATGTGAAGATGCAGAATGTTAATAAAAGGTGCACTTACTGTACTACTTACTGGTAGGGTCAGTAGAAGCCTTCTGCTGACCATTATTGTCACACATCCTTCTGAACCCTGGCTGTTTTCCTGGAGGCATGTCTTTTTTGTTGCCGTTGTTTCCAAGTCCACCCAAACTTAGGAGGAACTGTTCTGTTCTTTGCCATTTGAACATTGAAATATTTCATGTGCTCTGGTGCCCTTTTACAGAGTTATTTTTTTAGAATCCTAGGGTACATATATTTTACTTCTGTTTCTTCCTGTGTTTTTTGGCTGGTTGATTATTCATGGAACCATTTAATTTGCCAGGATGTATTGAGCACAACCAGGAAGGCAAAGGTGATAAGCCATGTTGTCTTGGGTAGTGGGATCCGACGGTAAATATTTTGAGCCGTGGACTCAAGGCGGGTGGATGTGTCATTCTCCCTCTCTGATCTCTGTCCTTTCATCTATAAAGAGAAAGCTCGGAATCTGTAATTGTAGAGATAGTTTCCAGCTCTGGTCCTCTGTTTCTGTGCTCTGCTGGGATTGCAACTTGAGGAATTTCTGGCAGATCCATTTCTTCAGTCCATGTTCCTCATCTGTCCTGGCTTATCAGTCCTTCCCCGCCTTTGGCCCTCGCTGTCTGTCACCAGCCACACTGGACTTCTGTCCCCAGATGTGCCACACTGGTCCTCGTGAGGGCCTCTGCGCTAGGTCCCCCTCTTCCTGCAGCATTGACATCTTGGCTTATGTGCTGTCCAGCTTCTCAGAGAGATGTCTTCTGACTAATAAATTGGATTGTCCCCGTTGTCACTGTGACCCCTTAAGAAACCACAATGTTTTGTTTTCTATATCATCTGAAAGCTCATTTGTTTGTTGACTGTCTCCCAAAGTGGCACAAATATGGATTGAGTACCTGTTGGGCACCAGGCTCTATTTCATGTACTAGGAAATGGCAGTAAAACAAAAGGTCACTTACATTCCAGGGTCTAGTGGATGAAACCAACAATAAATAGCAACAAGATCAACAAGATTCTCTATCAATCTATCTCTATCTCTGTCTCTGTCTCTGTCTCTGTCTCTATCTCTATCTCTGTCTCTCTGTCACACACACACATAAACACAACATCTGGTAGTGATAAGAATTATCACGAAAATAAATCAGGTGAGAGGAAAGAGGGTGATTGGGTGACTAATGGGCTATTTTAGACAAGATATGGTCACTTTGGAGGAGGTGACATTTTGGCAGAAACTTGAATGAAGCGAGTGAGCCCCACATGCAGATACCTGGGGGATGAACTTTCTCGCCAAAGGCAGCACAATTTCACATTGGGGTCGTTAGTCCATTGGTAATTCACATGATGGATATTGCAAGGCAGGAATTGATTTTAGTTTTCTGTATTGACCCGCAGTTTCCTTGGTGGAATGGTCTGCCCCTTCCCAGCCTCTGTCGTTTACTGTGGCCTCTTGTTTCCAGGCCCTGTTGATTTCCGCTGGTCTGGGCGTCTTAGGTTGAAAGCACACAGTCTTTCTCATTGTCATTTTACAGTTACTCTCGCTTTCTAGTGTTGCGGGCTTTCCTCTGCCTTCTTCAAGACCATGCTGCTCTTCTTGGCCCTTTATCCTGGAATCCGTTTTCACGTTCCAGGAAAAATCTCTTCTATGAGATTTTGATTAGAATGGCTTTGAATTTATAGATTAATTTGAGAACAACTGATCCCTTTATGCTAGGAGTCTTCTTACTTGTAAACGTGGTCCATTTTTCCATATATTTATTAGATTAGCTTTAATACCTGTTTGTATAATTTTGTAATTGTTTTCATAAAGGTAGCCTTTGTAGCTTCTTATAATGTTATTTTGTCATGATAATTGAAAGCAATCATCAATTTTTTTGTTTTTTGTTTTACAGCTAAGGATAAATCTGAGAAAATATTTGCACTAGCATTTGTCAAGCTGATGAGATACGATGGTACCACCCTGCGAGACGGAGAGCACGATCTTATCGTCTATAAGGTATCTGGTTGCATTGGTGCAATATTGCTGCTATAGACAGTTTCAGTCTTTTCTGGGCTCCCTGACCTGGACCAACCTTTCCCATCATTGTGAGGAAGCTGCTATCTAGCTACATTTAATTATGCAAATGAACATTTCCAATGACCAGCCCTTTTGTTGTTCCTAACGGGAAAAGATGATATACAATATAACAATAGGTGCCATCTAAAAATGCCGTGAACATGAATTATGCTGCAGTAATAAGGGAAATTATTAAAATGTGTATTTAATATGATACAAAGCAATTACGATGGTTACAAGGATTAGGGATAACAAAGGGTGGCAAAAATGGTGTGTTGCTGTTTGTGAATTGCCTTTGACATACGGCATGACTAAATCCACAGGCCGAAGCAAAGAAGCTGGAAGATGCTGCCACGTACTTGAGTCTGCCCTCCACGAAGGCAGAGTTGGAAGAAAAGGGCCACTCGGCCACCGGCAAGAGCATGCAGAGCCTTGGGAGCTGCACCATTAGCAAGGACTCCTTCCAGATCTCCACGCTCGTGTGCTCCACCAAACTGACTCAGAACGGTGCGTTCGAGAGGAGAAACACACTCACCCCAGGAGCTCTGCCCCAGTCCTGTCTTTTCCATGCTCCTTCCTATGTGGAGGTGTGCTCCGTAGGTGCATGAACGTCACCCATAAGGCATTCATTGCATCGGGCTGTGATGATTTATCAATGCATAGAAGGTGGCATTTGTTCATTTGTTGTAATTTAAAATTCACACTTCTACTCTGGTCTAAGGGTTATTCTTTTATTTTTATTTTTATTTTTTAAGACAAGGTCTCAGTCTCGCTCTGTTGCCCAGGCTGGAGTGCAGTGGTGTGATCTCAACTCACTCCAGCCTTGTCCTCCTAGGCTCAGGCGATCCTCCCACCTCAGCTTCCCATGTAGCTGGGACCACAGGTGTGCAGCATCACGCTTGGCTAATTTTATTTTTATTTTTTATAGAGATGAGGTCTCACTTTATTGCCCAGGCTATTCCCAAACTCCTGGGTTCAGGCAAACCTCCCGCCTCGGTCTCCCAGAGTGCTGGGATTACAGGCACGAGCCACTGTGCCCAGCTGTATTACTCTTAAAGGGAGATAAAGCAATGGATTTACTTCTTAAAATGATTTTTGGCCAAAGGAAGGTAGCGTGACATAAAGGAAAGTGCACAAGATTTGGAGTCAGACTAAAAACCTGGAATCGGACCATAGCCCTGTGTTAACCCTGGGGATGCCCTTCAACAAGTCTTCTGCACATTTCTGGGTCTTATCTTCCTTGTCTGTCGATACGGGAATAGTGCCTGCCTCAAAGGGCTTAGTGAGGGTTACATGAACAGTGGGCTGGGAGCTCACCTCCCTCTTTATGTCTTCCCCATTCTCAGCTACTCTCTGAGATAATTACTAGTTATCTTTATTTTTAAAAGCTGGTTTGGATGTTACTTTCTAGCCCTACTCGTGCTGTGGGATAAGGCACCCCCTGCTGACTCCCACACCCCAAAGCTCAGCCCTAATGTGGCAGATCACTCATCCATCAGCTGGTGCCGTGCCCTTGTGTGGGGTTTGGCCGATGCTTTGAGTGCCTGCACCACCACTGCTTGCAGCCTCTCCAGTGACATTGCTGTCCAGCCAGGGGTACTTCTTATTCAGAGCACACTGATGTTGTTGCTGTCACTCCGTCTGGAAGAGGCAGAAATCCTACATTTAAAAATTGAATCTTCCAAATGCAGCCGTATCACAGCTGTGCAGAGTGACTTTATGCTCTCTTGAAGCAGAGCTTGAAAATCCAATTTTTTCCTCTTAACTGCCCGATACAGATTTTGATTATTACTGTCTGTTGCTATCATGAGTTGTGTCTCTGGGGGATTGTCCGTAAATCATGGCAGTAGTTTTGGATTTGCCCAAGGGACAGTCATCGTTTGGACTTTAATAGGATAAACACAGGACAAAAGTAAAGCCATTGTCTGGAAGTCAGGACATTGTAGTGGAGCGTGCACTGAGTGTGCTGCATGTTTGGGCATGCGAGCCCTGGGTCAAATGCTTTTGGATCTTTCCGTTTCTGCACTTTGCACTCTGTTGTTCTGGGCTACACTTTCCCACTGCTGGTCTGCTGAGTAAACTGCTTGGTGTGGGAGCAGTAAGTCTCTTAAGTGCCTTAAGCCTACTGGGGCACTTTTATATTCCATTTGCATGCATTTCTCGAACCATTTATGAAGGGTCCTAGCTTGTGGTTGTGTAGTGGTCTCCATGAGCATATGAAAAGCCTTACCTGGGTGTGGGATCTATGCAGCCGTGCAGTGGGGAAGGGAGAGAATGCACAGGGAGCCTGCTAGTGGCATGCCCGAGGCATGTGCAGTGTATTTGTCCCTGTTCATGCTGCTGATAAAGACATACCTGAGACTGGGCAATTTACAAAAGAGAGAGGTTTAATGTACAGTTCTGTGTGACTGGGGATGCCTCACAATTGTGGTGGAAGGCAAGGAGGAGCAAGTCACATCTTACGTGGATGGCCGCAGGCAGAGAGAGAGAGAAAGAGAGAGAGAGAGCTTGTGCAGGGGAACTTCTCTTTTTAAAACCATCAGATCTCATGAGTCTTATCACTCTCATGAGAACAGCACAGGAAAGACCTGCCCCCATGATTCAATTACCTCCCACCAGGTCCCTCCCACAACACGTGGGAATTCAAGATAAGATCTGGGTGTGGACATAGCCAAACCATATCATGTGGTCAGCAGTGCGGGGCTCAACTTGGGACTTGGTTATGGAAAGGATGCTCCCCTGTGACATGTTAGTCTCTGGATGTGGCCTTGATAGCTCCACTCGCCTGACAGATGACAGCATCCAGAGCCTAATTTAACCCAAAGGTGACATCTCCAGGTGGGCCACACTTTAGCATTTCAGTAGGTGCCATGTGTTGCAGTGCTCATGGTGCAGGAAGCCATCATCTCATAATTGGGTCATGTTCCGAAAGCATGCTCGGAAGTCATTACTTAACTTGCTCATCTTTCCCCATTCAAAGCAATGCTCTGAGCTGCGGTTAGGTGATGAGGCCCATCCACAGAATCCTTCTTAACCCTTATGACCCTGGAGAAAGGGGACTGTGGACCAGGACATCCCCCCGGGGGGTGGGGTCAGTGGCAATCCCTCCTTTCACCCTCAAGCTCCTTAAGTCTCACCAGCTGCAGAGTAATCCCCTCCCCAGACTGAGGGAGAGGGCACCCTGCTCTCAGCAGCAGCTGTTGCCAGGCAACAAGGAAATTCCGATGTGATGCCACTCACCAGGACTGATGGGAAGTCTGCCTTTCATTTCTCACCAGCCACGGTTCCCCTTCTTGGGATTGTGGCATGTCAGGTGTGTACAAGATGGAGCTGCCCCAAATGGCGTCTAAGCATCAACTCCCACATTCTCATTTGAGGGAATCATTTTTCTGAAACCATGATTTGTTCCTGCGAAGTTCCATTACTTAGGGAAACGCAGTGGCTGAATTATTCATTGAGGTTGGTATTAAACTTCTCTGTCCTCAGCATTATGCTAGATGCTGTGGGGGATATGAAAGAAGTACAAGATGTGATTCCTCTTCTCAATTAACTGACTATATAATTAGAAAGGAGTCATGAATATGGGCTGTGAGTCCCGGTAATAAGGGCCTGGGGTGGGACTCATCTGCCTTGGGCAGCCTCATGGGGGCTGGACAAGCCCTGTTTTCTTCCAGCACTCCCTTTGCTCCAAGGTGTTTTACTACTCATTAGCCCAATTGGACTTTGTCTCAAACTTACAATACAGCGTGCCACCAACTTTGAATGAAGGGGATCCAGATTATTACTGTCTATTAAGGAAATACTGGTAATTCTTGTGAGATGGAAATCTCCCTTAACCCTAGGACCAAGAGTGTGTCTGGGCAGGATGGAGCCTTTTCCATTACTTCACTTTCACTTAGAAATGAAGACATGTTGCCCAGGTGCAGTGGCTCACATCTGTAATCCCAGCACTTTGGGAGGCTGAGGCGTGAGGTTCACATGAGCCCAGGAGGTTAAGACCAGCCTGGGCAACATGGCGAGTCCCTGTCTCTACTAAAAATTAGCTGTGCATGGTGGCGTGCACCTGTAGCCCCAGCAACTTGGGAGGCTGTGGTGGGAGGATTGCTTGAGCCTGGGAGTTAGAGGCTGCATTGAGCTGTGGTTGTGCTCCTGCACCCCAGCCTGTATGACAGAGTGAGACCCTGTCTCAAAAATAAATAAATAAATAAATAAATAAATAAATAAATAAATAAAAAAGAGTAGAGTGCTCAATTCGTCATCCTCTCCTGGGATGACTGCTGCCATTTGTGCTTTGGACTAGGCATTCTGCTAAGTGCTTTCTACACGTCATGTCAGTTAATTCTTACAACCACCTTGTGAATCAGGCAACACTGTACCCATGGTTCAGATGAGAACACTGAGGTGAAGTTACCTCCCCAGGCCAAGTGGTTGCTGCATGCTGGTGGTTAGGCCCACACTTGGGCGTCTTCCACGGGATCTTTGGGTGCTCCTTTTTTGTCTCCCTATTTTTAACTCTTCCCTTTGTCAGCTGTACTTGTTTTGGAGCTTATTGCCTGCATGCCTTTTGTACAATTTGATGCTGAAGTTATAATGGATGTCTGTATTTCCTGATTTTCTACCTATAGTCACAATTAGAGTTTGTTTTTTTTTTCTTCTTCAGTATTAACTAGAGTTTTGTTTTTTGATTCTTTCTTTTATGGAGACAGTTTCTGTAGCTGAAGTTGGTTCATGAGCATAACGGTAAATTAGATGTACTTTGTTAATGGTATTTTTTCGAGTAATGGGATGTTAATATAACTTCAGGTGAAACTTGGGTAGGCATATGTACTTTCCTAGAGAGCTTTTGGATCCTGACTTCTTACCTTAAAGAATATCTTGGGCCAGGCATGGTGGCTCACACTTGTAATCCCAGCACTTTGGGAGGCTGAGGCAGGTGGATCACCTGCGATCAGGAGTTCGAGATCAGCCTGGCCAACATGGTGAAATCCTGTCTCCACTAAAACTACAAAAAAAATTAGCTGGGTGTGGTGGCGGGCGCCTGTAATCTTAGCTACTTCGGAGGCTGAGGCAGGAAAATCTCTTGAACCCAGGAGGCGGAGGTTGCAGTGAGCTGAGATTGCGCCATTGCACTCCAGCCTGGGCAGCAAGAGCGAAACGCCATCTCAAGGAAAAAAAAAAAAAAAAGAAAAAGAATATCTTGATGCCTTAAACAAAAACATTTCTGGACACTGTCTTCTTCCACATTGACTCTTTAAAAACCAGTATATTCATTCCTTGCTTTTTCTATATAAAATGCAACAAACAAAAACACAACCATAACAACCACAAACTTCTGTGGAAGCCCAGACATGGTGAGGGCCGGAAGCTCACTCAGTGCAGGCGTGAACCTCAGTGCAGGCGTGGTCTCAGTTGTCCAGAGCTACTGTAGCTGTGGGGACTCTTAACCTTGCAGTCTCAGTACTTTAATTTGTGTTAGTTATTTTATTTATATTATCTATAAAAAAATAGCAGCTTGTTCTTGAGCAGGAGAAACAAACCATTTGGTATCCAGTGCCTGGGCAGCGCTTTCTGGGTGAGCAGGCCTCTTCAGGCCTTGTGGTGCTCTGAAACTGCCTTCCTGTAGAATGGAAAGACAAGTTCTTTTTTAGTTTCCCAAATGCACTTTTAAAGCTTCTACATGGAAATCATTTCATGGTAAATGTCGTTGGGAATAATGAATTCAAGTGTACTAGGTGTTAAGTATGTTGCTACAAAGGAATGGAATATTTAGCAGGTGAATCTTTTAAAATAGGGTTGATTTCTCTGTTCACAAAATTTTATAGAGAACCTCACATAATGCATGATTAACAGAGACAGAACAGAGTTTCTTGCTTGTGAAGATCTGATTGTCATTTTCTGTTTCCAGTGGACCTTCTGGGGCTCTTGAAATGGCGCTCCAACACCAGCCTGCTGCAGCAGAACTTGAGGCAGCTGATGAAAGTCGATGGTGGTGAAGTAGTGAAGGTAACATGGAGCCCAAAGGGACTTTTTGGGTCTTTTTTTTTTTTTTTTTTTAATGTATGTTAACAGAAGTAGGCAGTGACTTCAAAGGTAGTATAGGATTGTGGTTATACTCCCTTTAAAAAATAGTGACATAGGGATTGGGTGCGGTGGCTTACGCCTGTAATCTCAGCACTTTGGGAGGCCGAGGTGGGTGGATCACCTGAGGTCAGGAGTTCAAGACCACCCTGACCAACATGGAGAAACCCCGTCTCTACTAAAAATACAAAATTAGCCGGGTGTGGTGGCGCATGCCTGTAATCCCAGCTACTCGGGAGGCTGAGGCAGGAGAATTGCTTGAACCCAGGAGGCGGAGGTTGCAGTGAGTTGAGATCGCACCATTGCACTCCAGCCTGGGCAACAAGAGCAAAACTCCGTCTCAAAAAAACAAAACAAAAAAATAGTGACATACACCTCTAGGTGCACAGAGTGCTTCTTGGCTTCTGGTTTGGGGGGACTCTCTGGGTTAGCCGTGAAGGGGACTGGCTTTGCAATCAACCTCATCGTGGGTTCTGCGTCCTCTTCCCATAGGTCCTCACTACAGGACTCACAACAGTTCAGTGACCTCTTTAAGCCTCTCTTTCCCCTGCCATGAGAAGTGGGGTAACAGTAGTGCCTTCTGCAGGGTCGTTGTGGAGCCTCAGGTCTTTTTACTGTTGTCATGATCCTTGTTACTGCCATCAGCATTCGTACTAGACTCCCTGAGATCCCCTTTAAGTGACCAGGAGAGGTCTGTGGTGTGGTAGAAAGATCACGACACTGAGAGGCTTGCCTGGGCCGTCTTCTTCCCACGGGACGCTCTGCAGCAGTGTCGGGTATAATTATTCATTCAGACCCTTGTGGCCTCAGCATCTTTATCTGTGAGAGAGGGCAGTCAGATTACATGGCCGGAGGTCCTGGGAGCACTCAGCTTCTGGAATTCTTTACTCTGTAATTGTTTGTGGTTCTGATGTTTTCTGCAGTATTAGGCTCTTCTCTGCTCTCAGATACCCCACAATTTGCTGGGGCAACTTTTCCTTGTACGTGAGGAAGCGAATTTCCATTTTTAGTCGATTCTGTTTTTGGCTATGGGACGATAAGGGGGTCACTGGCATGTGGCGTTCTATAAGCATAGACTCTCCAGCAAGGTCTGTGTGTTGCCGCCTCAGTTCCTCACTCTCTAGGAGAGGTGATTGCAGAAAGAGACGACCTTATCTCTGTAAAAACTAATTACTTAAAATGGCCTTAATTAACCAGCAGTGTGCTTCACTTCAGTATCAATTAATTTGGTCGCACCAGTTTCCTGAATCGTATAACTCTTCAGACATATACTCACTAATCTTAAAATTTTAATCATCTTCTCAGTCCTGGTGTTCTCCCAATGGCTTGGACAATGTTAATTGCATTTTAAACTTCCCTGTGTTCTGTAAATTCCCTAATTCAGGTGGAAACTAGGTGAAATACATGAACGTAGTTGAGAAGAATCCAGTTAATGAAATTTTGTCCTCTTTCATTTTGAAGTCCCTGTATCATATTAGGAATGAGTTGTATTTCTGGCGACCAGTTACCACAGTTACCTGGAAGAATGTAGAATGATCTTGTCCCGTCATTCTCCCCCATTCCCCTCATCTCATAGATTCTCACATTTGATTATTCATCCCTAGACATGGCCTTTACACCTTTCCTTTCTTCCTGTGCGTGCTGGTACCACGCAAGCCTGGGTGACCTGTCCAGCCCTTACCTACCTTGCCTAACTTTGTGCTTTTTCTCTGCTGGCGTGTCTGACATGCGCCGTGAGCCTAGAGAGTGGAACTGACTTGAGGCCACGGGGCTGTTAATGGCCAGCCAGGACTTGAGGAATTCCTGCCTGCACGGGGCTCCTTTTGCTGATAGGGATGCTGATAGATTGTGGGTTTGGTTCCATTTATTCAGGACCTCCCTTCTGAGTATTGATGACTGATAGCAGAGAGATGGCATTGCTTGGTAGATTGAGGAAGGTATTTGTGTATTTAGCAAAAGATACGCTGTCCCATTAGATGGAAAATGGAAATGGTGACTTTGGTGCCCTTGAACATGGTCTTAGAGAGAGGGTGGGGTGCCAGATGAAGCCCTTTCATGGCTCCGTGTGAAGGCCCTCCTTCAGGTGCTCGCCCCTGCCCCACTGCAGCTCCGCAGCCCAATACGTGCAGCTCCATCTCCCTGTGGTTCTGTTTCTGTGCCACTGACCATGTCATGTGTCTGGGTGGGACCAGGTGGTCTACTTCAGGGACTTTGCATGAACCGTGACAGGCCAGGTCCTGCCACCTGGGAGCCTGTTGGCAGGGAAATATTCGGCTGTTAGCAGATGGCATCAAGTTTTGACCTTCGCAAAGAATCTACATTCTGAAAATGATGGGAAATGGTGCAAAAGTAACAAAGTGGTACAGATCCACATAGTTAGGAGTTGATTAATCCCTTGACATCCAGACCAGCATGCCTTTTGGTCAGGTTGGTTTTGTTTCCCACTGTTTGCATGTGACATTTTCTGGTATAAAGTAAGTGGTGGCTGGCACAGCCAAGCATGGAGAGGATTTTACTCCTTAAAGGGTCTCTGATCTCATGCTGGGCATGCTGGGCGTCCTCTCTCCCAAAGGAAACGGATGAGGCTCATGCTGGGCATGCTGGACATCCTCTCTCCCGAAGGAGGCGGGCGAGGCTGTTGCTGCTGCTGTGGTTCCACAGCACTCCTTTGCGAGCAGGAGTTTGTGGTTTGCTTCTTTAATCTTGGGGCTATAGCAGTTTGAGATCTTCCATGCCATCCCAAAAGCCCCCTGGGTGTTGGGAAGAGGCTGCACAGTCCAGGAGGAATCTGAACCAAACACCTGACCCAGCCTTTCCTCTGATGTCCTTGCTGTGTGATCACCTCACCCATTTATTTTTATTTTTCTTTAAATTACAGTTTCATTGAGATATAATTCACATACCAAAAAATTCATCCTTTTACTCTGAAGTTTTTAGTGTCTTCATGGAGTTGTACAACTATTACCACTGTCTAATTTCAGAACACTTTCATCATCCCAAAAGAAACCACATAGCTATTAGTAGTCACTTTCTCCTCTTCCTGTAACCACTAATCTGCTTCCTGTCTCGATGGATTTACCTGTTCTGGATATTTTATGTAAATTGAATCATACGCCCTGTGGCCTTTTGTGTCTGGCTTCTCTCACTTAGCCTTGTGTCTTCAAGGTTTATTCATGCCGTAGTGACTATCAGTGCTTCACACCTTTTTTTGTTTTGAGATGAAGTTGTGCTCTTGTTGGCCAGGCTGGAGTGCAAAGGCGCAATCTCAGGATCTTGGCTCACCACAACCTCCACCTCCCAGGTTCAACTGATTCTCCTGCCTCAGCCTCCCAAGTAGCTGGGATTACAAGCGTGTGCCACCATGCCCGGCTAGTTTTGTATTTTTAGTAGAGATGGGGGTTTCTCCATGTTGGTCAGGCTGGTCTCGAACTCCCGACCTCAGGTGATCCGGCCTCCTCAGCCTCCCAAAGTGCTGAGATTACAGATGTGAGCCACTGCACCTGGCCTGCTTTTATGCCTTTTTATGGCCGATAACATTCCATCACATGGATAGACCGCAGATTGTCTTTCCATTCATTAGTTGACACACATTTGTATTGATTCTGCTTTTTTGGAGATGATGAATAATATTTGTGTACAAGTTATTTTGTGAACATATGTTTCCTTTCTTTTGGAGAGATGGCCAGGAATGAAACTGTTGACTCATATGGTAAATCTGTGTTTAAGTTTTTGAGGAATTGTCAAACAGTTTTTCATAGCAATTGCACAATTGTACATTTCTACCAGCAGTGTGCAAGGTCTCCAATTTCTCTGCGTTCTTGCCCACTTCTTATTAGTCATCTTAAATTGTAGCCCAGATAGTGGGTGTGAAGTGATAGCTCATGATGGTTTCCCTTTGTATGTCCCTAATGAGTAATCATGATAGATCAGTACTTCATCATGTTTATGGCCAGTATTTCGTTGTGTGGCGTTCTGCCTCTTCTTGACCTTCTCTTCTAATACGAATCATCACTTCCAACACCGTGATCTTCAGTCCGTCTTACATTTCCTGCAGGGGAGGATGGGGTGGGACTTGAAGCTGACTTGTAGTGTGACATGCCTTTGAAGTCTCTTCCTAATTACATGTATGATGCTTTGTCCTTCTTTGCAGTAGTATTTATTTGGTAAATTTTAGTCAACTGTAACTGTAATTTCGACATTGTTGTTGAATAAAGTAAGCACCTTCTGGTCTCAAAACTGGGATACTGCTGTGTATTCCAGTTTCAGAATCACGATCCTCTTCCATGCCTGGGCACCCTGGTTGGTAGAAGGTCCTTCCTTCCACTCAGCTGGGTCCTGTCCCTGTGTGGCTTCTGCCCATTCACTAGCTGAAGTCCTGTACCCAGTGTGTAGAATGAGTGAGATGCATCTTCCCAGAGTTGCCATTCAGCGCTTTGTCACCAGCCTTATGAAAACCGGAAAGAGGGTTGGAAAGGCCCCCTGGGGGAAGCAGTAGGCCCTCTCCTTGCTTTGACCCTCTCCATTTAACACTGGTGGCATTTCTTTGTTCTGAATTCGCTCATCCAAAATTTTTGTCTTGTGTATCTAGTGGCTGAAAAGGATCCCGAATGGCTTTATAGGTAGTGCTGGGGGCAAAGTGGGTATTTGGAGTACTGCAGAGATGATAGTTATTCCAGTGTGTGGGGGAAGTCCGGTGGGTTCACATTGTCACCCGACCTTCTGTGTCTATGCAGTTTCTTCAGGACACGTTGGATGCCCTCTTCAACATCATGATGGAGAACTCAGAGAGTGAGACTTTTGACACGTTAGTCTTTGATGCTCTGGTAAGAGAGCTTTCCTTCTCATATGCTTGGATAACACAGCGTTCTTCCATGCTGCAGCGTCTGAGGCTGGAGTCGGGGGCTTCGTCACAGTGACCTTGAACGCATTTTCAGTTGTAAATCCAATCAGAGATGAATTGGGGTGGCAGATTTTTTTTCTCTTTTTTTTAAATGTAAAACTGTAGTTAGGCAAATGTCATTTCTAGGGTAAGAAAAGGTAAACTAGCCACCAACTTCTATCTGAAAATGTTATGGTTCATATCCTAACACAGGGGTGCAGATGGTTCTGATGAAGATTATAAAATGGCTTACATTATGTTGCTAATGAAAATATTATTGATTAATTTGACAGGTATTTATCATTGGACTGATTGCTGATAGAAAATTTCAGCATTTTAATCCTGTTTTGGAAACTTACATTAAGAAACACTTTAGTGCAACGTTAGCCTACACGTAAGTTCCTACTTTGTTTTAAAACCAATACTTCTTTTTTTGGTATTTGTGTTATTTAGAGTCTTTTTCATGTACTTTTGTCTATGACTGTGTATTTACTCCTGCTCAAAACTCTGAGTTTACTGGAATAATTTTTAGTATTGTTTCCCTCTTAACATACCTAAAAACCTTGTTGAAAGAGATATGTGATAAATCATCGTAATATTCTGGAATAAATTCTTGTTCTCCCTCACACCTTCCATTTATCTTTGAAATCTTCACTTTATGTTCGATGAAACTGAGCTTTGGATGCGGAGTGTCTGACACCGCGGCTTCCTCGCGAGCCTTTGATGAATGGATAAATGCATGTGTTCCCGTGTTAAGGAGATTGGTTGTTTAGTGTGAATTAGATGCAGTTTTGTACTTTGCAATGTATCTCCTTGCTCTTTAAAGAGCACCTTCCCTTTTCTTTGACAAGCTTCAGCTGTCACTGTCTTGGATTCCTTCTATCCACCCCTCTGCCCGTCTGTGCCCCAGAGGTCTAGGAAGACACCAGAGGCTATGCATGGTGCCTGGGCCAGCTTAGCAGTGTGCCTGGTATTGAAGAGCAGAGCCCTGGAGTCTGGAGTCAGGCTGCCTGGGCTTGATGTGCAGCTCTGTCCCTCACAAGCTCTGTGATCTTGGGCAAGTTGCTTAACCTCTCTGTACCTCAGCCTTCTTGTCTGTAATCAGAGCATGATTGTAGGCTTGTGTGGAAATTTTAATAAGTTATTACGTGTAGAGTGCTTGGACTAATCCCTGGCACTTAGAAAGCACTAAGCAATTATTGGGTTTCATTATCATTAGATTTATTATGATGACTTACCGGCTCTTTCTTGGTGGAATTTATTGGCATTTATTCAGACTTTTTATTGTGTGAGTTACAGCAAAACATAAAGATTTACATAATTTCTTTAAGAACATCCCGCTTAGAATCAGTAGAAAGGATTCTTTTTAGTGTGAGTAAATTTAGTTAAAACTCCCTTCTGTGTCTTCAACATACTTTGCAAAATACCTGTTTTTCCTCCCTGTGTGCAGTCATGAACTCAGGTCAGAGGACTCTGGCCTCCTGAAGCCAGCTGTTAATATACCCTGGTCCTGCACCTGGATTCTTTCATATCTGCCTCGTGTGCGTGTTTACTGTAAGGTGGTGGGTGGAGCTCCAGGAAGGCTAAGAGCTGTGAGGTCCTCAAGCCTGCGGAACAAGCTGTGACTAGTTCTTTGCACTTGCTTGCTAATAAACGTTTGTTTAAAACATTTTGTTCGCTGAGTGGAGATGCCCAGTGTGTGGGCATGTCGAGTAGTTCCTTACAGACCGTGGGGAGGGTGCATTGCAGGGCACTTTTCCTGGCTCTTGTGACCAAAACAGGAGCTTGTGGGGTTTGCGGAAGTGGCCTGTGGACTGCAGCAAACGTAGCACGGCCTCCACGTGTGCTCATTTTCAAAATTCTGCCTTTTGATTGAAATGTGGCCAAAGAACTCTTCTCAGATTAGGCTCCGTGCTTGAATTTCAGAAGATGAGAGGCATGAATCAGCTTACCACACTGCAGCCACATCTCTTCATTGGCGCCAGCCTTTCCATGCTGTGCTGTTGGGGAAGGAGTGATGCAGCCATTCTCATAGGTGGAGAAAGAAAAATGGGAGATTTTGATGAGTTTCCTAATGAGACAAACAAAAAGTACCATTTTTTCTTTATGCTGTGATGGGACTGAGATAAGAATAGTATCCTCATGGCCGGGTGGAGTGGCTCACACCTGTAATCCCAGCACTTTGGAAGGCCGAGGTGGGTGGATCCCATGAGGCCAGGAGTTGGAGACCAGTCTGGCCAACATGGAGAAACCCCCATCTCTACTAAAAATGCAAAAATTAGCTGCGCGTGGTGGCACGTGCCTGTAGTCCCAGCTACTTGGGAGGCTGAGGCAGGAGAATCACTTGAACCCGGGAGGCGGAGGTTGCAGTGAGCCGAGATCGTGCCATTGCACTCCAGCCTGGGCTACAGATCAAGACTCTGTCTCAATAAAAAAAAAAAAAAAAAAAAAAAAAGGATCCTGTCATTCAATCTATGGAATCTGCTGAAAAAGAAATTTTTATTGTGGAAAATAAGTATTGTTAGCATGTTTTGGTAAACTGGCAACCTCACGTGGTTCCTCAGCAGCCTGAATTTGCATGTCTGCACCTTGAAATTCCAAAGGAGTCAGTGGCGACTGAGATAGCTCTGACCACATCATGGAAGGTCGCCTCCGCATTGGTGATATGCTTACAGTATTCTCTGGGCCAGGCGAAATTCCAGTAATATTATCCCAGAGTGTCCTTGTCCTCTTCTCCTCTAGAAGGCTTTGGTAGGTACAGGCTTACTTTAGACTCTTGTCCATGTAGCCTCTCTCCTTTGGTAAATGTTGAGATCTTTAGCCCTTCTTCCCAACAACACCAAGAGAAGGAATGAAAGATTTTGGCAATGGGCAGTCCTCTTCCGCACCTCGAGCTGTGTCTGCGGCTCCCCTGCGTGGGTAGTTCATGGATGCTGGAGCCCCACTGGACTGACCAGCACTGGTACAAGTGAGAATGAAGGGAGGCATCGGCTTTGGGGGCTGCTCTTCCATAAAACCAGCATGACTGGGCTCCTTTTTGTCCACCCTATGGAGCTGCTGCAGGCTCCTCACTGGCAACTGATGCTCCATCTGCTCCGCCCCCTCTAGCCAGTGCCAAGGGGTTGCTTTTTGTGCAGGTATAAGATGGCCTGGCAGATTTATTTTTATTTATTTTCTTTTTGCTGTCTAATTCCAGGTTAAGATTCATTTGCTGGTTCTAGGTCCTTCTTTTATTTATTTTCTTTCTTTTTGCTGTCTAATTCCAGGTTAAGATACATTTGTTGGTTCTAAGTCCTTCTCTTTGCAAATCATTATTATTTTTCTTTTTTTAATTGGTTTGAAGAATTCCCAAAATGTGTTCTATGGAATGTTTATTCCCTGGGATATTAATATATGTAATAAGAGGTGCGTGGTCCAGTAAGTTTGGGAAAATAAGTAAAACTGAGTGAAGCAGGCTTCATGCCAGGGTGTTGCATGCTCTCTTGTGCAGTGAGCACCACCCGCAGAGGCCTATATGGCAAGGTGTGTTTTCCAGCCAATGGAGATGGACACCGTAGCAGGAGGATCTGCAGACTTCGCCTCTTCAGAACAGCGAGCAGGAGTGTGACTCTGAGAGCATCAGGGCTCCCTACTAGAGCTCTGGTGCCTGATCGGTGTTAGAAATGGCTTCACATCCACTCAGTCTCCCAAAAAGCTTTTCAGGCCATGCATGGTGGCTCACACCTGTAATCCTTGCACTTTGGGAGGCTGAGGTGGGCGGATCATTTGAGGTCAGGAGTTCAATACCAGCCTGGCCAACATGGTGAAACCCCATCCCTACTAAAAAATAAAACCCAAAAAGTTAGCCTTGTGTGGTGGCAGGTGCCTGTAATCCCAGCTAATCAGAAGGCTGAGGTAGGAGAATCGCTTGAACCTGGGAGGCAGAGGTTGCAGTGAGCAGAGATCACAGCACTGCACTCCAGCCTGGGCAGAGCGACACTACGTCTCAAAAAAAAAAAAAAAAAAAAAAAGATTTTCATTGTGATGTATTGGTAAAATAGGTACTCTTAGCTCATCCATAATTGCAGTGAAGGTTGCTCTTCTGAGTGTCTTATTCCATAACCTGAGTGAGCAGTCTGGCCTTTACTGGCTCACAACTGAACCAGACATGCTGTCAGTACCCCAGCAGATTGCTTTTATGAACATAAAAATCTTTCATGTGGCTTTTAAAAAGCCTCAGTGAATTTTGTTGGATGCGTAAGATGTTGGTGACTGGAGAAGTTTGGGTGGCGGATATTCTTCCTGGTGTCTTACTGGCTGCACGCATGGTGCTAGTTTTTGGAGAGTTGCAGTGCAGCTCAGTACATTAAAAAATGACCGTGTGTTGTTGTTAATTCAGTTGTTCTTTTATTATGTGTAAGCTATTGCTTGAGGGTCATCCTTATGAACAAGATTATTATTTGATGAGTCAGTAATGGTTGAAAGTGTAGAAGTGTGGATAGAATTAAAAATGGCAGATCCTCACTACTGCCTCTATCATTTAAAAATAACACATGCTCAACGGATAAAAAATAGTAAAGAAATCTCACATTACTCAAATGTTATAGTGCAGACGATAAAAGTTCCCTTGTATATAATGCTACATATTGGAGATATCTACTGTGCCAGCATTTATTTTCTATGTTTATATTAACATTGTTATTAAGATTATGACTAATATGTCTGCATATTTTACAAAACAGCATTGTTATTTTTGCTTGCTTAAAATTTAAAAACTTAAAAATTGTTATAATTTGCATACAACAAAATGCTCATTTTAATTTTGTTTGGACGGTTTTTGTATACCCTTGGAACTACTGCCCAAAACAAGACATAAGACATTGCCATTCCCCACAAACATCCCTCTTGGCCTATCTGAGCCCATCCCACTCCCAGACAAGCAGCCACTCTGTGGTTTCTGTTAGGAATGTGTTTTGCCTGTTCTTAAACTTTACACCAGTGGGGTCATGCACTCTTTTTGTATCTGGCTTCTTCCCTTCCACATAATTCTCTTGAGATTCATGCATGTTGCTTTGTGCATCATTAAATATTTGATTTTGCTCCTCTCTATTTCTGAGCAGTATTTTATTGTATGAATATTTCATGATTTGTTTAGCCATTTTCTTGTTGATGGATACATGAAGTGTTTCTAGTTTTTGGCTATTCCGAATAAGGCTGCGATGAATATTCTTGTCCAAGTCTTTGGTGAAGTTTGTTTTTGTTTCCCTTGGATAAGCACCTAGCGGTAGAATTGCCGGGCTAAAGGATACGTGTATAGTTTTCTTTGTAAGATATTGCGAGACAGTTCTCCAAAAGGGTTGTACCATATTGCATTCCCACCAGCAATCTGTGAATGTTCTTTTGCTCTGTATCCTCATCAACATTTAGTAGTGTCTGACTTTGTAGCTATTGTACTGGGGGCAAAATTATATCTCTTGGTGATTTTAATTTGCAGTTACTGGATAACTGATGATACTGAGTACCTGTTTATTTTATTTTGATTTGCCATTTGTGAAATGTCTGTTCAAATCTCTTTTTCATTTTATATTTTGTTGTCTGTTTCTTATTGATGTTTATGGTATGTGTGTGTATGTGTTTGTGTGTTTATACACATAAATATATGTATTTTTTTTTGTCAGACATGATTTTTGAACATTTTCTTCCTGCCTCTGTTTATCCCTTTTCTTAATGGTGTCTTTCGATGAGCAGAAATCTTTTATTTTGTTGAAGCCTAAATCATCATTTAAAAAAACAGATAGGGATTTTCATTTTGTGGCTAAACAATCTTTGCCTAGCCAAAGGTCTTAACAATGCCTGCACTGTCTAATGTCACAGCACTAGCCTCGTGTGGCTATTTAAATAAAATTAAACTAAACAATTACTTCCGCAGTTGTGCCAGGTGTGTTTCAAGTGCTGAGCCAGGTTGGACAGCTCAGAAACAGGTTTCCATCACTGTAGAAAGTTCTGTTGGGCATCACTGTTTCAGAAGCTTTATGCTTTATGCTTTTGACAGAATTCAGCATCTGTTTATGATAAAACCTCTTGGCAAACTAGGAATAGATGGGAAGTTCCTTGATCTGATAAAGCTCATCTACGAAAAGTCATAGCTAACCTTATACATAATGCTGGAACATGGAAAGCTTTTCCTGTAAGTTCAGGAACAAACGTGGCTGTCTCTTCTTACTATATCTGTTTATTATTGCGCTGGAAGTAGTAAAGCAAGAAGAAATAAATGCGGGTATAACAATTGGAAAGAAAAACTGTATTTTCACGTTGATTTTGTATATAAAAAGCCCTCCTGAATCTATTTTATAATTTATTTTAAAACAAACATAAAAGGAAACTTCAATTGTATATATACACATAATTGAGAGGGAATTAAAAGTACAGTAGAATTACAGTATGGTACAGTACAGTACACTTTAGGGTCTTATCAAAAAGTCATAGGCCGGGCATGGTGGCTCATGCCTATAATCCCAACACTTTGGGAGGGAGGCCTAGGTGGGTGGATCAGTTGAGTTCAGGAGTTTGAGACCAGCCTGACCAACATGGTGAAACCCCATCTCTACTGAAAATACAAAAATTCGCCAAGTGTGGTGGTGGGCACCTGTAATCCCAGCTACTTGGGAGGCTGAGGCAGTAGAATCTCGTGAACTTGGGAGGGAGAGGTTGCAGTGAGCCACGATCACGCTACTGCACGCCAGCCTGAGTGACAGAGTGAGACTCTGTCTCAAAAATAAATAAATAAAATAATGAGGGATAAATTTACTGGTAGATGACTGAAAATTGCAAAATTTGCTAAGAGAAATATAAAAAGTAAATAATTTGATAATATATACCATGTTCATGTATTGAAAAATAAAATATTGCTTGAATGTTTATTTCAAATTATAGTTTGAACACAGTCTCAATGAAAATTCTGTATGCTTTTGTGAAAAAAAAATGGACTAATTTGAATATTTATACTTTCAAAAAGTCTAAAATACCGAAATAATATTTTAGAAGATCAAAATTTCAAGATTTATTATTAAACATCAGTAACCAAGATAGCATGGTATTGGCATAAGGACAGACAAAAAGTTCAGAAGGAGAGAATATAAAATACAGAACAGATTCACAATAGACCTTCGATTTTGTAACTGCTGTTTTCTTTTAACAGCATAATGACAAAACTGGCCTCTTTTTTTTTTTTTTTTTTTTTTTACTATAGTGATGAGGGAGTGCCCACCTAGTGTATTGAACTGCTGTGCAGTATTTCATTGTAGGGATGTATTACCATTTATTGAACCGGCTCTCAGAGGTTGGGCATTTGCATTGTTTATGTATTTTTACTAGTCAGATCATGCGGCAGTAAACATCATTTGATTCATTTGTAATTGTTTCTGTAGGACAGTTACTAGAGTTGGAATTCCTGGTGTCAAAGGATTTGAATATCCTTAATTATAATAGATATTTCCAATATAATAGATATTTCCAATATCCTTAATTATAATAGATATTTCCAAATATAACAGATATTTCCTTAATTATAATAGATATTTCTTAATTATAATAGATTTTCCAACTATTATATATAATAGATATTTCCAATAGATATTATAATACATATTGCCACTTTACCCTCTAAAAAATTTTTATGCCCTGCTGGGTGCAGTGGCTCACACCGGTAATCCCAGCACTTGGGGAGGCTGAGGTGGGTGGATCACGAGGTCAGGAGTTCGAGACCAGCCTGGCCAATATGGTGAAACCCTGTCTCTACTAAAAATACAAAACTTAGCTGGGCGTGGTGGTGTGCATCTGTAGCTGTGTGGGAGGCTGAGGCAGGAGAATCGCTGGAACCTGGGAGGTGGAGGTTTCAGTGAGCTGAGATCGTGCCACTGCACTCCCGCCTGGGCAACAGAGCAAGACTCTGTCTGAAAAAAAAAAAAAAAAGTTTTATGCCCATTTATCCAACAGCAGTGTTATGATACCCCAAAGTTTGTCTGTACTAGGCAGAAATTTTATTTAATTTTCATGTGTTTATTAATGAAGTTGATTAATATATTTCTAGATTTTAAAAAATTAAGCTTCTCACATTCCCTAAAACTTTGAGTAGATCTATTATCATTTGAACTTTCTTGTTATTTGAATTACAGTAAAGTAAAAATAATTTAATACATTTCCCTTCATCTTTAGCAAGGAATTAAAAAAACCTATCTATGAATTAAACACTGAAAATATTTATGAAGCCATGAATTAATATTAAGCTCCTAATATATAGTTTATTTATACCAACTGTCTATAATTACTTCTGTAGTAGGATGAAAAATTTACAAATAATTTTACTCAATTTTTGTGTATTCCAAAGTGTGTAAACTTTTTTATCATGGAAAAGATTTTAAATGTTTTCATATTAGGATGTTACTTGATTTTAGATCCCAATTTATAAATAAACAGACTAAGAGTATAGTAGTCATTGTGTTTTTAAAACTAAATGTTTTTGGGGAATCTTATTAGGAAATGTCAATATTTTAAAATCTTCATGTGTCCACTGATAGTATTCTTACTATTCTTATATATTGTTTATAGTCTTCTCTATAAGGATTTTTACAATATTATTAAAAATTTAAGACTGCTTCCTATTTGAAAGACCATTTGTAAATTTTAATTTTCGGTGTAAGAACTCTAGTTTTAGAAAATCAACTAAAATGAATAAAAGTGTCTGAGATGCTTTCCAATAACAAATACTGTTTCATGCCTTTAAAAAAATTGTTGTAAAATACACATAACATAAAATTCACCGAATCATTTTATTTTATTTTATGATTTTTTGAGACAAGGTTTCACTCTTGTCGTCCATGCTGGAGTGCAGTAGCGCGATCTTGGCTCACTGCAACCTCTGCTTCCTGGACTCAAGTGATTCTCTTGCCTCAGCCTCTTGAGTAGCTAGGACTACAGCCATATGCCATCCTACCCGGCTAATTTTTGTATTTTTTCTGGAGGCAGGGTTTCATTTTGTTGTCCAGGCTGGTCTCAAACTCCTGAGTTGAAGTGATTCACCTGCCTTGGCCTCCCAAAGTGCTGGGATTCCAGGTGTGAGCAAGAGCACCTGGCCCCTACCTAATAGTTTTAAAGTGCAATGTTGAGAAAATCGTCACCACTATCCATCAGAGAGTATTTTTGGTGTCATGCCTTTATGAAAAAAATTTTTGTGTCTCTGTTTGGCTGTAATGAAAATCTCTTCGATTTTATTGTTTAACCTTGGGGAAGCTAGTGTTTTACCTGTGGAAGTCCTGGTTTCCTCATCCATTAAATAGGATAATACTGCCTCATAGTGTTGCTGTGAAGGCTAAGTTAGATAATGCATTTCACCTGCTTAGAACAACGTCTACACTTAGAAAGGGCTTATTAAATGCTCAGCCTTTGCTCTCAGAGGTATTTTATCAGGCACATTTACTGATTAGAAAACGTTTTACAGGCCGTGCAGTGGCTTACGCCTATGATCCTAACACTTTGGGAGGCCAAGGGGGGTGGATTGCCTGAGCTCAGGAGTTTGAGACCAGCCCGGGCAAATGGTGAGCTCCTGTCTCTACTAAAATACAAAAAATTAGCTGGGCGAGGCGGCGTGTGCCTATAATTCCAACTACTTGGGAGGCGGAGGCAGGAGAATCACTTGAGCCCGGAAGGCAGAGGTTGCAGTGAGCCGAGATTGCACCATTGCACTCCATCCTGGGTGACAGGGTGAAACTGTCTCAAACAAAAAAAAAAAAAAAGAGAAAACGTTTTACAGATATTCATATACTGATAGATGGAAACCAAATAAAAGTAACCTACTTGTATATTTCCTTAGCAGTTAAGATTTGAGATATTTTCCTTTCCTGAGCTTATTTGTGCGTGTTTGCATTGTGAATAGGAAGTTGACAAAAGTGTTGAAGAACTACGTGGACGGTGCTGAGAAGCCGGGAGTAAATGAGCAGCTGTACAAAGCCATGAAAGCGCTAGAATCCATCTTCAAGTTCATCGTGCGCTCCAGGATCCTGTTCAATCAGTGCGTACCTATCCCCTCCATGCCCGGGCTCTCAGAGGACTGGCAGGAGATCCTTCACTTCTTTCCTTCCCCTTCTCTCGTCCCCTTATTCTTTCCTTTCTTCTTCCCCCTTTTTCCCCCTTGCTTTCTAGGCTGAGAGAGCACTGTTGATCCTGGGGTGAGCTGCCCACTCTTTCCTTACCCGCCTGGGTCCCTGCCGGTGCTGAGGCGGGAGCCCTGTTCCTGGTCTGAGATGTGTGCCTGTGAGTCGAGCCTTGGCTCCTGAAAGCATTGGCGATGACGCAGGTGCAATCCTGGGCGTCTACTGAGGGCTCAGAAGCCCTTTTCAGGATATCTTTATATGGCAAAAAGTCCCAAAAGAAAAACAACAACAAAAATAGGCCGGGCGCAGTGGCTCACGCCTGTAATCCCAGCTACTTGGGAGGCTGAGGCAGGAGAAGGGCGTGAACCCGGGAGGCGGAGCTTGCAGCGAGCGGAGATCGCGCCACTGCACTCCAGCCTGGGCGACAGAGCGAGACTCCATCTCAAAAACAAAATAAATAAATAAAACAACAATGAAAAGGCAAAACCAAGTGAAATTGCCTCACTTGGGCAGACTCTGGGATTTCCTCCTCCTCTTTTCCTCAGTAGAGTGATGTTTCATTTCGGGAGAACTCTTCCTACATAGGGTATTTCCGTGAGGAAGGATACTCAGGTGCTTTAGCCTAGTGACAGTTTTCACACGCTGTGTGGATGAACTTATGAATGATTTTTGAGCTTTAAAGTAAATCGAAGGGTTAAAGGGGAACAAAAAATGTATTTATTACCATTGAACTGTATACTTAAAATGGTAAAGATGGTGAATTATATATATGTATATTTTGCCTCAATAAAATACATAAATTGGGATATTTATGGCTTATTTTATAGAGAGCCTTAATATTGTATAGATACAGATGCAGGTTAAGAGCTGCGCTAAAATGAGGACTTTCTAAGTTGGCCCACGCCTCTTCACTGTATGATTCAAAAGATGTGAAAAGTAAGTGTGTTGAGGGTGGGGTGTGGAATTTCACTCCCTCTGCTTGTTTTTTTGGGGGATGGCTATTTTGTGGGTGACCTGCCATGAGTGATGTCAATGGATGTTGGTGGTTCTACGTTGTTATTGTTCTTGTTGTGAGTTCCACACACAGATGGGATTCATGAACCTGTGTCCCTCTGAATTAGCGAATACATTTGCCTTTGAAAAGCATGGTGCCCTTGTAACCTATTAACGAGAATAAGGAATTGAAAGTGTGGGCCCACATCAGTGCCTTCCCGTTTCCTCCTCACTGTGTTTTCGTTTGTCTGAAGCAGTCGTGTCCAGAAGAAGGACTCAGGAGAAGGGGGAAGAATTCAAAATCTAACCATGTGTCTACCATGATAGTAATAAGGACAAAGCAACAAGTTATTGACTGTGTGTTGACCTATCAGAGTCATAAACAGGGTGGTAACCACTAGTGATGTGTTACTGGTCAGGGACTGGAGTGTGCTTCTGTTCACTCTGGCGTGTCCATGGTCAAAACCACAGTCCTCGTGCTGCCATTTTTGCATACAAATATGGCATGTTTGAGGGCATCATGGTTTTGTCCTTGACTTAGATATTACACTCTTTTATTTTGCTTATTATGGATATGCATGACCTTTGGTGTGGATTGAAGCTTTCCCTCAAGGATCTAAGTTGTGATTTATTTTCTCTTTGTTAGGGTGAAACACAGCATGGTAAGCTAGGTTATGTTTTCTTGTATTTTAATTCTATTTCAGTAAAGTTAATTCTATGAAAATGAACTTCCTGGCCCCCCCTGCCTTGCTGTTATATTTTCCTCACTGATTTTAAATCTC
This sequence comes from Homo sapiens, assembly GCF_000001405.40. Lineage (NCBI taxonomy): Eukaryota > Metazoa > Chordata > Mammalia > Primates > Hominidae > Homo > Homo sapiens. Next base: position 127,054,673 of record NC_000010.11, read on the forward strand.
TGATTATGCTAAACCCAAGTCAGTACTAGGGTGGGAGGATGAACTTGAAAGATGTTACAGATTTTTGTCATGTTTTATTTGAAAAATGTTAATTTTGTGCAGTTTGTGATCAATATGACATTGACTCAGGCATTTGATGATCTGCATATTCTCACCCGATAACACTGGACTTTCCCTTTCATTCAGAGGTTTGTACTTAAAACGATCGTGCATTGATAATGGTGTTTCTGCTATAGTAGTAAATGCTATAGTCTTTTATACAATAATGCTGCTTTAGAAAAGATTGAGTTACCCAGGTTGACCAGTAGCAAATTATTTCTCTGCCTCGTTCTTTAATCTCTTTCAATTTCAAAATACAAATGGCACAAAATCTTAGATTCATGGTCCATAATTTTTTTTTTCGTTTGATCAGTCTAATAGTGCTTAGGAATATGATTGGCTGCATGTAATAGAAAAACACCATTTATGTGACTTAACCATATGGGGTTCACTTTTTTTTTTTAGTCACATAATGTGCAGCCCGGAGGAAGAGTTCCGAGTTCATGCACCTGCGTGAGGACTCAGCGTCCTGATGTCCTTGGCTCCTTTGATCTCTCTGCCCCACCATCCTTAGTGGGGTCTCTTTATCTCCTAATCCTAAGATGGCTTCTGCCCCTCCCAGCATCAGCTCTGCATTCCAGGTGGAGGAGAGGGGAAGGCAAAGGAGAAACAGCTGTGCCAGCTATTCTTCTTTGAAAGAGCTTTCCTCATCCCTAGAAAGTGTCATGTGCTTTCATCTTATTGGCCAGAACCATGTCACATGACCACCCTACCTGCAAGGAAGCTGGAAAGGATTTTTAGATGGGCTGGTTGATGCTTTCTACAATACCAGAGTGATTTTAGTAAAGGAGTTAGGGAGAAATAGATAATGGATGGGCAGTTAACATTCTCTTCCTCATACCTTCAACCCAGATGGTCTGTTCCCTGAGAGCTTCCCTAACTCATTCTGGGTTACTAAATCCTACTTAACTAGGTTTTGCAGAGCCTTTCTTCTCCATTAGTTTGGGAGTCAATCTCTGAGACTTCTGTCACCAGTATCTCTTTGGCTTTAAGTATCTCTTTAGGCCCTAAGTGATCCACTGGCATGGTTTAGTCCTACCAGGTTACATAGAAATGGACTGAAGTACTCAGCTGCTCCTCGTGTTTGGGACAGGAAGTGTTTAGTGCTAAAGTCCTCTGAATGCCTGCATTCTGGTGCTCAACAGCATGGCACAGAACATGATCGCTCTACCTGCCTTTGTCCTGGTATGGACCCAGCAGGAGCCAGGCATGGTCCACAAACTGAGTTTCTTTGCTGGTATAACTTGTTTGTTAGAAGAGTTGAGACTGTTGAGGACACAAAGTGGTCACAAGACAAGTTGTAGCAATTGTTACAACTTAGTGAGGCTCCCTAAGCCTCTGAGGCCATTGTCTGGGCATTCCTGACTTTAGCTAACCGAGTACTGCAGTGATTCTGGAGATCCTGATGCTGCTGCTGCTGCTCCTGATCATGATGATGATGATGATGATTTGAGACAGGACCTCCCTCTGTCACTCAGGATGGAGTACTGTGATGCAGTCATAGGTCACTGCAGCCTCAAACCCCTGGGCTCAAGCCATCCTCCTGCCTTAGTCTCCCAAGTAACTAGGACTACAGGCAGGTGCCAGCATGCCTGGCTAATTTTTTGTAGGACATGGTCTCGCTATGTTGCCCAGGCTGGTCTCAAACTCCTGGCCTGAAGCCATCCTCCTGCTGTGGCCTCCCAAAGTGCCAGGATTCCAGGCATGAGCCCCTGTACCCCACTGATTCTGGGGATGTTGATACTCATGTTCCTTCTCTCCCTCCCTCTTTTCCTCCCTTCTTCCCTAGCTTCTTCCTTCTCTCCTCGCTTCGTTCTTTCCTCTCTCCTTCCCTCCTTTTTTCTCTCTTTTGTCCCTTCCTTCCTTCCTTCCATGAATACTTAATGAGTGTATGAGCCCCAAGTGTATCCCAGACTTTCACAGTTTGACTTTATTATTTTTTCTCTGAACGTTTCCTGAATGTGGATCCTGGCTGCCTACCCTCATTCCTGAGGGGAGAGAAGGACATAACGTTCTTTGAGATGTGGAGCACCTAGCCGCATTGTGCAGAGACAACAAATACTTCAATTTAAATCTGTGTTCTAAAATGGCTGAGAAGATATTTCATAGATTTTATGAGAGGAAAAAACCCATGCCCTTAGAATATTGGACGGTAGGGCAGAAGTCTTCTAGTAATCCCTCCCCTTCTGTCCTCCCCATCCCACCCCTGCTCCCCATCATCCCACCACAGCATGTCAGTTGTTACTTCATCTGTGCTATCACAGGTCTGAAATGTAGCTGAAATCGTTTTCCTAGCTTGTATAGGCTACTTAAAGGAAAAAGAGCCCCACGTCCCACACAGATATCTAGGATGTTTGATCCGTGACAAGCTCCAAATGAGTCTCCTGTGTGGTGCTGTCAGAGGTGGGGAAGAAAACAAACTAGGACTCTCATCTTCTTACCTGCAGCATGTTTATTACCTTGAGAGAAAAACAATTGTGCTCACAGCTGGAATTCATGAGTGTGTTTTCCTTTTTGCAGCTGGGATAAACTTTTGAGATCTTATTTTTCTTTGGCTTTCAAAATGGTCTATTGTGTTTTCCTATAGTGCAATAGCTTTGTTAAATTCCAGTATAATTGACAGTAATTATTCTTCCAAAGAACAAAGAGGTGAAACTTTGAAGATGAAGATATTGAAGCTTATGTTGTTAACTTACTATCTTTCTTGCTATGCAGTCTCATATTTTTTGTTTTGTTTAGAAAGCTCATTTTGTTTTGAAATGAGAACAACAGTTTAAAAGCTATGGCCCAAAGACATTTGGTTCCTGGGGAACCCACTGAAAGATTCCTGACAGCCGGGGGCACTTCTCTACTGGTTTTTGTTTGTCTGTGTTTTCTGTGTGGGTGGATCACATTAACTAGAAAGCCAGAAAACAGATATTCTGCATCAGAATCAAATTACTAAATCTAGTTATTGCCTGCCTTCTCTTCTGGGTTTCTTGTGCTTTGTAGAGTTTTTGCCTGTCATCTGGTGTTAGCTTTGTAAATAATTAGTTATTGATCATGAATAAGTTGTACAGACCTTTTTGCTATCATTCCCTGGGTCACAAAATAGAATGTAGTTAATAGACAAAGATCCTGTCATTCCTTGTTAATGAACACTTATTTAAGTAGAGCAAGGAATGAGCAGGTCTTATTCATCTGTTTATTTATCGATAAGTTTCTGAGTTGTTTTTTCTCAGTTTTTTATCCACTTCAGGGTGGATCAAAAAAGTGGTTCTCCCTGGTTTATCTGGGAAAATGAAAAGGGAAGATTCTAGAGACTTTAACAGTGATCTTTTGTTACAGAAAGATGCTTCAAAAGGATCACGGCAAAATGCTATGTTCTAAACATGTTGGTTGGCACAAGAGAAACTGTTTTACATTTTTACTCATGAGAGGTTCTGGTAGAATTTAAAAAATATTAAAGATTCATTAATCATGCCTTATAGATTTTGAAGCTGTGTTATTGGGGGCATACAGATTTATAATCATGATATCTTTCCTGTTGGTCTATTCCTTAATCAATATGAAAAGTTTCTCTTAATCTTTTGGCTAGTATTTGCATGGAATACCTATTTCCATCCTTTTATTTTCATGCTTTCTGTGTCTTTATACTTAAGGTGTGCCTCTTATAATACAACATATAGTTGTATTTTTCTTTCATCCAGTCTGACAAGCTTCTTAATTGAGCATTTCATCCATTTATATATAGTGTAATTAAGTAATGTTAGATTTATATATTATTTTTGCATTAATTTTCCCTTCCCCATCTGTATTATTTTCCCCTTTTCCTCCTTTTTTGCCTTCTTTTATACCAGTTACACTTTTTTTAAGCATCTCATTTTCTGATTTTTAAACATATTATTTGAATATTCTTTTACTATTATTTTTAACAATTATTCTAGAGATGGTAACATCCATGTTGGACTTATTTTAGAGTATTTCAAATGATTACTCTTACCAATCCACTGATAATGCTAGATATGGCCAGAAAAATAGCACGCTGGAATTGCCATTTTCTTCTCCTCTGTTTTATATTATTATTGTATTTCAATTCTATGTTTTATATTCCATAAGACATTACTGTTATTTTATACAGTTAGTATTCATTTGATGTGTTTTATGTTTGTAATTGTTTTTCATCCTTCAATTTCACTTTTCCTTTGGGATCATTTTCTTTCTGTCCAAAGAACTCACTTGTATTATTTCTTTTAGTGTTGGCCAGTTATGGGACTCTGTTTGTATGAAAATGATTTATTTCATCTTTGTGTTTGAAAGATATTTTCACTCACTATAGCATTCTAGGTTGGAAGTTATTTTCTTCTTCCATGTATTCTATTCTATTTTGATTTCCTTCATTTATAGTAAGTCATTAGCTTTCAGACTTACTGTTACATCTTTGAATTTAAATGGTATTATTTTCTTTCTTGCTGCTTTTAGTTTGTCTCCTTTTCTGTGGTTATTGACAATCTTACTATGGGTTGCATAGGATTGTTTTTGCTTTTTATTTATCCTGCATTGAATTTCTGAATTTTTTGATTGATATCTTTGATCAGTTTTGGAAGATTTGTGGCCATTGTCTGTTCTAATGTTACTTTTGTCTCATTATCTTCCTCCTTTTCTCCTGGCACTTCAATTACATGTATGTTAGATCTCCTCAATATGCCTGCACATTCCTAGCCCTCTTCTGTATTCTCTTCCTCAGTACTTCTGTTTAGTTATTTTCTGTGGATTGTCTTCCATTTTACTAATTCTGCCTCTTGCTGTGTCTACTCTCTATTTTGTTAATCCATCTAATAAATTTTTAATTTTAGAGAGTATATTTTGTAGTTTTAGAATTTCCAGTTGATTTTTTCATAGATTCATTTCTCTACTGAAATTTTTCTCTTACCTTCTATTTGTCATTTTTTTATCTTATTTTCCCTGTTCTCAAATATGATTATAGTTGTTTTGATGTTCTAGGAAATTGTAATATCTAGATTATCTGTGGGGCTGTTTCTGCTCTCTTTTTCCTCTTTCACTTGGACTGTGGTCTGGTTTTCTGCTGAGTTTAATAATTTTTGTTTGAAGTCAAGACTGTTTGTATGTAAAACTGTAGAAGCTTCAGATGATGTGATCTTCTTCCAGAGATAATTCATCCTGCCTTCTTCTAGACAAAGTGGGGCTGACCATCTTATTTTAATCAGAGACTGTGCTCAGTTTTGAGGCTACACTGGACCTTTAGTATGCCTCAGTCTCCATTTACTGTGCCTCTGGCTTTCTAGGATTTTCATCTGAGAGTCGGCTCTGTTACCTGGGGACTCTCTCCCTGGCGTTTTCCAAACTCGAGTCATTTTCTCTGATGATTGGTGCAAATTCCACTTTGCTTTATAGAGGTTTTCGTTTTGGTTTTTAGTCTTCTATCCCATACAGGTCTAGGAATTACAGATGTCCTGAGGGGAAAAATGATTGCAGCTTGATGGCTCCCGAAGGGTTGCACCAGTCTACCAGGTGTTCTTCATGCCACTTGCAAGCAGAAGTTCATGATTCCATCATTTTAATTGTTTGGTACATCATTTAAGCAAACCCCATTTGAAAACCCTTATTTACAAAACAGATCCACTAGGTTGCAATTTCCCATTTTACACAGAATTTGTTGCTTTACAGTGGAATTCATTTAAATATCAGACTACCTCTAGGGTAATTAATTATCACTTAGTTTACAAAATTTTCCATTGTACACAAGTTTTCAGGTATCGTATATTTTTAATTAGGCAGCAAACTAGTATTAGTAAACACTGTATTAATAAAACATCTGAGTCACAATATTTTAAAATGCAAATGTGTTGCTTTTTAGTAACACAGCAACTTGAAGTAACTGCTAATAAATAATTTACAAACGAGACTTATTTTCAATTAGTAACATATATTAGCATACATGTAACCAATGCACAACTTCCTTATTACCTATTTATTGAATATGTCCCACCTCTTGAATACTTTTCAGTTACCACTGATGTTGAAATGAATGCGTTTGTAAAGCACCATTACTCTGGAATAAAAAAGCAACTCTTGTGATATCATTTTAAAGGATTAGAAGATCATGGTAAATTTAGGCAATGGAGTGTGTTGTTGATTTTCAATTTGTGACATAATGGGTTTAAAAACATTGGTAGTGGCCGCCTGGCGGCTCACGCCTGTAATCCCAGCACTTTGGGAGGCCGAGGCAAGTGGATCACCTTAGGTCAGGAGTTCAAGACCAGCCTGGCCAACATGGTGTAACTTCTTCCCTACTAAAATATAAAAATTAGCTGGGCATGGTGGTGGCCACCTGTAATCCCACCTACTTGGGAGGTTGAGGCAGGATAATTGCTTGAACCCAGGAAGCGGTGGTTGCAGTGAGCCGAGATCATGCCATTGCACTCCAGCCTGGGTGACAAGAGCAAGACTCCATTACAAAAATAAATAAATAAAATAAAAATAAAAACACTGGTAGAAAACACAACTGCATCTTAATAGTGTAATTTTTGTGGGGTAGAAATAAAGCTGAATTTCCCCATCCTCTTTCCCTCCTTCTCTTCCTCGGCCCTTTCCACCCTCCCTTTCTGTATATTTTCTGTGTTTTTCAGATTTATAAGATGTAGTATGTTACAATGAAAAATGCAGTGAGTGGTAGCATTAAGGGTCAGCCTCTGTATGTGGAGGCACGCTGCCTTGGCTGAGTGGTCTGCATGAGTCTCACTGCCAAGTTACCTTCCTTGCTTCATAGATGTTGAGGATGTGGTCTCTCATTCTAACTTGTCACCCAAGTGATTCCCTTCATGGCTATAGACATGGATTCAAAAAATGTTGAGGTGTTTCTGCCAGGCCCCCACAGTTTGTGTGTTTCTTTGCAGACTGTATGAAAACAAGGGAGAGGCTGACTTCGTGGAATCTTTGCTGCAGCTCTTCAGGTCCATCAATGACATGATGAGCAGCATGTCAGACCAGACCGTCCGGGTGAAGGTGAGTGCCGGCCACTGCCAAGGCAGACTTCTCCTTCTTTTTTTCTTTCATTATCTCTTTTGGAGGTAGGTATTTTGATTACAGTTAATTAACTTGCCCCAAATACCATAGTTGTTAATGTCAGAGATCTCAATTTGATTTCAAGAGCTGTGCTTTTTTTTTTTTTTTTTTTTTTTTTGAGACAGAATCCTGCTCTGTTGCCCATGCTGGAGTGCAGTGGTGTGATCTCAGCTCACTGCAACCTCTGCCTCCCGGCTTGAAGCAATTCTCCTGTCTCAGCCTCCCGAATTGCTGGGACTACAGGCGCATGCCACCATGCCTGGCAAATTTTTTTGTATTTTTAGTAGAGATGGGGTTTCACCATATTGGTCAGGCTGGTCTCCAATTCCTGACCTCAGGTGACCCACCCACCTCAGCCTCCCAAAGTGCTGGGATTATAGGCGTGAGCCACTGTGCCCGGCCTTTTTTTAATTTTAATTTTATTTTTAGATGACACATAAAAACTGTACATATTTATGGGACATACGCTGATATTTCAGTACAGGTATACGATGTGATCAAATCAGGGTAATTAGCATAGCATCACCTTGAACATTTTTCATTTCTTTTTGCTGTGAACATTCAGAATCCTTTCTACTTGCTTTTTGAACATATACACTAAATTATTGTTGACCGTCTTCACTCTGCATTGCTACAGAACACTGGACTTTATTCTTCTTATCTAGCTGTAGCTTTGTATCAAAGTGGACTTGTAGATGAAGGGCTTCCTGTGGCTGAGCTAAGGGGCTGTGGGCCCTGCCAAGCCTGAACTCGAGGGAAAGGCCCCGGAGCCTCTTTTGTAGTGAACATAATCATGCTCCATGTGTAGTGAAATCCCTTCTTCCTCCTCCCTAGGTGCTCTTAAATATTTTCATTGCTTCTCTCTTTGCTGTTTGGCAAGACAGATTCTGAATTCACTTTATTTAAATTTGGGGGAATTGATGAGAATCATGTTTTACACCTAATTTCTCAGGGTGTCCATGCCCTGGAAAGGGTGGTGAACCTTCATGCTTCAGTGGATCTTTGCCTGTGCAGAAGAGCGAGCCTTCCAGTGCCCCTGTCCTTCTGTCCTTCTTCCCTCTTTTGATGACCTGGTCTCACCCTGTTGTCCTTTGGAAGAAAGATCCCTTCCACTCACATGAGGCCTGAGTGTTCTTTAGGATGCTCACTGGTGTGGAAGTGCCTGGGAGGCCCATGGAGCAGCCGCAGGACCCCCACAATCTTGGTTATCCTAGTTATGGCGGTTTTCACTGGGCTGACTTATTGCAGAAGGAGCTGTACAACTTGCAATTTGCTGCCTGCACTAATTCCTTCAAAGAACAAGAATCTTCCAAATGATTAGCTTACATCTTTCACTCGACTGATCATGGTAGACGCCTCTGTTCTTCCTCTTTTAATGTTTGTTTAACGTATAATTTTAGAAGGCATTCTTATGGCTAGTGTCTTAAAAATATTTTGGTCAAGTCGCTTCCCAGCCTTAAAGCTTTGCCATATGCCCTGGAACAAAGATGTATGTGTGCTGAGACGTGGCTGATGGTTGCTGTGACCAAGGAAACCAGCATAAGTAGACATGAATCAAGTCGGAGCCTACCTTTCATCTCAGAGGTGGTGCAGCTGTTTGGTGGAGCCATTTGGACTCTTCACTACGATTTCTTGATTTTTTTTTTACATGATTTACTATAAAAATTGGTGATTTATACAGAAAGAAATGTAGGTGGTGCATACATTAAAATTTTAGGTTATTTGGGCAACTTGATATTGCCCAAAGCTGTCTTATTGTCCCAAGGTTAAAATTAGCAATGTGTTTGGTACATTTACTACTGAATTCAGTGGCATTTTAGAAAAACAGACGTGTGTAGTGTAAGAATAGATAAAAATTACAGGAAGTTTTGAGCCCAGCAGTAATTTTAGATTGCTAAATATATCCTTACATTATTAAATTTGATTGGGCTTGATTTGTGTCTGCCTCCCTCCCTTGAAGTCAGATTACTTAGTGACTAGGGACCGGGAAGACCATGCTTCAGTGGGTGTTTTATTATAAGACACAAGTGAATTGAGTGACGTGTGTGCATTGATGCAAACCTTACATCTGCAAGACAGACGCACGGCGTTTTATTAGGCATGTCACCTCCCTTCTGGTAATTGGTATCGTATTATTTCACAATAGGTGCTTTCTCGATGACGTTGGAAATTTAAAGATTCCCATCGTGGGAGCCTGACTTTTGTGTTGTTTTAACTCTTTCAGTTTTGCTGTGTCTAAATGGAAGGAAATACCTTGTGAACCATCTTCCATAGACAAAGTATATTTTCAGACTGTGACATTTAAAGGTTAAACATTGTTTCCCCAAGTGTGGCCCTCGTTGGTACCAAACGGTTGGTACCTTCCCGGTTCAAGTGATTCTCCTGCCTCATCCTCCCAGTAGTTGGGATTACAGGCACCCGCCAGCATGCCTGGCTAATTTTTTTGAATTTTTAGCAGAGAAAGGCTCCATCCCCTTCTTGGTACCAAACCTGCCACTGGCATCAACTTTGCGGATTAGAGTCAGCCACGGGGTTTTACGCCTCATTGAAGAGGGAGGGCAGGAGGAACTTCAGAAGTAATTTATTGCAGGATAAGCATGGTCTCCAGCTAGAATTTTCAACAGGACTGTTTTCATTGATTTAGTGACAAAATTTTTCCAAGGTCATTTAAGTGAGAAAACACAAATGGAGGACGCGTGGGCCAGTTTTTATGTTAAGTCAAATGTCCAGGAAACTCCACTGAGTGTGTGGATGCTGCCTGCCTTCACTCCCCTTCCCAGCGGCCGTCTCCCGTCACCCCCGCTCCCCAGGCGCCCGCCGTGCCCAGATGTTTCAGTACCGCCTCACCGTCCCTCAGTGAATGGCCCTCAGCCCTGGGGCTGCAGCCAAATACTTTTTGAAAACATACTGCCGTGGCCAAATAACATGAAATTCCCCATTTCTAAGTGTCCCGTTCAGTGGCATTAAGTACAGTCACACTGTTGTGCAACCATCATCACCATCCCTCTTTAGAACTTTTACGTCTTTCCAAACTGAATGGAACTCCAGCCCCATCAAACACCAACTCCCTGCAGCCCCTGGCAGCCACCGGTCCACTTTCTGGGTCTAAGAATTTAATGGCTCTGGGAACCTCATGGAAGTGGACTCATACCACATTTGTCCTTTTGTGTCTGGCTTTTTTTCTTTTTTTTGAGACGGAGACTCGCTCAGTCTCCCATGCTGGAGGGCAGTGGCACAGTCTCGGCTCACAGCAACCTCTGCCTTCCCGGTTCAAGTGATTCTCCTGCCTCATCCTCCCAGCAGCTGGGATTACAGGCACCTGCCACCATGCCCGGCTAATTTTTTTGAATTTTTAGTAGAGACGGGGTTTCACCATGTTAGCCAGGCTGGTCTCGAACACCTGACCTCAAATAATTCACCCGCCTCGGCCTCCCAAAGTGCTGGGATTACAGGCATGAGCCACTGTGCCCGGCCGTGTTTGGCTTCTTTTATATGGCATAATGTCTGCAAGGTTCTACCAGGTGGTGGCATGTGTCAGAATCTTCTTCCTTTTTAAGGTTGTCATGTTGCTGTGTGTCTCGTGCACATTTTGCCTCCGCACCTGTCCCTGGATAGAGGCTCGGCCTGTTCCCACCTCATGGTGGTTGTGGTTCATGCTGCTGGGAACTGGGGTGTACAGATGCCTCTTGAAGACCCTGCTGCCAGTGCTCCAGAAGTGGAATTGCTGTTTCTCGTGGTAATTATGCTTGAATTTTTTGAAGAATCATCCTGTTTTTCCCAGCACCCCACCATGCTACCGAAACCTCACTTGAAATTCCATATTGACTTTCCCTCAGCAGCCCTTTCCGCAGCTCCTCCAGCTCCAGGCATATCCTCTGCCGCACATCACCTACCTTGAGTGAATGATGCGGCTCCGACTGCTGCATTGAAAAGGCCTGGGGTCAGAGGCGGAGGTTGCAGTGAGCCGAGATCGCGCCATTGCACTCCAGCCTGGGCAACAAGAGCAAAACTCCATCTCGAAAAAAAAATGATAAAAGAAAAGACCTGGGGTCTCTCGGTATCACCTCTTCCTGTCTGTTTTCCTCTGAAGAGGAGAAGCCCACCTGCTGTGCAGTGCTGACCGTCCCCCTCCCTGAGACCCGCTCCACCCCTAGCTGTTTCCTCACCATCTCAGATCTTCTGTCTTCACCTTGAGCTGCCCCTTCACCCGGCCCAGATGTTCTGGAAATTCAACCCGTGCCTTCTGGATTCTTCTTTGCCCTCGGCGTTTCTCTCTCCTACCTGACAAGAGGGTCCTTGGCCCCATTGCCTCTGCCCTCGAGTCGTGTTCTGTGTTCTGCCCCAAGAGATTGTGGCTGCTGTTCCTCCCAGGTGCCCCCGCCGCCCCCAGCTGCGGTGTCTCCAGTCAGCCTCGGAATTCCCTTCTGCTGTCTTCTCTTCTCTGTGCTACTGTGACTGTGGTTTCATGAACCACTGGGCTTGCTAGGTCCCCAGTTCTTCGTCTTGAAATTAGGGCAGAAAAGTCTTGGAACCGTTTCCTGCATGCTGATGCTGGACCTGCCCCTTTTTTCCTTGGCATCTCTTTTGGTGTTTTCCTGAAACTCCCATCTGGTGATGACTTGCTGTTTCTCAGAAAACTGTGCTGTTCTTCAGCTGCCAGGAGAAATGGGTCAGATTCCAGTGTGTGACATCCAGACAGCTTCATAGGCAGCCCACCTGGCTCTCCAAGCCTTTTTCCCTCGTGGAGACCCAAGTAGAACCAGTGCGTTCCCCAGGAAACACCAAACATCTGGGTGTGAGGAGCCTCCTGAGGGTTAGCTCCCCCAATCAGTGGTTGATAGAAATAGCATGAGCGCCTAGTGCCAGAGTAACTGGAGCTGATACTTATTGATCGCCTGCTGTTCAACGTGCTTTGTATTTCTCAACTGATTTAGTCTTTACAATAGCCCTATTAAGTAGATACTTTGATTGCTTTCTGATGAAGACACTGAGGCCTAGAGACCTTAATTAACCTACCCAAGGCCACAAGAGCTGGGATGGGGTAACGCGCTGGTTTAAACCCTGGTTGGCTAGTTCCAGAACCACTCTCTTTCCCATTTGGCTCCTAGAGACAGTGTTGCTAAGTCCTGGCTATCCCGTGGTGTTTGGAAACAGGGCCCATGCCTGCCATCCACATCAATGGAGAACAGGCTGGATGCTTTGGGCTGGAAAGATGCCGACATTATCCCTGGTGGAGCTTTCCATCGAAGTGGACATGCATAAAGCAACTTAAAAACTCTGGTGAAATGCCACAAGAATTGGGTGAGTGTGAAGGGGAGGGAGGAGAGTTAGAAGGGGCTGGTCACGAAGGCTTGTGGGAGGAGACCTTGGCGATGGCCCCACTGTGTTGGCAGCAGGTGGCTGTATCTTGGCCACTCGTGGATTGCAGTGCTGGATTGAGGCGTTTGGGGCTTTGCAGTCAGTTCTTACAGGCATTGACATCATTTCAAGTCCACAAATATTACTACCTTCCCTTAGGATGACCCTGGGAAAAGACTACTGCATGCAGGACCTTGGCATAGTCTGTTCCATCTGGGGCTGAGAATGCCAGAATTTTCTATAGAAGGAAACTTTGACCATGATCCACAGTAGGAAATTGATGCTTACTTGGTATATGTGTGTGAGTGTGTCTGTGTGCATTGTATGTGTGTGTGTGTATGTGTGCGTGTGTGTTGTGCATATGAAGCTGGAAAATGCTCATGAAGAAGTTCTACACTGATTCCCTGTGATGCATTCTGGCATTTTCTAGTCTAGTCTCCTTTAGTCTATTCTAGACTAATGTATTTCAGTTAAAAAAAAATTGCTGGTTGACAGGCACTAAATTTATTTCATGAGCACTAATGGATCTCAACCTGCACTGGAAAAACACTCCTCTTTATTCATCTCAGGACTCTGCCCCTCTGTCTCCTGCTTAGTTTATTATGAAAATATTGTCAGCTTTCTGCATTTCTTCCATTGTCGTGTAGAGCCCCAGGCCCCTGACGCTCAGGCAACTTTCCTGACCAGCATGCGGATTGAACTGGGGTGAAGATTAATTGAATTTGAGGCCCCCCAAGCTGAGGTTGGCACACAGATGCAGAAGGTTTGTCTTCCTTCTGGGGCACTGTCCCCAGGGAGCAGGCTTCCCCATCTCTTTCCATTCTAACCATCACATGGCGCCATTTCCATCTGGCTTTCTTAGAGAGGAGCTGTGTTGAAATAAGCTATTCTGTAATCTCAGTAAATACAGCTGATGGGTGAGTTCTGCCCTCCAAGAGGCACATTTTTTGATTCCCTTAAAAATAATTTCCTGATTTGAAATGAACTGTATTTTCTTGCCTTAAATCTTACCCAGAATTCTTCCTTATGAGGAGTTTTTGCTGCTTTTTGTGTATTTATTTCCGGGCTAGCATCTGGGATCCACACGGCTACTCACAGATTTGTACACATAGAACTTTACTGTCCTCAGAACAAATGATCTGAATGTGTTAGGGATGATGATAATTTAAGATCAGATGGAATAGGATTTGCTGGCAGGTGAGGAAGTCACGTTTCACTGAGTAACTTTGGGCCTGTCTGGCACCTCTCCTACAGCAGCTCCTGCCTTCGCCCCTTCGTCTTTATATGTGTTCCAGATTTTCATAAAGGTATCAAGTCCTGGTTTGCATTAAACAAAGCAGCCATTTATTGTGTCCTTGCCCTCAGTTTAAAAGTAATATGTGATCTGGTTAGAAAAATGCCAAAAAGTTAATTAAGAAAAATAAGAATCATTTATCACCCTACCTTCCAGAGATTACACTGTTAGCATTTTTGTTTTTACAGTGATGAGCTCTTTTTGCTTATTTAGCATTATCCTATATATATACACACACATATGTATACACCCACACCTATATATACACACATATAAATGTAACATATGTATAGTATAAATTCTCATGTGTATACACACACACACACACTTTTACAGTGTTGCATTTTTCTGTATATATCTACCTGTGTCCTTCAGTATTTTTCAAGCACACATTTTGAAAGGTTACACATTGCCTCATGGCTGTATGATAACTTACTTAACCAGTTTTCCATTTGAGGGCACATAGCTGGTTTCTAGTTTTCAGTTTTCATGAACAGTGCTTGGCTGACCTCTCTGTCTATGGCAAAGGCCTTGCTCCATCTGGTTTGCTCTGAGGCATCCAGATTTTCAAATGCTCTAAAGTCCGATGAAAGTCATGATCAAGGCGATTAGGGCTTGATTCCTGGGTGATGACTCTGTGCTTCTTTCATTGGCGCCGTGTGTCTGCCCTGCCTTGGTTTCCACTAGAGCTCCCGTCTGTTTCTTTTCCACTTCCTTCTATGCTTCTTGTCATTGGGCTATGCAGCTGCCATGGTGGATGAGTCGGGAGCCACTTCCCTCTCTCAGAAGCCACCTGCTTCTGTGACCTTTGTGTTTCTTGGTACAGGATTGTTGGCCAAGTTAGGTAAGGAGACGAGAACTCCGGTGCGTTCCACTCCCTCTGACCTGACGAATCAGGGCCTGGAGCAAACCAACCAATGAGATGTTGGCACCGTCATAGACCAGCAAGCAGCTTAAAGAAATTTGGGAGTATTTTGAGTCAGAAGGGTTTCCCAAGAGCAAGTAATAAAATATTTTCACCTTCTTGATTTTGAGTGGAGGAGGGGGTGCACTGATGGTGTTAATTGATCTGAGGATGTCATGGGCATGAGTCAGGAATCTATTTGAGAGTCTCTCATCATTCGTGGGGACACAGATGCGGTGGTTTGAATGAGGACCGTCTAGGTCACATTGTCTGTATGGAGACAGACTTGTTGAATTAGAATATTGGGCAGCTGAGGCTGGCAACTCAGGTGAAGCCAACCATGACAGGAAGGACTACACTTGTTGAGAATCAGCAACAGGCCAGGCCTTCTGGAGAGTTCTCCTGCAACAAAGAGAAGAGAGGGAGGTCCCAGAGTCGAGGAGGTGAGTAGGCCAAGTTTGGAAGTTGCTCTAACAAAATACTACAAACTTGGTAGCTTAAAACAGTGGTTTTTTTCTTCTCTCAGAGCCTTGGAGATTAGAAACTTGAAATCAGGGTGGCGGCAGGGCAGGTTCCTTTTGGCTGCTCCAAGAGATGATGTGTTCTGTGCCTTTCTCTAGGTTTCTGGTGATCCTTGGTATTTCCTGACTTGCAGATGCCTTGCTCCAGTCTCTGCCCCCGTCTTCACGCAGCACTCTCCCTGTGTGTCTGTCTTTGTGTCTCTTCTCTTCTTATGAGGTTGTTAAATTCAGGGCCAACTCTACTGTGGCGTGGCCTCAGGTCAACTTGATTATATCTGAAAAAAGACTGTTTCCAAAACATTCACAGGTCCCAAGGGTTGGAACTTGAATTTAGCCCTTTTTTTTTTTTTTTTTTTTTGAGATGGAGTCTCGCCCTGTCACCCAGGCTGGAGAGCAGTGGTGTGATCTCGGCTCACTGCAACCTCCACCTCCCGGGTTCAAACGATTCTCCTGCCTCAGCCTCCCGAGTAGCTGGGATTATAGGCACCCACTACCACGCCAAGCTAATTTTTGTATTTTTAGTAGAGACAGGGTTTCACCACATTTGCCAGGCCGGTCTCGAACTCCTGACCTTGTGATCTGCCCGCCTCGGCCTCCCAAAGTGCTGGGATTATAGGTGTGACCCACTGCACCTGGCCTGAACGTAACCTTTTGAAGGACACAGTTTCACCCACGGTAGACGTCATCGTGGACGTCAGTGTAGAGTTCACTGGCAGGTCAGTGGTGAACAAAGGACTGGAGAGGAAGTGGGTCCTTAGCCAGGCACCCACAGTCAGTTTGACATGGGAGCTGCAGGACTGGAAACTTCTTAGAATCTAGTGTGCACATGAGTCACCTGGAGGTCTTGTTAAAATGTGATTCCGACTCTGTAGGGAGGGGGCCTCAAGATGTTTCATTATAATCAACTCCCAGCTGATGCTAAGGTTGTGGGTCCCTGGCCATATATTGAGTCAGAAGTGGCCACGCCTCGCCTTGCACAGACAGCTGCTGTGTGAGCAGTAGTGTTTGTGGGTAGGGCACCTGGTCTCAGTTCTTGCAGCCTTCAAGGCTGGCTTCATTCAGGCTGCCTGCCCTCAGCTGTCTGACGTTCTGGACTATTTTGATTTGATAAGTTTGCCCTACACACAGATGATGACACACTTGCAAGTGTGTCATGTTAAGAAAGACTCAGCAGAAGAAGGAACGAGGGAAGTGAAGAAAATATTTTATGGCTTGCTCTTAGAGGACCTGTGGGTCCAAATGCTCCCCATTTCACTATACTGCTTGCTGGTCTGTGGCCCTGCAGAGGGTTGGGTAGTCTGGCTGAGATCTGAACTCACCAGGTGCTGCAGCATTCCAGTCTTCTTGGTTGCTTCCTAGGATTCTTCCTGCCCGCTCTGGAGGGAACAATACCACTCACATAGGCAAGAATTAATCAGGAGAGGTCTGGATAAATACACTTGTTTCCTTGAGCACCTCTCCACCCACATTTATACTGTGCACAGTACTTTGCAACAGTAGCAGAAATGCAGCAGTAGCACTACCTTGCAGAAATGCAACAGTAGCTGAAATGAAAATCATCTCTCTTCCACCGTTTCTTCAGCAAACCAAGTATTTCTATTGGTTTTCTTCCAATTCTAGTGCATGCCCATCAAAATGTTTATGCTTGCAACCTGCGTAGTTTTTGGTTTACTGATTTTTTTATCATTTTATCACAACACCTTTCCATTATTAATGTGTAGTTGTAATTGTAATGGCTGTATGCCAGTTCAGAACATGTGCCTGAATTGATGTGCAATCATTTGCTTAATCAAATGATTTTTCCTCAAATTAATTTTTCTATTGTTGAATACTACCGTGTTGCTTTTAGCATTTTAAGCCTGCAACAAATTATTTCATTGATAAGTAGTGTGTGTTTATGTTTTCTTTAATTTTATGATCCATTTTTCCATGTTGATTCCTTCACATTGCCACTTGTTAGAGGACAATGCTTTAATTTGAGATTGCAGAATTCTAGGCACTTGCTTGCCATCCCTCCTGCCTTGTCCCCAGTAATGATGCTCACTGGTGGAAAATCTCTCCTTTGGCCATGGTGGCTTCAGTGCTCAGGAACCTGAACTTATTTTCTTCTCCCACCCCTGATCTTGTTCAGAGATCTCTCTTGTTAGGTGCTCCTCCCACATCTGTGCCCTCGGTCTTGGATTCTGCCTGCTGCCAACATGCAAGGTGCCAGTGAGCCCCTTTCTCCTTCCTCCATCATGGTCAGGATTTATTCAGCATTTCTCTGAAAGTGAGCAGGTCTCAGAGTTATGCTTAGTACCTCATTGTTGAGTTATGTATTCACCTGTTTAAAAAATTCCTTCAATCATATGTTCATTCTCCTGTGTGCCAGGCACTGTGCTAGGCACTGAGGAGTTACAGCACCAATCACACAGATACGCTCTGTATTCTCATGGTGGTTCCATTGGAGTGAGCAAGGCAGGCGTGAACTCAGTAACCATCCCCTATGTGTATAGTTGCATAGTTGCAATATGTGATTTTAAGCAAATCACAGACATAAAATTATCATTGTGGATTGTAGTCACTCATTTTAAGAAAAAGTAAAGGTCAGGGTGACAAGGTATATCGGGGCATTGGAAGTAGTTTAGGGGTTCAAAGAAGGTGCTGATACAAAGGTAGTCACCATGAGGTGCTTGGATATGTAATACAGCAGAGGAAAATGCCAAACCCAGACTCTCGTATGGTTTGGAGAGAACTGTGCTGCCACTTTTGTCCAGAGGGGTTGTGGAGCATGAAGTAATCCTAATCCCTTCTGTTCGTGCAGTACTCTCAGGCACCAAAGACTTTGATGCGTGTTATCTCTTAGGATCCTCCCAGCACTGCCATGGTGGTTGTTAAAAATAATGAGAAAGCTTTCTAAAGGGACGGGCAGAGAACATCATCATGCAAAGTCTGTGCGTCTTAATAGCTGACTCATTGATGGAAACATTTATATCCCACATCCACTGGCTCTTGTCTGGCTTCTTCAAATGCACCTGTCCCTAGGACCCCTTCCTAGAGATACCAGCATTTAGAACAGACCAGTCTAAACAAGGTCTTCTCAAGTGAACTGAAGATACTAGGCCTGCAAACGCTCATCTGCACTTCACTTACGATGTGGCATTTATAAATGCATTCACCGTAGGTGTTTGTAGATTCTTTTTATGTTTTAAGTTTTAAGTTTGCAGCATTGAGGCCTATTTTGATTGCAAATTGCATAAACCTCAAATAAGATCTAAATCAAAGGAAAGGTATTGCATGCTTATAGGTGACTCAACATTAAGAATTCAGTTCTTCCCAACTTGATCTACAGATTCACTGCAGTCCCAATCAAAATCCCAGCAAGTTTTTTTGTGGCTATTGACCAACTGATTCCGAAGTTCATGTGGAAAGGCAAAAGACCCAGAATAATCAACACAATATTTATGGAGAACAAAGTCAGAGGACTGGCACTACTCGACTTCAAGTCTGCTGGAAAGCTCCAGTAGTCTAATTACAGAAACCCAACTCCAATTCACATTAGAAAGAAGGAAATTAATTGATTCATGTAGTTTGGGAGTCCAAGTGTTAAGCATGAGTGAGTTTAGGATTTAGAAGGTATCCTCCTCTTGGCTTAGTATTTATTTCTCTCCATTTGAGGGAAAAGTGGCTGCCAGTAGCCAGAGGCTTGCAATTTTCTTTTTTGTCTAATAGTCTTCGAGGACACAGAGTGACCGTCTCCCTCTTTAAGGCAATGTTAATCTTCAGACAGAACCATCGTTAACCTTCTTTTAAGCAGGAGGCTATCCCTGAAAGGAAAAGACTGTGAAGTTGAAACAGAAGTAGAGCTTCATAATGCAGAAAATGGAGAAAGAGGGATGAGAGGACTCACAGGAAGGCTGAAGGGACATTTGTAAATGCAGCTGAAGCCAGTGCAAATTGGCGACTTTGTGAAATGGGTTTTGCAGCTATTCTTTGGAGCTGTCTGCTGAGGTGATGGAAAGGGTAGTTAAAAGCTTCATTTAGGATTGGTGTTCTGCCAGCATGCCAAGTAGCCCAAACCAAGGCCTGGGAGGAGAGCAGACTTTAAATATGTCCCAGGAAACGTTTTATTGAGAAACATGTCAACTACCACTATAGCATTATCAAGAGGGAAAAAGGAATATTTCATATGTGAGCTTAAAAAATCATTAGCTCTGTTATATTGAATACTTGCAAAATTTCATTAAAATTGTTTTTGCAGAATTTTATGATAGAATAAATTACTTTTGTGTATGTATTGATGAAATCATGGAGTTATATGAGTTTGGATTTCTCAAGCACCCAAATAGTCAACATCAAGAATCAGGGAATTAGGAGGTTAGAAAGTCACATCTTTAGTTTTTTTCAGGAACTTGCCCAGGAACAGAGGGGTCCTAGGTGGGATGACCAGACCCCAGTTCTCTGTTCTTCAGCCCAGTGCTTTTTTCATGACATCACTCAAGTCAGATTTTAAATTTGTGCATTACACTGGCTTTATTTAGAATCCTGTGCCAGGCAATATAGTTTTGATTAGAAGCTGAACAGTATTATTCTCCATGAACTGTGAATGTGACACTTTTATAATTCAAGTAGAATTATTTTTCCCTTGGGAAATCCTATACATTCAATATGGTACATTGAATTAGCAAAGAGGTAGAAGAAAAAAGGGGCTATAAAAAGTGTATCTTATTAAAACAAAGTAGGTTTTCTTCTTGCCTGTGTCACCTTTAGATAGTAATTCTTAGCATCACTATTTTTTAAATCACAAATTGTCTTCTATCTAGTGAAATGATTAAGAAAGAACAGTAGTCCTCATTTGATTAGGTGAAACGTGACACAAGTCTCGTTGATTTTTGAAAAGGACATTTTCATATAATTCCAAGAAATACACATTCTGACATTAAACATTTTATATGATCCCTATTGAAGATTAAAAGGAGAGGTGTTTGGCCGGGTGCGGTGGCTCACACCTGTAGTCCCAGCACTCTGGGATGCTGAGGCAGGTGGATCACCTGAGGTTGGGAGTTCGAGACTAGCCTGACCAACTGACCAACATGAAGAAATCCTGTCTCTACTAAAAATACGGAATTAGCTGGGCTTGGTGGTGCATGCCTGTAGTCCCAGCTACTTGGGAGGCTGAGGCAGGAGAATCGCCTGAACACAGGAGGTGGAGGTTGTGGTGAGCTGAGATTGCACCATTGCACTCCAGCCTGGGCAACAAGAGCGAAACTCTGTCTCAAAAAAAAAAAAAAAAAAAAAAAAAAAAAAGGAGAGTTGTTATGTCTGGGAAATTAGGTGGCCATCAAGTTTTTTCATGGTTTTTCTTTCATTGATTGATTGATTGATTTGATTGACGTACTGAGACCGAGTCTCACTGTCACTTAGGCTGTAGTGCAGTGGTGCAATCTTGGCTCACTGTAGCCTTGACCTCCTGGGCTCAAGTGACCCTTCCGCCTCAGCTTCCAAAGTAGCTGGGACTATAGGCCAGCACCACCACAGATGGCTAATTTTTGTAATTTTTGTAGAGATATGGTTTCGTCATATATTAGTCTATTTTCACACTGCTATAAAGAACTACCTGAGACTGGGTAATTTATAAAGAAAAGAGGTTTACTTGACTCACAGTTCCACAGGTTTAACGGAAGCATGATTAGGAGACCTCAGGAAACTTACAGTCATGGAGGAAGACGAAGGGGAAGCAAGGACCTTCTTCACATGGCGGCAGGAGAGAGAGCGGAGGGGGAAGTGACACACACTTTAAACCATCAGATCTCATGAGAACTCACTGTCATGAGAACGGCAAGGGGGAGGTCTGCCCCCGTGATTTAGTCACTTCCCACCATGCCGCTCACCCGACACGTGGGGATTACAATTTGAGATGAGATTTGGGTGGGGACACAGAACCAAACCATATCACTCCATGTTGCCCAGGCTGAGTGCTAGATTCCTGTGTGTTATTTTAGGGCACTTTATACTTTTATTATTTACCAGTGTTTGAGAAGTTTATGATGGTTCACAAAACTTTCTCTTCCTACGTGGGTCTTATGTGTGTTTTTGAGTGAGCTGATGATACACTCGTGGCCAGCACTGTTCTGTGCTGTGTTTCTCCACCCAGTGTGTGGACATCTTGCTATGTGCACAGGTAATATGTCCTTCTTACACAGAGGGGTGCAAAGGTTGAGTCAAATCAGCATCCAAGGAGTTGCTGATAAATTGAGAACTTCCTGACAGCAAGTGACACCAAAACCTCAACTAAAATGATCAGCAAAGATCCATTAAGAAAATATCGGCCAGGCACGGTGGCTCGTGCCTGTAATCCCGGCACTTTGGGAGGCCGAGGTGGGCGGATCACAAGGTCAGTAGATCAAGACCATCCTGGCTAACACGGTGAAACCCCGTCTCTACTAAAAATACAAAAAATTAGCTAGGCGTGGTGGCTGGCGCCTGTAGTCCCTGCTAATCAGGAGACTGAGGCAGGAGAATCGCTTGAACCCGGGAGGTAGAGGTTGCAGTGAGCCAAGATCACGCCACTGCACTCCAGCCTGGATGACAGAGCAAGATTCTGTCTCAAAAAAGAAAAGAAAATACCAAGAACCAGAAAACGGGTCGTGGCGTAAACCTTGGTGAGGACCTTGGAATTCAAGGTGAAAGGCAGAGTGTGCCCCAGGGAGTGGTGAGGGTTCCTGCAGCATATGCAGCTGCATCCCCCACCCCAGCACCCTGATTTCTCCTCACTGCTCAGCTCCTCTGGAATCCTTGCCTTCCCACCTCATTGGTGGAGCTGCTCCATTGAAACCCAAGACTCCATTCCAGGCCTGGCCTCAGCCCCATCTCTGCCCAGGGCTGACAGGGGGGCTCCGTCATCTACCCCAGGGCCTGTGCCTTCCTTCTTCCTCCTGGTGGCATTTCCATGTTGGGGGCCCCTGCTTGTCCCTGGGGTGCAGGAATTCTTAAGCACCTCTGGCATTTTGCTCCTGCCTTCTTGCCTGGAGTTTCACTGCTGTCTGCAGGCCTTTGAGAACAGAGGCAGGGAGGTGCCAGAAGCCCTTGAGAGTGTGGTGATTAGGGGTTGGATGCCCTGTGCGAATGGCAAGGAGGATGATTCTTGAAAGAAAATGTCAGGGTAACTTAAATTTCTCTGAGGTCAGCTTGCTTGTTGTTAATTAAGTTCTTACTACGAGGGCCGAGCGCGGTGGCTTATGCCTGTAATCGCAGCACTTTGGGAGGCTGAGGTGGGTGGATCACTTGAGGTCAGGAGTTTGAGACCAACCTGGCCAACATGGTGAAGCTCCATATCTACTAAATATACAAAAATTAGCTGGGCGTGGTGGTGGGCTCCTGTAATCCTGGCTACTCAGGAGACCGAGGTGGGAGAATCACTTGAACCCAGGAGGCAGAGGTTGCAGTCAGCCGAGATTGCACCACTGCACTCCAGCCTAGGTGACAGAGCGAGACTGTGTCTCAAAATAAAAATAAAAAAAGTTCTTACCAAGAAAGCAGTGCTAAGTACTTCTCCAGCACTGCTTCATGTCGGTTGGCTTCTCCAGACATGGGCCTCTTTGTGGATGTTATTGGAAAGGGTAGTGTTTTAATATACGTGCGCTTTTCACATGGATTCAAGGATGGCATGGGTGGGTGGGATTACTCGACTTTATAGCATATTAAGTGCTTATTTGGTGCCAGTTATGGACTCGTACTGGGCAGATGCCATGAGGAATGTACAGTGGAAGATGTTGGATTCTGACTGCAGGAGAGGAAACCAGGTATTCGACCCCCCAAATAGATGACAGATTGTGTGGTACATCACTGCATCATTGGGTGTCCAGACGAGAGATTGCAGGCAAGACAAGGACCTAAAGAAAGTGGCAAGTGCACTGAAACCACCAGTTAAGGCCTCCTCAGAGCAGGTTGGACTGCCCTGAGCTTTGAGGGGTGGGTGTGAGTTGAGATGGGGGAGCATTCCATGGAGGGGCAGGAGGGTATGGATGGGAGGGAGAAGGACAGTGGAAGGAGGTGGTGGGGATGGGTTGTTCTCTTGGGAGCCCAGGGGCAGGAGTGGAGGCAGGCAGCCTCGTTCCACCCCTGGTATTCAGAGCCGAGAAAAGGAATTTGGACGAGGAGGTGCTGTGCTAATGAGAGGCAGTATTAGAGATCCTGAGCTGACACACTGGAAATTGACATATGGGCTTATTTATTTATTTATTTTATTTATGTTTTAAATAAAGGTTAAGATCTTCCAGAGAAGACATAGGAGGAGAAATGGGCATTATTTTTCCAGGGGTCTCTTAGTATGTAAATAACCTGAGTTCTTAAAAGTTTTATCTTATAGAATTTTTTTATTAGTTCTTTTATTTTTGTCATGGGAAAAATTCAGAAGCTTTCCTGGAAACTTGCATGTCTGCTTTCAGAGTTTTGTGGCTCTTACAAGGAGCCCCTTTGGGGGTGTGGGGCAACCTTGCATCCCAGGAAGCCGCCTGGGAGATTCTAGGGCTGGTACCTCCTTTCCACTCAGCTGCCTGGGAGATTCTGGGGTTGGTACCTCCTCTGCATTCAGGCTGCCTCCATCAGCTGAAGAGGCGAGAGTGTCATAACATGACATTCTGTGTATGCGCAATGTATTTGTAGAAGATACTGATCTTTGGATCCGGCAATCCCATTCCTGGGTATCTACCCAGAGGAAAAGAAGTCATTATATGAAAAAGATACTTGTACATGCATGTTTACAGCAGCACAATTCACAATTACAAAAATTGTGGAACCAGCCCAAATGCCCATCAGTCAACAAGTAGATAAAGAACATGATGGAGTACTACTTAGCCATAAAAAGGAATGAATTAAGGGCATTTACAGCAACCTGGATGGAGTTGGAGACCATTATTCTAAGCGAAGTAACTCAGGAATGGAAAACCAAACATGGAATCTCCTCTTCATCCTTTTTCTGTCTGCCTTTCCTTGTTCTCATACTTAAAGACAGCGTGTTGGGAGCGGTATATTGCTGTTGTTTTTGTCTTCTCCAATCTGACCACCTATGTCTTTTATTTGGAGTATTTAATCCCTTGCTTTTTGTTTGTTTAATAATCCCTTTATAAAACAGCTGAATTATAAATTGATGGATAAATTTATAGATGTTGAAAGGCACAAATCTGAAGTATGCAGCTTAATCAGGTTTGACAAATGCTGACACTCATGTAACCCACACTGGCATGTTTGCACCAGATTAAAGAACATCTCCATCACCAGTCTCTGAACATTGGATGCATTTACCGGTGGTGTTGGGTATATTTCTTCCATACTCCCGTCTGGAATCTGAACCTCTTGATCCCATTTGCCTCAGCAACTCTGACTCCTTCAGACTGAAACTTTCTATCCCACAGTATTTTCTTGTTTCCATCAAGAAAGGAAGAGATTTAAACTCTGTTCTGCAATTCTGTCTGCATTTCCTCTCTGGAATCCTTCTCTCTCTCCAAACAAAGTGGTTACCTCTTTAAAATAGGCAGTGAACATCAAGGAAAACCTTGCATAGGCTGAAAAGGGCAAAGTGCTCACCTTTGCTTGCATTGGGAAGTAATTTCTTTTAAGTGTGCATAGAGACAGACTAATAAAAAAATCTGTTGAGTGTGTCATGTGGCAGTCAGTCTTTAGAAGTGTTGTTCCTTTGTCTTTTAATCATTCTCAGAATTAGCACACCAGTTGTGTGATATGTAAAAGTCTATTCCTGGCAGGGTGAGGTGGCTCATGCTTATAATCCCAGCACTTTGGGAGGCCGAGGAGGGCGGATCACCTGAGGTCAGGAGTTCGAGATCAGCCTGACCAATGTGGTGAAACCCTTTCTCTTCTAAAAATACAAAAATTAGCTGGGCGTGTAGGTGCATGCCTGTAATCCCAGCTACTCGGGAGGCTGAGGCAGGAGAATTGCTTGAAGCTGGGAAGCGGAGGTTGCAGTGAGCCAACATTGCGCCACTGCACTCCAGCCTGGGCGACAAGAATGAAACTCTGTCCCAATAAAAAATAAATAAATAAATCTTTTCCCTAGCTCATTTTTTTTTGACTGTGTTAAATTCAGTGGAGCAAGGTCTCATTTATATCCTCCTTATTCATAATTTGGGGTAATTAGCATAGTGGTTGGGCTGCCATTCACCTCTTACAGCTAGGAAAATGAGGCTTTGCGAGAGGAATGCAAAAATATAAACAGGATTAAGTCATTGATGGCATGCTCATACTTCCTAGGAGAATTAAGTCTTTTCAGGTACCACAGTATGTATGAGTCCTTCTTAACTCTCATTTCCACCAGATCTCCACCAAGGAGTTTAGAACTGATGGACTCCAAGTCTCCCTCTGGATGAGACATTCTGAGTTCTTGCCAATATCATGCTAAGCTGGGTTGATAATTTCCTTTGAAAAATTTCCTTTGAAAATGAGTAGCATTTCATCTTTTGGAAATTTATCATTCTTCAGACTTTTCACTGACCTGTCCCCTCCCATAGCCGACCCCCTCCTGTACCCCAGGGTTTGATTGATATTTGCTTTTGTATTGTAATTACTATTTAATATCCAGCCCTCCTGAGGTTTGCTTCACTGCAGTCACATTGTATTGCAAGCAGAAAATGTCACGTCGCCTGGAGCTGTTGGGGTAGTGTGGTTGTGGTCCTTTGGGTATTTCCTGGCACACCTGGCTCATGACATCGTGCAGAGCTGAACAGGCTCTAGGAGGAGGAAGGAAACCTTGCCTGGGTACTTAAAATTATCTATCACAGTGGATCCTGAGTCTGCCTCTCAGCCTGTCTTGAATGCCAGGCTATTATAAATCAGCTTTATTTATTTTGTGTTTGAATTTTGACTTTCCTGTTCAATAATTTAATATTTTAAAATGACACCTTTGGTCTTTTATTTGTCATAAGCGAGGGCCGAGTTAGCCACCCTGCAATTTGCCTCTGTACTCTCCGCCCCCCAGTGTGTAGTCGTTAGCTCATAATTGTTTTCTTAACCTCCTCAGAGCCTGGTGTGATCTTGCTCTCAACCTTCTTGACCTTCCAAGGTAGTTAAATGAGGTTTTGCTTTCTCTATGAATTAATTATGTCATCTCTATTTGAAATGTTCCTGAACCCATGGTGCTGTATTTTGGCAAAATAAATACTATTTTCAGAGACTGTAAGACCCATCCATTTTATTTCCTTTTATTAGAAGATAGAACGATTTTCTTAGATGAGCAGTTATCAGCTGATGTTCACCTTCTTGGAGGAAGGGACTGCTGGCGGTTTTACTTCAAATGCAGCCATTTGAAGTATCTGATTTGGAACATTCCATACCTGGTGCAGAGGCCACTTGTTTCTACAGGTTTGTCCTGGTGGTCTGTCCTCTGTGCCATTGAACTCCCAGAGTCCTCTGCAGAGGACATGTAATAATTCTTGCCTATTAATTTGTGGACCCTGTATGTGGGGCTTTTTTTTTTTTTGCCTGTTTGAGACTTCCTGCCTTTAGGAGTAGACAATGACCTTTCATACGTTTAATGCTTCTGTTGTTCTCAAGTTTGAGAATGTGGTGTGTCCCCTGGGTCCCCTCCTTACATGAAATCCAACCCAAAGGGTCAGTGTGTTTCTTGTGTGTTTCTGTCTTCACTCCTCTGTCCGCTTTCATCTCTTTCCTGGTGAGTCTCTGCCCTGTCATAAGCAAATAACCTTAGTTGTTTCCTCCCCAGTAATGGTGGCTTCAATTGCTGTGGATTTCCTGGCCTGATTTCAAGGCTAGGGGAAAATGCCTGTGTCCTGGTTCAGAACAGGCAGTCTCTTTATTTCTTCTGTCTTGCCGTGGACAAATAGAATCGTGGCCCTTACGAGTTCTTTCTAAAAAAATCACCTTTATTGAGGTAAAATTTATATGAACAAAAAAATAGAACCATTTGAAGTATCTGATTTTGGATCATTTTGAAAATGTCCCAAATGTCCTCTCGTCACCACCGTAATCAAGAGCTGGAACATTTCGCCACCCCAGTGATCTCCCTTTGCTGGCCCCTGGCGATGCTCATACATGTGGTGGTTCTTCACGCGAAAGCAGCTGACCTCAAAGAGGGTGAACATGAGCCCTGCTTTCCTTTCCTCTTTGACTTCCTCTCTGATCCATCCCTAAACTACAGGATTTTGTCATGTTAGTTCCTATTTTCTATTACCATGAATGACTGTTGGCGCCTCAGGCTGGGGAAGGTTAATTGTAGTAACAAAGAAGAGGTTTTCCTGGCAGGAACCATTTCCTTACTCAGGAAACAAACGCTTTCCTTTCTCACAGTCATCTTCTCCTTCTTATGTAAGTAGAAATATTAAGCCATACTCAGTCTGTCCAGGTCCTGAGAATTGGTGTCTGCCCGGGTCTGGGTTTGTATTAGTCTATTCTCACGCTGCCAATAAAGACACACCTTAGACTGGGTCATGTATAAAGAAAAAGAGGCTTAATTTAAGGGACTCACAGTTCCACATGGCTGGGGAGGCCTCACAATCATGGCGGAAGGTGAAGGAGTAGCCAAGGCATGTCTTACATGGCGGCAGGCAAGAGAGCGTGTGCAGGAGAACTGCCCTTTATAAAACCGTCAGATCACATGAGACTTATTCACTATCATACTGTCATGAGAACAGCATGGGAAAAACCCATCCCCATGATTCAGTTACCTCCCACCGAGTCCCTCCCACAATACATGGGGATGATGGGAGCTACAATTAAAGATGCAATTTGGGTGGGGAGACAGCCCAAACCATATCAGGGTTGCAGAGGCTTATGTGGGAGGATCAAGAGTGACAGCAACTGTCTGGCTGGAGGGGAAGGAGACAGAACCTGTCCCTGGGCCTTCGTCTCCTTTCCCCGTGCCCCACACCTAGCCCTGGGGAGCCCGATTCCCTCCTCACACTCCCTTGGCTCCCTTCTTGTCTCTGTACACAGCCCCAAGCACAAAACGACTGCTCATTTTCCTGGCCATGCTGTGCTTTGCTGTCTCCATGTCTTTGTGAGCAGGGATCTTTCTCCTTGGAAGGCCTGTTCTCTTCCTGTCTTCCAGGACATCTGCCTGTCAGCAGTCAGCCTTCTATATCCACTGCAGAGGCCATTTGTTTCTGCAGATTTGTCCTGGTGGCCTGTCCTCTGTGCCATTGGACTCCCAGAGTCCTCTGCAAAGGACACCATGTTTTCATTAAACACATAGAGGAGGCATGTTGGCAAATGTCATTTGCAGATCTGTCTTCTCTAGCAGGGCAATGCTCTTGGCCATTGAACATTTTGCCTGGCATGCCACAGGTTCCAACACTTTCTGGACAAATGAATAAGTGAACTGGAGATCAGTAAGTTATTTTGAAAATGCACCTGCTGTGGCATTTGAGGAGATGTAAAATACCTGGTGCCCTCCCTTCCCAGGACCCCTCCAAGCTGGACGAGCAGTCCTGGCTCCTTGGTGGGGCATTGTCTGGTGAGCCTTGAGGGCGTGCTTGGGTGCCAGCGATCTCCCCACCCTTTGCTTTGTTAGTTTTTGCTCCTGACCTACTGCTTTGATTTGAGAAACCCTTCGGCTATTAAAATATGAGTTAATCATCTAAGAAACTCACTAACTGAACTTCATAGTGAGGAAGTATGCTTCCTGTTGATAGATAATAAAACAGAGTGGAATAATTTGAATTCTTTATAATGGATGTGATTATAAATGATTTCCCCATTTACTCATATAAAAGGCTAAATGGAAGATGATTAGTGAGTTCTGTTTTCTGTTTTTCCTAAGGTGATTTTTTAATCTTCCCAACAAATTCCTGCGATACAGGGAAGAAAAAGAAAAACCCATTAAAATTTGCTTAAAATCTTTAAGAAGCCATTTAAAGCTTCAGAACTGAGTAATCTTTCTGCCCCCTTAGTATATTATGGCACAGGAGAGAAAACAAATTACAGGCAACCACTCTACCTTGCTTTAACGTAGGGTTAGGATTGCTTGACATCTTCTGATCACATTATTGTGCTGCTGATACTTGTCATAAATGTAGTGATGAGATTCTGGATGTAAAAATATTTATAATTTCCCATCTCTTGTTATCCCTAAAAAATTAATATTTGTAATGGGTCTAAATCCTTCTAAATCCCATTATTTAATATTGTTCTGCAATTTGATGATTAAAGAATTGTTATTTTTTTACCTCCTTTATCCTTAAATCCTTCACCCATAATCTCCTGTTTATAATTGCAGGTGTCTAATGATTCATAATTAGTTAATTCTTGGTTGGTGAGTGATTGTTTCATATTGCAATTAGGAAGATCATGCATAAAGCCATTTCTAGTTAAATGTGTGTATGTTCTTTACCAGGCTTGTGTTCAAGAGTTCTGTAGTTACCACGTTATAGTAATCTCTGACCTTATTTTTGTTAAGCAAAGACATCTGGTTCAAAGACCCTCTCTCACCAGCAAGCGGTTCTCATTCAATCTAAGCATGTTGAAAAAGGCCCTTTCCCTAAATGGGCTTGGGAGCAATACTGGGGTCGTGGCTGTCCTCAGGGTGTCTGAGCGCTTCTTTGGTAGTCTGCAGGGGAAAATACCAACACTGGTAATGCCCCATTCAGATGCAGTATTCTGTCCAACAAGGCACAATTGCCTGCCTGGGAATAGGAGGCTGAGATACCATTGATTGTTTCCTATGTCACTTGTCAAGTGGAACACAACACAAGTGAATGTCTGCACAAAATGTACTTTGCTATACCTTTCTAACGGGTTTACATGAGGGAATGGAGCTCAAACTTCACAGGATATTCTATGCAGAGTAGGTCTTACCCTAGGGATGCTCCTGCTGCTCTCACTCCACCTGTCCTCCACCCACCAAGGCACAGAGACTCCAGCAAATGTGAGGAAGAGGGTGGGGATTGGTTGATGGGCAGAGCTGGCTCTGTGAAAGGGGGTTAATCTGAGGCATCTTACCTCCTGAAGACTTGGGTGATGGGAGGGAGATGTTTCTGGAGCCCAGGGCAGCTACTGTGGCATTGAGACCACCTTAGCCTGGGTTGGCATGGAAGACTGGAAATCTTGCCTTTATTCCTGTCTTGTTCGTTGTCCTCTGATTGAATCTCTGCGTTTTAGCCCATTGTCTTCCCAAAGCTTGATTCTCACCTCTTCCTCTCAACTCCTGGCCTCTGTAATAATGGAGAAGCCTTGGGCCTGGAATTTGGAGGGGAAGAAAGGGAGGTTAAGAATCCTTATCTTTTTGCTTTCTTCATTATGTGGCTTCCTCGATCTTTTTGTACAACAGTAAGCAGGCTTTTATGAACTAGTAGATATTAAAAACCACATCAGTGCCAACTAAACAAATTATATCCACCAGATACTTTTGAGCCCTCTGGTATGTGCCAGGCAATATTCTAGGCATGGAGCTCTATCAGTGGGCAGGGGGTACAGGTGGCAGTAATATACAGCTGACCTTATGTTCTCATCATGGCAAAGAGACAGTAGAGAATTGCATTATCCATCAGTTAGGGATAAAACAACAAATACCCACTGCTGTTTATTATCTCTGTCCTCTTATTTAAGAAAGGAACTCTTGGCCGGGCGCGGTGGCTCATGCCTGTAATCCCAGCACTTTGGGAGGCCGAGGCAGGCGGATCACGAGGTCAGGAGATTGAGACCATCCTGGCTAACATAGTGAAACCCCATCTCTGCTGAAAATACAGAAATTACCAGGGCATGGTGGTGGGTGCCTGTAGTCTCAGCTACTGGGGCGGCTGAGGCAGGAGAATTGCTTGAACCCAGGAGGCGGAGGTTGCAGTGAGCCGAGATTGCGCCACTGCACTCCAGCCTGGCAACAGAGTGAGACCCCATCTAAAAAAAAAGAAAAAGAAAGGAACTCTTTGCCTTCTTAGAGCAGGAGGGAACTGAGTTCTTCATAGAGAACAGATCTAAATTATAGAAGCCATTATTATTATTTTTCACCATTTTTCTTATTGTATCACAGTCCAGTTGTGGGACATTGTGGATCACTGCAGGCTGCACACAGGCATTTGGGAGGCATGACTTCTTTCTGGGTACTGTGCCTTTTTAAAGCCTTTGGTGATTTTATTCATACTTGCTTTCATTCAACAAATGTTTTCCAGCACCAACTGAAGGCCAGATGCTATGGGAGGTGCTGGAAAGGTATTAGAGCCTCATCTCTTCAGGAGTTCGTGACTCGGTGCGGGGATGCAAGAGGGATTCAGTGAGGGAGACACACCCCCCGCCCCTTACAGTCCTGTTCTGTGCTGCTGTTGGATGAAACTGCTCTGCAGGTCTTAGGAACCAGCCCTGGAAACCCCACCTCCCATCCCCCCACCCCCGGTGCAGGAAGGGAACTTAGTCTTCATTATGTGACCACCCACTTATGTAGACTTCCCACATTTCCCCCCAAATTAGTCCCCAGGAGCTGAGTAACCTTCTCTTTGAGTCCTTATAACATTTTTATCTGAAATGCAAAAACACATTTGCTTGAAACCTCCATGCTAGTTTGGCATGATTTTAGAAGTTACCTGGCAGAATGAATACAAAAGAAGCAAAGAAATTTAACATGAACTTGGCATTTTCTTGCTGGCATGAACATAATTATTGGATGTCATTATAAATAAACCTTTTAAAAGTCACTTTAAAAATAGAATAATTGGCTACATTGCAGAGATCATGAAAGATCATGAATATGTATATAACAGTTAATTAAAAAAAACTGCTAATATTATTTAAATGGGTGATTGTGGCTTGGGAAAAATTTTTCTGTGGTTCTTAAAAAGTCCCGTGTCTTAAGCACTTCAGATTGACGTAAAATGATGACGAAAATGGGTCTTGGTGATGATGGAGACACTCACGTCAAAGGGACATGTAAAAAGTTAGTGTAAAATAGTTTTATGAAATGGAGAGTGGACGAAACTACTTTAATATTCCTATACATGAATATTAGATAGGCATGCATAATTAAATTAATAACGTGTTTTAGTAGGCACTTGGCTTTTATCTGTATCTATAAAAGTGTAAATACTTGAGGTGGCCAAAACTTGACATTTTCTCATTGTAATGCAATTCTTATTTAATCCAGAGTCACCTCACTCATAGGGACAGAAAGCATTTCTATAGAGCGGGATTGGTAGAAGAGGGGTTCATGGACTACATAAGCCTCCAGAAGGCCAGGGGATGTGGTCAGGCTGGTGGAAGGAAAAGCACTCTGCAGCTTGTTCTTAGAGCACCAGGTTTATTAAATATCTAAGTGGGCATTTTTCTAAACGAGTGACTTTCTTCATGATATGTGTGTGCTGAATTCAAACTATACTTGGCAAAGTAATGTGAGTTTTCAGGAGATGGGCTTATAATTTTTCATGCAGCAGAGGGAGCATCAGCTTCTCAAGTGGATGCTGAGAAGTTCTGTGATGTTTAGAGAATCCAGTTAGATGGCTCACTGTTTTATGACATTGAACCTAGTTTTGACTGAGTCACAGAAATTCATGCCGGGCTCAGACGCTGATGCTAACAGGGGCAGGGGAGTGGAGTAGAGGGGTGCTGCTTTGTGGACCTATCTTGGGGAGAATATTGGGTAGAGTGTTGGTCCCCGGAGCCTTTAGGGTAGATTGTGGTCCTGCGGGCACTTCCAGAAAACAGTCAGCGGCTAACCTGGGGTGGGCGAGGGAGACTCCTTAAAGTTAGACCACAGTCCCCATTCTCAAGAAACATCCCCCACTCTTGCTGAAGTGTCCCTGTGCAGTTTAGGGTAGTAGCCAAGCCTTGATGAGGTTACTCTGATGAAATGTAAGTAGCATTGTAGAACTAGGAATTGGCATCATTTAGGACCATTTACCCGAAGTAGAACCAAAATAATTTGGTATTAATTGGTCATTAAATAGATAAGGAAACTTTGGCTACAAATACACATCTTGGAATTACATGGGGACTCTCACCCTGGACTTCCTTTGTCATAGCTTTATTTTTATACACAATTGTATTGATCAAATTCTAGACCTTACAAGCTCCACAGCTGAATTATTTAATTCTCTCTGATGATCGTCTCAATTCATTTTCCAATAAATGTAATTATTTTCTTGCCAGCGTTCGTATTTAATTGCTAAGTTTTCTCTGATTTGCTCTAAATCATCTTTTACAAATGCGTAGTGAAAGGCAGCAGGTTTTCTCTTCTGATGGTGGCAATTATAAATGTAATTTTATTTAACTTGATAACCAGTTCGCTGCCACCAAGGGCCTCATATTTTTCTTTATCATATGTTTGGGCACACTGTGAAATCATCAAACACCAAACCTTTTATAAATTGGATGTGCATGCTTTTGTCCTTTTCGCTTATTATTGTACTGTTTACCGTCGTCTTCTGTGACATTTTCTCTTGCCTTCAGTCAATTTTGGAAGCAGGCACATTCTTCTGCAACAAAACACCATTTTTTTCTTGATTGTAAGCAGAGATGTCATTCCCGTGCTTGTGTTAGATATACCCTTAGAAATTATTAAAAGCTGTCCAGCTGCCTAGTGGTTATGTGCATGGTAGATACCTCAACTGTGTTTGTTTCGTTTGTCCTGGATATATGTCTCTGAACTCTTGCTTTTATTGAAATTAATCTCTTGTTTCTGTTACTGTCTCTGAAAATAACAATGATTATGGTGCTTTTTAAGTAACTCACAATGTGTTTAAACTATGTGGGAAAGAGAATGTGAAAGGTATGTTATATTTATTTTAATGTTGCCCCTCAAAATGAACTGGAAGCCGGGTTTTGGGAGGATTCCATTTAAATGCATTTATGCTGACCTTTTCATGATTCTCATGTTTAATTGTATTGCACTTCAGAGTCACCCAGCCTGAAAGGGACTTAGAATCCCATGGTTGCCAGTTGGTGTATGACTGCGCCTCCCTCAGTGGTCAAAACTGAGATTAAAAAGAAAGGGAAAGCCCTGTATTTGGAAGGTTATATCCAGAGGAGTTCAGCACCCCTCAGAGTCTAAGGGGCTTCCTGGTGATACGGCCCCACCGCTGCAGAGAAATGCCCCCAGCCTCCCTACTTAGTGCACCAGGGGTCTGGAACCCTCTCTCCCTAACACCCAAGACCATCCATAGCTCGGTCACTCCCCACAGACTTCACCCGCAGCCATGCCGCAGCCACCAGCACCTAACCTCCAGACTCCTGAGGAAGCTAGGCGGCTCCCCTGTGTCACCTCGGCTCTGCCATCCTTTTCCCTGCCCATACACATGGAGCCCTGGACACGGTGGCCCGCACTGCCCTTGATGGAGTGCCTTGTCCCTGGACCCCTCCCGTGACTCAGCTCTGCTCCTGTTGGCCTTCTTGTCTTCTGTCTCTGGTCAGCCTCTTTTGGTCTCTCCTGTGGACTTTGCTTCTTGCCCCTGTTCTCTGTGTGTTTCTTGATGCTCTTTCCCATGGCCACTCCCTGGAGGCCCCCACATCTGGATTCAGACCCCCTACCCCTCGGGCCTCTTGCGCCTCCTCCACCTAGCCCCTTCCTTCTTTTTTTCCTTGGCTTCTCCTGTGCACCCACTTTGTTTCCTTCCATTCTGCTGTTCACTCCAGCCTCAATCTCCACTCTCAGTGACTTACTGCTTCCTTCTCCTGGGGACCTCAGGAAAACGGAGGATTCTGACCCCCACACCTAAGATAATAGGAAAGAGCCTCCCTCCCCCAGGAGAGGGGGCTGCCCCTGCCCACTGCCCCTGGCCAAGTCCAGGCTTCAGGCTGGCTCTGCCTTTCCAGGCCATGGATGATGTTTGAATGAGGCCCTGGGCAGGGCGTGGAGATGGAGTGAGCCCTCGAGTCCTGGGTGGTGGATGCTCTTGTCTCCAGGAGAGATGCTGCCCAGTGCTGGCGTGTGGACACCGTGCCATTTAGTCTTCCCCAACTAGCTTTTCCTTTGGAGGAGAAAAGATTGTCTGACTTGTGGCAATACTTTTAGTTCCATAACTGTAAACTTTTCTTTCTCTTTTTTGGTGGCATTTATAAAAATTCCCTGTCCTACATATCTGACCACATTTTTAAAACATTTATTAGTTTGGATGTTCATGTTTAAATCACATGATGTAAAATGTTTGTTGAGACACAGCTGAAGGATTGTTGAAAAGCAACTGTAGAGAAGCAGCAGGAGCTTGTTTAAGGGGTGGGAGGTGTGGGCGGCAGTTCTGGACAGTGATTGCTGTTCGGGACACTGGGATGCTTCTCCTTTCTGGCTTCCTGGGATTTTTTTTCCTGGGCAGGTTCTATTAAACCTTGCTTAATGAAGGCACTGGCACTGATAGTGGCTTGCATTTGGCAAGACATGGCTGTTCCTGGGTACCAGGCAGTGGCACCGGAACTCATTAAGAAGGTGACTAATTTCAGGGCCGTGTTAACATAGACTGAGGCTCCATCATGGTTCCCAGGTGTTTGTCGGTCGCCGCTGGAGACCATTGTGTGGATCAGTCACATGGTCTGCTGCAGTGTGAGTGACAGACGGTGACTTGCTATCAGTATGCAAAGGTCACCCGGTGACTATTCCAAGAAGTGTCATTTTCCAGTGGAGAATGGGACTTTTTTTTTTTCCTGTTAATAATTTATTTCTTAATTGCGGTAAAATACATATAACATAAAGTTAATCCTTTTAACCATCTTAACACGAACAATTCAGTGGCATGGGGTACATTTACAGTACATCACCACTAGGTAGTTCTAGATCATTTCCGTCACCCCAGAAGGAAACCCCACAGCCGTTACAGTCACTCTGTTTCCCCCTTCACACTGCCTGGCAACCACGAATTTGTTTTCTGTCTCTACGATTAGCTTCTTCTGCGTATTTCATATAAATGGCACTATAGAATATGTGGCTTTTTTTGGTATATGGCTTCTTTTACTTAGTATATTCTCAGGGTTCATCCATGTGTTGGCACCCCATTACTGTTCATGGCTCGGTAGTATTCCATTGTATGGACAGACCACAGGTGTTTATCCATTTATCTCTGGATGCACACCTGGCTTACTTCACCTTTTGGCTGTAGCGTATAGAGCTGCTATGAGCATTCCTGTACAGGCTTCTGTTTGAACGTCTATTTGGTTTTTTTTTTTTTTTTGAGACGGAGTCTCATTCTGTTGCCCAGGCTGGAGTGCAGTAGTGTGATCTCGGCTCACTGCAAGCTCTGCCTCCTGGGTTCACACCATTCTCCTGCCTCAGCCTCCCGAGTAGCTGGGACTACAGGTGCCCGCCACCGCACCTGGCTAATTTTTTTTGCATTTTTAGTAGAGACGGGGTTTCACCATGTTAGCCAGGATGGTCTCGATCTCCTGACCTCGCGATCCGCCCGACTTGGCCTCCCAAAGTGCTGGGATTACAGGCGTGAGCCACTGCGCCCAGCCTGAACGTCTATTTTTAATTCTTTTGGGTATACATCGAGGAGTGAAACTGCTGGGTCTGTTTCTGTTGAGTTGACTGAAGAAAGGATATTCGTTTTATTGCTCTATCTACATGGACCTCTCCTGCATTACTTCAGTGAGTTGTGAAGGTTGGTCTGGATCGCTTTCCCTCTTTCCTTTTTGAATTGTGCCTTTAGCTGTAGGTTGAACACAGGTGCTATCTTTCACGTTTTCAGATCTCTGAGATCTTCACTGGGGATCAAGGTCCAAGGAATCAAAGCTCATGCTGTGTTTGCTCCTGAGCAGGAGAGAGCGTTGTTTAGAGGGAGGGAGAAGGGGAATGCTTGAGGTCAGAATCACAGGACAGCAAATC
The DNA here is from genome assembly GCF_000001405.40 of Homo sapiens. Lineage (NCBI taxonomy): Eukaryota > Metazoa > Chordata > Mammalia > Primates > Hominidae > Homo > Homo sapiens. The sequence continues at coordinate 127,091,653 of NC_000010.11, forward strand.
CGTCTTGAGATTTCAGAAATCACCATAAATCTGTGTCCCTTCCCAGAGAAGAGCGTGTCAAAATGCAGCATTCGTAATTGAAGAAAGCAAAATCAGCTGACTAAGTCGTAAGACCTAGGATGGTGAAGAGTCTCAGAGTGACCAAAAACACACAGACCCTGTTCTCAGGGAAGCTCCTGTGCACCGACTGCATGCTCTATAGACCCCTGCCCTGTGGGGGCCCATTCATGCTTACAGGGTACATCCTCTGGGAGAAAGCATGACAAGTTGGTACCGGGGAACCTGAGGGCCGGGATGAATTTCAGGATAAAAAGAGCAGACTTAGGGATGCTGCCATAGTATATCGTCTAGATTTGTACTGCCCTATTGAAATTCAAATAAAATACAGCTAAATGTTCCATTTCTCAGTCACCCTACCTGTATTTCAAGTGCCTGATGGACACCTGTGCCCAGTGGTGACTGTACTGGCCAGAGCTGCTGTAGAATAGTCCCATCACTGCGGAAAGTTCTGCTGGTCAGGTCTGGCTGGACCGTAGACACAGGAGTGGCCATAGCAGTAGTGCTGGGAGCTGAGAAGGTGCCCAGTGCACAGAGGAGGATGAGCTGGATCGGGGAGGAGAGGTCAGGATTTGATCCTGGAAAGGTGTCATTGTAGTCCTGGCTCTGTCATCGCTCAGCAAGGCATCGCTCCCGCCACAGGGCCCCAGCCTCCCTGTGTGCCCACCACGGGCCTGGCACTGGCCGCCCTCTGTGCCACTCAGGGCAGGAGAGTGAGGGTTGTGCCACACATGGGTCCGATTGCTTCTCCATGGCGAGAAGAGGACAGACACTGGGAGGAAAAGTTGAGGAACCTTGACATCCCATGCTGCTCTGTCATCCAAGTGGCTTTTTGGTTTTCTAGGCATTCTTTTTTTTTTGAGACTGAGGATCGAGCAGTTCTCCTACCTCAGCCTCCCAAGTAGCTGGGACTTGGTACCCACCACCACGCCTGGATAATTTTTTTGTATTTTTAATAGAGACAGGGTTTCACCATGTTGCCAGGCTAGTCTTGAACTCCTGACTTCAAGTGATCCGCCTGCCTCAGTCTCCCAAGGTGCTGGGATTACAGGCGTGAGCCACCGCGCCCGGCAGACATTCATTTTTATTACAATTTACAAAGGTATTGGTCAGAAACAGAATGAAAATGGAAGGAAATCCTAGTCTTTCCCCAGGTCATGGGAGAATCCTTGCTTTAAGTGTCTCATGGGGTGGGGTGATGTATTCGTCCCTCAGGGCTGCTGTCACAATACAAACGAGGGGCTTCAAACAACATCAGTGTGTTCTCTCATTGTTCTGGAGGCCAGAAGTCCAAGAGCAAGGCATCACCAGGGCCGTGCCCTCTCTGAAGGCTCTAGAAGGCTGTAGGGCAGAATCCTTCCTGGTCTCTTCCAGCGTCCAGGGCTGCTGGCAGTCCTCGATGTGCTGTGGTTTGTGGCTACATCATGCTCGTGTCTGCCTCTGCCTTCCTGTGGTGTGTGCAGCTTTGCATCTGAATCTCCCTCTCCTTTTTCTTTCTTTCTTTCTTTCTTTTCTTTCTTTCTTTCTTTCTTCTTTTTTTTTTTTTTTTTTTTGGAGACAGGGTCTCGCTCTGTCATCCCGGCTAAAGTGCAGTGGCGTGATCTCGGCTCACTGCAACTTCCACCTTCCAGGCTCAAGTAATCCTCCTACCTCAGCCTCCCGAGTAGCTGGGACCACAGGCATCCAGGCTGGAGTGCAGTGGCATGATCTCAGCTTACTGCAAACCTCCACCTTCCAGGGTCAAGTAATCGTCCTACCTCAGCCTCCCAAGTAGCTGGGATCACAGACGCGTGCCATTGCGCCCACCTAATATTTTGTATTTTTGGTAGAGACTGGGTTTCGCTATGTTGCCTTGGCTGGTCTTGAACTCCTGAGCTCAAGCGATCCTCCTGCCTCAGCCTTCCAAAGTGCTGGGATTACAGGTGTGAGCCATCGCACCCATGGCCTTTTTTTTTTTCTTATAAAGATAGTCATCATTGGATTTAGGGCCCACTGTAATTCTAATTGGAGTTTATCTGCAAAGATTCTGTTTCTAAGTTCATTTGTATTCACAGGCACCAGAATGTCCTAGTCCATTTTGTGCTGCTATAACAAAATACCTGAGACTCGGTAAAATACCTGAGTAATTTATAATGAACAGCAGTTTACTGGCTTGCAGTTCTGGAGGCTGGCAAGTCCAAGGTCAAGGTGCTAGCATTAAGGGCCTTCTTGCCTGGTCATCCCATGGCAGAAGGTGAGAGTGTGAGAGAGGATGAGAGGGTGCCAAACTCTCCCTTTTACAATGACCCAGTCCTCCCTATGTGGCTGAGTCCTCATGGCCTAATCACATTATTCCTAAAGTTCCTACCTCTTTGCCTGCCTGTAGTCCCAGCTACATGGGAGGCTGAGGTGGGAGTATCACTTGTCCCCAGGAGGTAGAGGCTGCAGTGAGTTGTGATCATTCCGCAGCACTCCAGCCTGGGCGACGGAGTGAGAACCTGTCTCAAAAACAGAAAAACAAACAAAAAATCCCACATCTTAATAACTGTTACAATGTCAATGTCGATTAAATTTCAACTTGAATTTTGGAGGGGACAGATATTTAAATGATATTACACAGGTTAGGTCTTGAAATTTTTTTGGCAGGGTCACAATTCCATGCACTGCATATGGGAGTGGAAGGGGTATGCCTGCGGGTGGGGAGCCAGGGGCTTGAGCTCCACTCTGCATTCACTTTTTGCTCTACCCCAAAGCCTTCCCTTCCCCTGTCCTGCTCCCTCTACCTGTGAGTGTCTGTGTACCCTGGCCATCCTCGATGGCAGTGAGTCTGAGTATTGGTAGGGTGGGCTAGAGCCTGGGACAGCGAGGCAGCTGGAGGGTGGTTGAGGGTGGACGGGTGCACGCTGGACAGGCAGAATATTCTGCGCCATTTTGCCTCGTTCCTGCATCTTTCTTCCTCTGCTGTCCTGCACACACTTATCTTCTACCCACTTCTGTTCCCGAAGGGCTCCATTTTGTCAGATTATTCAGACCATGAATAAAACACAAGTGTGATGTGCTTCATTCCCCACTCACTGTTTGCAAAACTATTTTCCTGCAGTTCAGACCCTTAAGATACTGTGGAACTGGACCGTTTTCCTGTCTGTCGACTTCTGAATTTTAAGTGTTTTTCAGAAAGTCTCCATCATTTGGAAGTCACGCTTTGCCTCCTGGAAGCTGTCTAGACAGGTGACCAGTTTTCACCAATTTGGGGGCTATGGAGGCCTCTTCCAAGGCTCTCTGCCCTCTCCATGAGCCACTTTAGCTAGATGACTGTGCTGGTATCAAGTGAAAAAACAAAAAGAATACTTCAGTAATTTAATTCAAATTTGTTCTTGCCTAGATTACGGTAATGCTCCTATTTAGAATGACTTAATTCCTGGCAAGTGGATTGTGGGAGGTTAAGGAGAGCACCCTGGCTCCAGAGCAGAGAGCAGAAGAGGGTGTTCTTGCTGTCTGTGCTGAGGTTGGCTAAGTCTTTCTCTTTTTCACGCCTCGTGCTTTTTGCTACGTGGTTTCTGCTGCCTAGCTAGTCATCTGCAAGGCATCACTGTAGCCCTATCCTGATGCCCTGAGTCCTGGTGGCTTCTACTCTGACCCTTCCTGTTCTTTTATAGATTATTCCATCCTTGACCACATTTTCTTCTGTTCTCCTGTGTGCCTAGCTTTGGGGAAATAAGGATGAGTCAGGTGCAGGCTTCGGTTGCTCATTTGAACAGTGATTCTGACTACTGTTAGAGAAGGGATATGGGAGAGAAGTGCAGGGGATTTACTTAGCCAAGGCTGAAGGCAGAGAAAACGGTCATTGCTGCATGGCACAGCTACCTGTGGCCAGAGAGGAGCCATGGCCCAGCTCTTGCTGGGCTGACCCAAAGGCCGAGGAATTTTGTGTGCCAGGCACCCATCTGTGACACAACCACGTGGGCCAGGAAGCTGTGTGTGTGTGTGTGTGTGTGTGTGTGTGAGCAATTAATGGACAGGATCCAGAGATGCTGAGAGCAGTCCTGCACAGTGAAGACAGTATCAATATCCCTCTCCCTGAGAAACCCAGGAGACCCGTTCCTCATCATCGATATGCTTCAAGGAAGGCATAACAAATTGATTTGTGTAGGAACTTGAACTGGATTCACTGAAGAATCTCAGGAAGTTTGTACTTTTTTCAGTTTGGGCTTTGTGATACAGAAACACGCAGATACTTGTGGGAACAACGTCCCTCAGGCGTTAAATTGACATTTGGGATTGAGTGAACCGAAGCATTGGTGGTAGAGATGGGGAATGCTATCTGAAAAACCAGAATCAGCTTTAAGGAAGCTGATTACAAAGAGAATTGATTACAAAAAGTATTTTTGGATTTAAAATACATAAGATGTAGGCAGTCCTAATTTAATAAGATATAAGGGATTGAAGCAATTGTTGCCATCGTCTTTCTTTTTGTTCTGGACTGCTGTCACACACACCATAGAGATGCCTCCTTGAGTGTCTTCAAAGTGCTGTGGATTTCCTTTCTTCAGCCGCCTCCGACCATCACGTCCAGCCATCTGTCCTGTTTGATCAAGTCCGCAGAGTGGGTCGAGGGGCACCAATTGGCAGAACTGGTCTTGGTGCATTTTCCCCTATCAAGTTTATCTGTTTTTCCGGAGGCTGTTTGGCTCTTCCCCAAATCTTCCAAAGACAGAACACTTAAGTCTAAAAGGAGGATTTGTGGACCATATATATTTTAGCTCAAAACCTCCAAGTGGAATCATTTTAATGTGCGTTTTCTTGAGAAATATGTAAATTAATAATTGCTTCATACATTATTCAAGAAAAACTTATTTTGTATCACCCATAACTCTTCTAATCTTATATAAAGATATGCTAATGGATTTAATTAAAATAATTATACTGAATAATGTAGCCTGAACTTTATTCTAAAATAGCATCTATTAATCATCATCATCAGTAATATTTTTAGCCAGAGAGACACTTACAACCTTAAGCTGATACTAGATGGAAAGTGCATTTATTGTTTTATTTTTCAGTTTGGATTAAGTTGGCATTCTCATGAGATCTGGGACAATTACATTTGCTTAGAGACGAGTATAAAATTTATTTCTGGGCCGGGCATGGTGGCTCACCCCTGTAATCTCAGCACTTTGGGAGGCCAAGACAGGTGGATCACGAGGTCAGGAGTTCAACACCAGCCTGGCCAACATGGTGAAACCCCGTCTCTACTAAAAATACAAAAATTAGCTGGGCATGGTGGCACACACCTGTAATTCTAGCTACTCAGGAGGCTGAGACAGGAGAATTGCTTGAACCTGGGAGGTGGAGGTTGCAGTGAGCCAAGATTACACCATTACACTCCAGCCTGGGCAACAGAGTGAGACTCTATCTCAGAAAGGAGAAAAAAAAAATTATTTTATTTCTTTAACCTGAAGTATTTCAGCAATTAGAAAACTTTTAGCCTCTTCTGCCCTTTCCTGTTTCTTCTTTTCCCTCTAAAGCTTTGGTTTCAGTGTGTTCTTGTCCTTTTGGTTCAGTTTTGACCTCAGTTTCCCTCCCAAGAGTTGTGATTGCTGAATACGATGAGTTCCTGATTGCCTGGATATTAAGAGGTGAACCAAATCTTAAGAGGGACACTCAGCAGCCTGCCTGTCTTAATATAAATAGAAATAGTTTTACCACTGGCTGTGATTCTCTCTGATTTTGTTTGTGTTATCTTTCTGTGGCTTGCTGGCTTTCCATCAGTGCTCAATGAATGGTTGGGAGCCCTTATGCATTTGGTGGTAATTTCAGTTTCTCCTTAGGCCTCTCTCATGCCTGAGTGTGCATGGGACCCAGGTATGTGTTCTTGGTGTGTCAGTGGGTCCTGCACACGTGTTGATTGGTCCGAGGACTAAATGCAGGTAGAATCAGACCGTCCCCCCACTGGTGGACAGACGAAAGCTTTACCAAGTTGATAGAATAACATAAGCCAGGACTTAAACTGCCATTAAGTTATTTTACCTAAGTTTAAAATAAAATCTGAAGAAATTACTTGCTTAAATAGCAAACATTTATTTGGTAAGTTCACTTATAACTTAATGAACAGGCGAAGAGTAAAGAAAGCTAAAATCAGTGACTTCCTCTAAATTGTGTATAGAGTACTCTTCTCTGTTCTTGGCTGGGCCAGGCCATAATGGTGTATTCGTACAGTTTCATGGTCCATGGTTCATACCTCTGGGGTTGGGGAGCATAAGTGGGCCTCACTCCAAACTCAGCTCTGTCTTTTGGGGACATCCCACGGACTTTGTCCTCCTTCCCACTTTCGTCCCTCACCCCCAGTGAACTGATTAGTGATTATCCCGCTCTGCTGCAGGGAACCTTGCCAGTGCCTGGGAGGCACCGTGGAGCAGATACCTGCTGAGGGACTGGCATCCTGGCCTCTCACCCACAATTCAAAACAGCTTTGCACATTCTGAGCACAGTTTTATTTAAATAAAGATCTTCACTGATTTACAAAAATAACAAAAGGCAAACAAAAACAGGAAAAATCTTCAATGTCCTCAATTTCTATCACCCTGATCTTTTTTGTGATTTGGGAACTGATTCTACTCAGTATTTGCCACAATGAAGATGGCACTTTACAAATGGAAGTTTGCACCGAATGAAGATTCAGGTTTGAGAGATGTGCACGCTGAGGAGGTTTTCCATGTCAACACGTGCATGGGTCCACACGCTGTCCTGCCGCCACTGCTGCTGGTAGCTGTGGCCAACGTCTGTTGAGCAGGAGCAATGAGTCGAGCTTATCACATGCACAACACGTCATTCCATTCTCCCACAGCCCCTTGAGGCAGGCCCTGTTGATCACCACTGTTTTGCCCATGAGAAGCCCGATAGGAAATGCTACCTTCCCAAATTCACATAGCGAGTGATGGAGGAGCCCGGACAGCACCCCAGAGCCCTGACCTTGTCTACCATGGTGCTGCCTTCCTTTGATGGTGCTGGTTAGGGTCCCCCACATGCATTCATAGATTTTTATTTTTGGAGGTGTCTTTCGGCAGATAAGATTCCACGCAGCACCATCTATCCACAGGGCAGATGTCCCCTGCTTCGTCTGTTGGGTGCTCTGTGTCTTGACAAGCTATTGAGGCAGGAGCTGTTTCCACTCGAAAGAGACCTGAATTTAGTGAAGCAGCCAGACTCCACAGAGGAAACTGAAGGTTTTTCCTGCAAGCACAAGCAGAATCCAAAACACTTGAAACTCTGACAAATAACCAATATTAGAAATGAATCAAGCTAGGTGTGGCTCTTACAATAGTGGGTAATGGAACCCTCCTGCCAAGGAAAGCCAGAGCCTGTGGTAGGAAGGAATCTGAGTTCCCTTTGCATCTTGTCCTTGTCTGGCTAATCAAACTGGATGGGGAAGACAACTTTTTCCCTTAGTTAAGGAGGTGATTTCTGTGGCTGAATGCAGAGAGAGGAATGCTTCTTGAAAATAAAGAGGTCACGACTATATATGAAGTTTGCAGTCAGTTTGGGAGTCATGGAGGGTCGACTTCCCAATGTCCTCTGTGAGGACAGAAGGAGACAAAGCAGACTGAAATAGTCTCTGTCCTTACCTGTGAGGAGCTTATTGTCTATGGGGAATACGGACAAATTGACCTTCCATTGCAGTCCAAATAGGAATGTCTCTAGATGCTGTATTCATCTCTTTTGCGTTGCTATAAAGGATACCCAAGCCTGGGTAACTTATAGAGAAAAGAGGTTTATTTTGGCCCCGGTTCTGCAGGGTGCACAGGAAGCATAGTGCAGTCATCTGCTTCTGGTGAGGGCTTCCAGAAGCTTCTGCTCATGACAGAAGGTGAAGGGGGAGCAGGCGTGTCACATGGCAAGAGAGGGAACAAGAGAGAGCGCAGGGAGGTGCCATTGTCTTAAACCGCCAGCTCTCACGTGAACTAATAGAGCGGGAACTCACTGGTTACTGCGAGGAAGGTATCAAGCCATTCATCTGAAACCCTCCCCTATGACCCAGACACCTCCCACTGTCCCCACCTCCAACACTGGGGATCACGTTTCAGCATGAGAGATGGAGAGGACACACATCCAAACCATATCTGATTCCTAACCTGGCACCTGTGTGTCCTGGACGAAATGATGTCTAAGCTAAGGACTGAGGGGTACCAGAGTCTAACTGTGTGTTTGGGGTGGACTTGGGTGGGGCGGCAGAGCAGTGACTCCAGAAGAGGGAATAGCATGTGCTCAAGCCTCTGAGCTGGCAGAGGGGCCTGGCCCACCTGGGAAACTGGAAGAGGCTCGGCTTGGTGGGAGAGAGTCCTGCAGGTACCAAGGGTGAGTCTGGGGTGGTGGGGCCAGAGCCCATGGCCCTCCATGGGTGTGGGATAGGTTCCCTGTGTCCCATGAGCAGGGGACGTTGCCACAGTATCTAAATTCCATTTGCATTTTCAGAAGGCTGCTCTGGCTGCCCAGTGAGGAGTGTCCTTGAGGGGTCAGCGTGGAGGCAGGGAGGGCGGGTAGGAGGCTGTGGCAGCAAAGCCAATGGGAGGCAGTAGCCGTGCGGCCCAGGTGCTGTTTGTTCCGGGGGGAGTTAACAGCCTGAACCGAGGGCTCTGTCGCTGCCTAGAAGGGGGCTGTGAGGAAGAGAGAACACCCGGTGTGATGCCCAGGCCTGTGGCATGCAGCTGGGGCTTGGCGGTGCAGCGCCTGGCACTGGAATCCCTAGGGAAGGCGAGGCAGCGGTGGCTTCCACCAAGGCAGGGGGAGTTTGCAATGTCTAGGGTCAGCCAGGGTGGACCCCGGTGGGTGTGGGGTGTGGGTGTTGGGCTCAGGAGGAAGGGGAGCCCTGGAGATGGATCAGAATTGGGAGTCATTGGCATGGCAGGAGGTGAGGTCCCTTGTGGGATATGTGGAGGGACCCCGAGGAACCCACAGGCAAGGGGCTGGGGGAGCAGGGCCCTGCGCAGGGAGCTGGAAGGAGGGTGGAGAGGCAGGTGGCCACCCTGGGAGTGAGGGCCACGCGTGCCCCAGAGGTGAGGTGGCCAAAGTGTCATCAGAAAGGCCACTTGAGAACAGCCTGAAGTCATCGTGGCCTTGGCAGGAACAGAGCTGTGGTGCGGGCCGGAGTCAGGCTGCAGTGGGAGTGAGGAGGGGTCGTGTGGGAAGTGGACGCAGGCCTTGCCCACACTGTGGGGTATTGTCCGATGGAGCAGAGGCTCGCAGGGCCTGGGGCTGCTTTTCCGGGTGAGAGGCTGGTGTGGGCTTCATGATAGAAAGCAGGAGGCAGAGGGGTGAGAACTGAAGGCTCTGAGGAGAGAGAGAGGACAAAGGGCAGGAGGGCCTTGAGCAGACAGCAGGGGAAGAGGTTGGAGCCCCACAGGGCAGGCAGGTGCCCCGAAAACCCAAGGCAGGGGCAGAGGTTGGGAGCTGGAGTCTTGTGTTTGGTTTGGGTGGTTGGAAGCTTAGCGAGTTCCTTTCTTGTGGTGGCTTTTGTTTTTCTCTGAAGGAGGTGGTGACATGAGATGGGAGGGGTGGGGGTCAGGCTTGAGAAGAGCAAAGAAAGACTGAGTCAGCCACAGGGGAGAGTGGAGAAGGAGAGGAAACCCGGCCCTTCAGGAGAACAGGTGGACCCACAGTGTAAGACGTGCCTCTCCTCATGTTTCTTCTGAATTCCGTTCTCTCTGTCCTGTCTTTGTTCTGTCACCCAGGACTGATAGCAGATGCGGGTTCCTCCCAGTTCTTGCTAAACCTCATTTACCGAAAGACACAAAATCATCTTGGTCGGTTAAGCAGAATTCTGGTTTAATCAGCATTTTGGGATCACTGGCATTCCATGTCCCCGCCTCAGGGGGCACAACCCCTTCTCTGAGGGTGTCATCATGACATTTTTGATGCTAGGAGCTCGGGAAGACCACGGCAGGGAAGACTTTGGGAGCCCTCGCCCCGCTTGGCGGTCTGTCGGTCCCGATTCACACAGTGTCCGGCAGCCCAAGGGGAGCCAGCAGCAGGTGGGCCATAAAGGCCTGTCTTGTTTGTGGCCGATTCACCCTGGTGAAATGGTATTTATGAACTTGCTACAGGCGGTTGATGCTTTGCTGGGCACAGTATAAAATGCATGAAGCCAGTTCGTGCCTCACCCTCTGGGCGTTCGCAAGCGAAACGAGAGACCGGGAGACTGAGCAATCAGCCTGTGTGAACGCTGGCTATTAAATGTCACAATAAATGTTTTCTGTTTTTTTTCAAAGCAACACTGAGGTTGTGGAAGCAGAACATTTGAAATCAGAATGAAATTATTACGATTTAGTGCTCTTTTGAAAAGTTGCATCCCAAAGCAGACGGTTGGGATCTGGTGGGCCTTGAAGGACAGGGCAAACACTGAGGTGAACAACAGCATGGATCGTTCTGGAGTGGAGATTTATGGGGCTAAAGTTGCTTTATCCTCTACTCTATTTTTGGTGAAGTTGAAGTGTGGCGGTTTTGCAAAATTAGCTTTGGGGCTGCACAGACCAACCCCAAATCCCAGCAGTGCTGACCTGGGCCAAAGACTTCACTTTCACATGTCTCCACTGTCTCCTCCGTGAAAGGGGATAGTAATAGGCCTCCTTCATCAGGTTGCCATGGGGATGTAATGTGTCCATAGAGCCCAGCACCTAGAAACTTGTCTGACAGGTGCAGAATACTTACGTCATAGATGAGGCAACATGAACTCACTTGAAATGACTTGACCTGTGCACCAGAGTTGAGACACCAGCCTGCCATTCTTTCAGTCATTTCCCATCCCAGATAGCTATGGAAATATTCCCAGGTAATATATTCTTAGTCACTTAAAAAATTAAGGTATAGGCTGGACACAGTGGCTCACACCTGTAATCCCAGCACTTTGGGAGGCCGAGGTGGGTGGATCACTTGAGGTCAGGAGTTTGGTTTGGGTGTTGACCAGCCTGGCCAACATGGCGAAACCTCGTCTCTACTAAAAATACAAAAATTAGCCGGGTGTGGTGGCGGGCACCTGTACTCCCAGCTATTCAGGAGACTGAGGCAGAAGAATCACGTGAACCCGGGGGGTGGAAGTTGTAGTGAGCCAAGATTGTGCCACTGCACTCCAGCCCAGGCGGAAGAGTGAAACTCAGTCTCAAAAAAAAAGGTACAATTTACATACAGTAAAATTTATTCTTTTTTAATGTACAGCTCTGCCAGTTTTGACAAAGGCATAATGCATTCATCCCACGGGAGGGCCCCTGAGCCCCCTGTATTCCCCTGCCCGCTTCCCCACCAGCCACTGACATGCTCTCCATTTCTGTAGTTTTGCCTTTTCCAGAATGTTATGAAAATTGAGTCACATGGGATGCAGCCTCTTGCATATGTCTTGTTTTATTTATCACTGTGTCGTTCACGTGCATCTGTGTTCTAGGTAACAGTGGTTGGTGCTTCTTGTTACTGCGTCGAGTTCCATTGTATGAATTCCCCTCTTGAAGGGACATTTGGGTTGTTTCTAGTGTTTGGAGATTACAAATAAAGCTGCTAGAGACGTCCACATAAGGGTTTTGTAACCGTCATAGGTTTCCTGTCCCATGTACGTGCCAAGTCAATGTGCTGCGACTCTGGGTTGCAGCAGAGAAAGAGTTTTAATCGTAGGACCGCCAAAACAGGAGAAGGAGGAAACCTCATATTGTCTGCTGCAGGAGTTTGGGGCTAGGTATTGTTAAGGTTTTCGGAGCAGGCCTAAGTGGGTTGAAGAGCGTGGGGTGAAGGGACAGGGAGATGAAGAAACTGCATTGCATTGCTGATTCCTTTCCTCTGTCGGGGGTTTTCAAACCAGTTGGCAGCAGCAGTTTCCCTGGAATTCAGGATCTGAGAAACACCTTAAGCAATTCTTAAACAAAAGACTTATGATTCTAATGTCAGAAATCCTATCTGCAGGAACGTTGGGGATGCAGATGACCAGTATCTAGTGCTGCGTGACTTTGGATTACGAGTAAGTGGGCTGAAGTGCAGCCTGTTCCGTGCTTAATTATCACTGTATTGCTGTCCAGAGTTCTTGTTAACCTTATGAGGATGCCTTCAGTTTTTGTGAATGTAGGTTTTCACTTCATTTGAGGAGGTGGCCAGGAGTACAATGGCTGGGTGCTACGGATTATGAATGTTTACCTATGAGAAACTGCTGAACTCTCTTCTAAAGTTGCTGAACTATTTTTGCATTCAGACTAGCAGTGTTATACAAAGAGCATGTTGTAGGAATTCTGTTTTGTTTTCATGATTCTTATAGATGTTGCTTGTATCTTATTGTCATTTTAATTTGCATTTCCCTGATGAGTAATGGTGCTGAGTGTCTTTTCAAGTACTTATTTGCCATCCATCTATCTTCTATGGAGAATTGCCTCTTCATCTCTTTTGCCCATTTTGCAGGGAGGGGAAGATTGTTTTCTCATTATTGAGTTTTAAGGGTTCTTTGTGTATTCTGTGTACTAATCTTTAGCAGATATATGATCTCCAGTCATTTTCTCCCTGTGTAGTTCATCTTCTGTTATCTCAGTAGTACCTTTCAAAGAGCAGAAATTCTTTATTTTGATGAAGTCCAATTTATCAATTTTTTCTTTTACACATTGTGCTATTTGTATCATATCTAAGAAATCTTTGCTTAGCCCAAACTCACACGTATTTTCTTCCAAAAGTTTTACAGTTTTTGAAGTTCTACATTTAAGATCGGTGATCTATTTAAAGTTGAGTTTTGTACAGTGTGAGAGAGGAGGGCATGAAGTTTATTTATTTGCTCATGGTACTGTGTACCTTTGTTACAAATCCATCAACCGTCTGTATATGTTCAGGGGAATACTTTTGAAGTGAGTTTCTGCCTACTTGCTTTTGGAGAACAATTGTAAAAATTGTTTCTGTAATTGCGTAGTATTTTCCAGTGTTCAAAGTGTTACCCTATTCATTTTCCAATTTGATTTTGAGCTTTATTGCAATTCCTTGAAGTATCTGGCGTGAATGTTATTTTCCCTCTTACTTAAAGACACAGGTAGAAGGTGGCAGAGCCAGAGTCAGATCACTTAAAATCTGGCAACTTTTCCCAACAGAAGAGAGCAAAGGGACTCAGGGTCTGACTTTCCCCCGACTGAATTTAATTCTAGCTTAGTTCAGTACTAGCTTTGTGAACAGGGACAAAGTAATTAATGTCTCCATTGTTGGTTTTTTCCTCCTTCCTACTCAGCTACCTTCTAATAGGAGGTGATATGGTTTGGCTGTGTCCCCACCCAAATCTCATCTTGAATTGTAGCTCTGATAATCCCCATGTGCTGTGGGAGGGGACCTGTGGGAGGTAATTGAATCATGAGCAGCAGGTTTTTCCTGTGCCGTTCTCATGATGGTGAATAAGCCTCCTGAGATCTGATGGTTTTATAAGGCGCAATTCCCTTGCACAAACTTTGTTGCCTGCTGCCATGTAAGATGTGCTTTTGCTCCTCCTTCACCTTCCACCATGATTATGAGGCCTTCCCAGCCATGTGGAACTGTGAGCCCATTAAACCTCTTTCCTTTATAAATTACCCAGTCTCAGGTATTTCTTCATAGTAGGATGAAAATGGACTAATACAGGAGGTCTGTAAGAATTAAAGATCAAATATACAAGGGTCCTAGCACAGTGTGCAGCATGACAGGATCTATCATTAATATCATTACTCTGTTTTTTGAGGGTGTTTGTTTTCTAGAAGATACATTACTAAAGAACAAAATGATTCATAATTAAAATATATGCAGATATACAGGAAAACATTTTTGGAATGGAACAAAGACAGTTGACTTTAATCATTGAATGTAGAAGAGTTGAAGTGAATTTAATGGAAGAGGATTATTCTGAGGGGGACAGGTCTTCATTTTGCTTTATCCTCACAGAGCTCTGCAGGGGTAAAAGGAGAAAATCACATGCATGCTTAGCACACAGTATAGGCACTTAGGCCACAGGTGATAAGTGTTGGCTTCTGTTAATAATAATTTTATTATGTGTCAGGACAACCTGTGAGAAGTTAGCATTGTTTGAGCATTCTTTGTAGGTTAGAGATTCATTTTCTTTTTTGAGACAGGATCTTGCTTTGTTGCCGGGGCTGGATTGCCATGCTGTGAACACGGCTCACTGCAACCTCTACTTCCTGGGCTCAGGTGATTCTCCTGCCTCAGCCTCCTGAATAGCTGGGACTACAGGTGCAAGCCACCAATGCCTGGCTAATTTTTTTTGTATATTTTTGTAAAGGTGGAATTTCGCCATGTTACCCAGGCTGGTCTCGAACTCCTGAGCTGAAGCGATCTGCCTGCCTCAGCCTCCCAAAGTGCTGGGATTACAGGTGTGAGCCACTGCGCCTGATGACTTTTGTTCTTTGCTCTATTTTCATCGTGTTAGCCGTCAGCCCCTCATCTGGAAGTGATCTTTCTCTTCTCAGTATTTCTGCGGTTCTTCTCATAAGGATTACAAATTGGTATGAACACTCCCTAACCTGCATGCTGCTCAGCCTTCTTGTTTCTTGATTTGCAGGGGGCAGCACTGAAATACTTACCAACGATCGTCAACGATGTGAAATTGGTGTTTGATCCCAAAGAGCTCAGGTAAGTATGCAGCCCAGGCGAATGCTTGTCACGTGCCGTGTGTGACCTCCTTCTCAGTGTGCTTAGTTTATGGGATGCTCAGGGTTCTGCCTCATGTCTCCATATGTCAGTGCCCTGGATCATTCTGGAACATGTGTTGCTGGTGGTGTCTGTGACTCTTTGATAATCATGACATTATGTGGAAAAGGTATCACCAGTCAACTATGACAACATTTTTTAAGAAGATTGTTTACAGTCTAATTGGTATATAATGTCCATTTGGCATTTTGCATACTTTGAGGTTTGAATTTCAGTATGTGGTTGTTGGTTTTGCTCTTGTTTTCAGCACCTAAAAATCCTGACATAGGAGCTTTAATATTCCTGCGCCGGCTTCTGCTTCTGTAATAGAGGCAACTCCTCTTTGGGAGGGGCCCTGAGCCTCAAGCAGAAGACTCAGAAGTTACTAAGAAAATAATTTTTAGAAAACCCCACAAACAAACTTTGAGAAAGCTGGTCACTGGGCTTTCAGACCAAGGAGTGAGATTGGACACCAAATCCTTCCTTTTCTCTCCCTAACTTGCCGCCTCTCAGTGGCCAGGTGTGCTGTTTGTTTCCTAATCTGTTGGTATCACTGCATTCTGAAAGTGCCATTGTGAGCAAATGGGATACACAGCCTTTTTAATTTATTTTTTAAGAGATAGGGGTCTCACTCTGTTGCCCAGGCTGTAGTGCAGTGGCGCGATCATAGCTCACTGCAGCTTCAAACTCCTGGCCTCAAGCACCCCTCCCGCCTCTGCCTTCAAAGCACTGGAATTACCGACGTGCGCCACCGCTCCCACCCCAGGGATGCACAGTCGTTTAAACCCCAGACATTCAATAGCACAGTCCTCAACTACTTTTTGTTTTGGTTTTGATTTGACACAATAAACTACCTGTGGGTGAAGACACCATTTTTTACCGGCCAATGAAGCCCTCCTAAATATTAGTAAAGGGCCATCTGTCCACTGAGCGGTGAAACGGAATAAAAAATGATTATCCTTCCTGTACTTTATGTCTACCATAGGTCACTCGTGCCCTGGAATTGAAGGGCGAGGGGCTCTCTGGGAGGCGCTGTCCCCCACGAATCATTGTGAATCTGATGTTCCCTAGGATTTAGTGTCCTGCAGGGAAACATTTATTTTCTGCTCCCAGGGCACCAACAGTGCTGGTCATAAGCTTAGCAGGTCCTACATGAGAAAAGGAGAAACACACAGGCTCACGGGCGGTGTCTGCCCACCTGGCGCGCTGTAGAGTCCTCTCCTTGGCACATGCTTCTCCAAGAGCGGGCCCCAAAATGGCAGCTCCGGTAGCCCTTGGGAACTTGTTAGAGAAAGCCAAACTTTGGCTTCCTCCCCAGACCTTCTGAATTAGAAACTGCACAGTGGGGCCTGGTCATTTGATTTTAACAACCTCCCTCCCCGTGCAGGTGCTTCCAGGGCTCTCTCATATTTTAGTAGCTCAGGTCTTGAAAAACTGAGAGGAAGCAGAGAAAGCTGCAACTGGTGTGGGCTGTGGCCATACTCTAGGCCTGTCTCATGGTGCACACAGATCAGCTCCGCACCCGCGGAGGGGTATCGTCGATACTCTCAGTTTGCGCTTGAGCCGGGCCTGTCCTCACTGTACGCACAAATTAGCCCCTCACCGATGGAGGGTATCATTGACGCTCACAGTTTGTGGTTGAGCCGTGTGCTTGGAGGTCCTAGGAAGACCTGCTTGGCCAGGGCCGATGCAGGCTGCTGCTGGCCTCTCTCAGATTTGTGCATCCCTGTGTTCCTCCTCAATGCCTGTTACACTGATTTTTAAAAATGACATTGAAAATCACATACATATTTGTTTCTATTTAGAAAATTGGTTCATGTTTTAATAAACAGAAGAGATGACAGAAGAGGGTAACTCAAACTTAAGTCCACTACCCAAAAGAATCAGAAAGTGCTGGATCCCTTACACACATACGTACACACACACTTAAAAAAGTCACCATTTTTTGGTTAGGCATGGTGACTCACGCCTGTAATCCCAGCACTTTGGGAGGCCGAGGGGGACAGATCATGAGGTCAGGAATTCGAGACCAACCTGGCCAGCATGGTGAAACTCCATCTCCACTAAAGATACAAAAAATTAGCTGGGCATGATGGCGGGTGCCTGTAATCCCAGCTACTCAGGAGGCTGAGGCAGGAGAATTGTTTGAACCCAGAGGCAGAAATTGCAGTGAGCCTGGATCGCGGCATTGTACTCCAGCCTGGGTGACAGGGCAAGACTCTGTCTCAAAAATAAAAAAAAGAAAAGTCACCATTCTTTGTGATCAGCTCCTGCACTTAAGACATCTTCCTCTCCCATGCCACGAGGGCATCTTCTGCATCATCATTGTTAGTAACTTTCATGCCGATCCATCCCATGCTGGCCTATCTTTAAGCAGCAACAATAGACGCAGCATCTATTATGTGCTTTCACCATGTAAAATAGGTTTTGCACAAAGCACTTGTATTAGTCCATTAATCTTTACAACAATGGTATGACATAGGTTCTATTGTTAGCCGAATTTTATCCTCAATAACTTGTCCATGATAATTCAGCTGGTAAATGGCAGTGGTTCAAGGCCAACCCGGGCTTTTTGAATACAAAGAACAGGCCTCTAGCTACTGTGCTACCTGATGGCTGTTGAGTTGTATTCAAGTTTTTTTAAAAAAAATATATTATAAAATGCTAGGATAAAATTTCCTGTAGCTTAATTGTAGTTTCTGCTCCTATTTTATATCATTAGGATAAAAAGAGAAATGGCATTACTTGGTTTTGCATTTTCTTAAAGGATTTTCAGTAGATTTTATCTACTCGTCCCCCTCCAGAAGGTAAAACCAACATTCTACCAGTATACGTTGGTGTCTGTTTTCCCAAAATATTGCTGGTACTGGGAATTACCATTTTATAGAACCTTGCCAGTATGACTGGTGAAACCGTATCTGCCCATTTTAATTTGTGTTTATGTAGTTACTAACAAGAGCTCTTCTAAAATTTCTTCATAGGTCTGTTAGCCTTTTGTAAAAGTGTATTTTTAAAAAATTGCTTTATTGTGGTATTATTTACAAACGATAAAGTCACCTATTGTAGACGGTTCAATTCAGTGGTTTTTAGTATATTTACGAAGATGTGCAGTGATCACCAGAGTCCAATTTTAGAACATTTTTATAACCCCAGCAAGATCCCAGTGTCCATTTCTGGTCATTTTTCCTTCCTAGCCCAGGTAACCCCGAATCTCTTTTCTCTCTCTACACATTTGTGTTTTCTGGGCATTTTACAGAGCTGGAATCATACAACGTGTGGCCTCTGTACTGGCTTCTTCTACTTAGCATAAAGTTTTCAAGGTTTCTCCATGTTTTAGCATCAGTGCCTCCTTGTTTTTGGAAATGAATTGTGTGGCTATACTGCATTTTGTTCATCCATTCATTAACTGATGGACTTCGTGTTTTTTTTACTTTTTCAGTATAATGAACAATGCCACTTGGATTCATGGACAAATTGTTGTGTGGATATATGTTTTCATTTTTTCTCGGGGAGGTGGTATATGCCTGGAAGTGGATGGTGACTATGTTTGACATTTTGAGGAAATGCCTAACTGTTTTCCAAAGTGGCTGTGCTGTGTTACCTTCCCACCAGCTTGGTGTGACTGTTCTCATTTCATTATATCTTTACCAACACTTGTTATTGTCTGTCTTTTGGATTATAGGCACGTTAGTGATTGTGAAGTGAAAACGAACACTTTCAAAACATCATTTCTTGGAATGAGTTATTGACCCCATAGTGCATGAGAGGCTGTGTTGAACATACTGGTGACATTAATGACCATGTGATGACCTATATCTCAGTATTGTAACAACATTGGATCCTTTTGCTATGTGTCTCAAAATTATTTCCCTTGTGTTTTTCCTCACAGCAAAATGTTTACTGAATTCATCCTCAATGTTCCCATGGGCTTGCTGACCATCCAGAAACTCTACTGCTTGATCGAAATCGTCCACAGTGACCTCTTCACACAGCATGGTGAGTGGAACCCCAAGAATTATTCACTTGTCCTGTTATTTATTTTCTGAAGACATTGACCCTCTGAATTGCCTCTTCTTGACAAAAGGAGTAGAGGCTGCAACCAATTAAAACTGCTGTATTACAAGACAGGAAGATTTAGCCCTTACAAGAGAAGGGTAATTGACATGTAATGCAGGTAATAGATCATTGAGAAATGAAGGCAAAAGCTCGTAGTTTGTAATTTAGGTATACACCAAAGTCCTAGGGTAATCAGCATACATTGTAGCCTTTAAGATATGTGGTTGTCTGTCCTGGGGAGGCAATCACTTCGCTCCATTGTGATGATTGCAAGGAAAAGAATTCGAGTTTTCTTTAAATCTGAAAGTAATGGTTTTATCTTATTCTGAACTTTGCATTCTTTGACAGCATTTCTTCAAATCCTACTCAAAGTAATAAGAATTTCAATGATTCTTCAACTCATTTATCCTGCAGAACACTTTATATTTCCCTATGTTATCTCCCTGCCCTTTTTAGTAATCATTTTTTTTCTATTTGGACAGATTAAATTAATATTTTACCCTTGTCAAGCAGTTTTATTGAAAGCTTAAAACCTCTGCATAATTCCACAAACTTCCTCATTTATTGGAGGCAAATGTGAAGTCTGTTGAGTGACATTCTGACTGAGAAGCATGGATTTATTCGATTCCATTTGTGCCTGGACATTTGGCTGCTCCATTCATTTTCTGTTGTCCTCATTCTTGGTGTTGTTCTCAGTTCCCCTGTGCTTTCACGGATCCCAGACTTGGGATGTCCCTGTTAAGTTACGGGCTGGGTTTGGAACACACTCTGTGCTTGGCTTGGTCCTTTGTGCCTTCTGGGATGCGAATTTTAATCTTCTTTCTTGGCTTAACCTTATAAAATGCACCAGAGTGTACACGTGTTGCTAAGGCTAATATTGAAAGAAAATGTTGACTTCATTTAGGTGAGAGTGTTCTTCTCTAGAAAAAAACACATCAAACCAAGAAGTGGGTGACTTTCTGCAGCCCCTCCATGTAGACCTCTCTCTTTAGTCAGAAACCACTTCTTACTTTCATAAAAGAAAGTCAGTTCTCACCATGGTCTGGGACTCAAAGCACATGACGCTCCATTGAGCTATTATTCCTGACTGTCCATATTTCAGTTTCTCACTGGAAACTGAATTGCCCACTCACCAGGTGTTTTCCAAGACTTGGGTACTCTAGGGGGCTTAAGGAAAGGCTGATGATAGAGGTGATGGCCAGGCACCCTGCTTCAGGGTTTCCTCCTACAGTGAATAAGCTTTGTACCACAGCAAGTAAAATCCTCCGAAAATTTTATATCTGGGTCTTATTAGGTGGGTTACTGATGCTCCTAACCATTCAATGCCAAGACACACACAGCGACATACTGCATCACCAGCACTACCGTCATCAGTATCTTCATCAAATTAACAGCTGTCAATGAGTGTCAACCGTCCATGAATAACAATTGTTGTAAATTGTCGATGAATTGTGCTTGATTTTTCTTAAGTGTTGATTTAACGAAGATCTTCTTCAGGATATATTTACATATATTTTTAAATTTCTGTTGCAAAACTTTGTTCTGTATGTCATTTAGTTTCTTTGAATAAGGATGTAAGCCATGAAAGATTCAATTAGATTTTTTTTTTTTTTTCGAGACATAGTCCTGCGCTGTTGCCGAGGCTGGAGTGCAATGGCACAATCTCAGCTCCCTGCAACCTCCGCCTCCTGGGTTCAAATGATTCTCCTGCCTCAGCCTCCTGAGTAGCTGGGATTATAGGCACCCACCACCATGCCTAGCTAATTTCTGTATTTTTAGTAGAGATGGGGTTTCACCATGTTGGTCAGGCTGGTCTCAAACTACCGACCTCAAATGATCCACCCGCCTCGGCCTCCCAGAGTGCTGGGATTACAGGCGTGAGCCACCGAGCCTGACCCCAGATATTTTTTCCTCTATTAAAACTTGCTCATTTCTTTAGGTCGTAGAAAGCTTGAAGGAAACTTACTGTTTATATTCGATGATTTTGTTAGCTTAGGTGTTTGTAATTGTGTTCTGTCCCTCTTTCCTATGCCCCATTTCTGTTTCATTCTTGTTCTCTAAGCCTTTTATCTTAGACAGCCTGAAGTCCTGTTTTGGAAGTATGCAGGATGTGAATAACTGCTTAGCTTTGTTTAATATGGAATTACCAGGTCATGTAATATTTTGAAATAATTAACCTGCTGTCATCTTTTTAAGTACGGAATTAGGATTTTGATCTTAGTATAAGCAAGTTGTACCCAATGTAGTAAATGAGGTTGTATGAAATATATGAATCCCAAATTATTGTGGGCTAAATGAACCAAAATTAGCCCGAAGCTTCGTGTCTTACAAGCAGCCCCAGAATTGCCCCATCAGTAGAAGTTGTCTAAGCTGTAACTGGCAGCTCAAATGTACTTCTAAATGCTTAGTGGTTGCCTAGAAGCATTTCGGAATGCTTTGGCCAACGTGAAAATGGTCCCATTTACTGTCTTTGAGTTTTAAGCGTTTTTCTTAAAACAACCTGTTTTTCTCATCTGCAAGCTCTCTGCTTGTTCAAAGCAGCCAACAGACATCTTACCTCCTGGTCAGGAGAGATTTATCACCAGAAATCTTCCAGTTGGTCCATTCTTACAAAAGATGTCATTACTTTTGCAAAATATTCTGTGCCACCTTTGGTATAACAATTTAAAGCCAAACTGTTTTCTGATGAGACATGTTGAATCTGATTTTCATGCTTTTTTCCTGTTTCTTGTTAATTTGTACAAATGTGGTTGTTTTTGTCCTGTTTCCTGATCCCAGTGGAATCAGTCAAATGAACTCTCTTTGTGTTCAGATTTCTAGAACTTGGTATAACTGGATTTAGCTGCATGTGCCACTGAATGCACTTGCCCTTAGTAAACATCCTCTGGAGGATGTGTTCAGAATGTGTCACTGTATGTGTCCTCCAGGCTCCTTCGTGGGGGCTCCCTGGGTGAAGTGAGATTCCCAAGTCTTTGCTTCTCAGCTTGTGTGTTGCCTTACTCACTGAAAGAGACCCACTGGTTGCTTTGCACTAAAACATTTCTTTTTATCTCCGCCTGATATAATGACAAGTAGATCTGTTTGCAAGAGGCTGGCAGTGAATTCTGAAACTGGTGTTGTTCCTCTGCAGAAAAGCCTTTCGTTGCCAGGTCTGGGTCCCAGTAGGCCAGGCCTTACAGTGCCTTGGTTGTTTCTGGCCTTGTTTTCCCCATTTCTCTCTCTTGGAGAACATGGAAACCGTAGGTGCATCCTGAGTTTGTTGGGCTTCATAGGAGGCACGTCTTTGGGCTTGTCAAAGCAAGACAGCTCTGTGTGGTCCAGTCCATGTGGGACTGGCCTGAATGAGGACACCAGGCCTGCGTCACTGCGGCCATTTGCTCACAGAGCATTCAGCCTTCCTCTGCCCTTCTGTTCTATCCAGGCCCTCAAGGATTAGATGATGGCCACCCACACTCTGCAGGATGGACATGCTTGACTCAGTCCCCCAATCCCAATGCTAATCTCTGCTGGAAACATCCTTACAGACACACTCAGAAATAATGTTCAGCCAGCTCTCTGGGCATCCGTGGTGCAGTCATTTGGCATTTAAAATTAACCATCACAGAGTATTTCTTCCAAGAGGCCTGTGATTGCCCTGCTTAAAAAGCCCCCTACATGCCACCTCATGGCTCCTCATGGCACGCCCCCCATGTGGAATCATTGTATTTCTTACTTGCTTATTTGTAGGCCTTCCATAGGATGAGAACTTTCCAAGCTGGGCCTTGTTCATCTAGATTTTGCTCTTCTGCTGGTACCTAGCGCATGCCTGGCTTCAGCATGCCTGTAATGGATATTTATTGAATGAATGAAATGCTTATGGGTATTCCTAACCAGGAGGCAGTACAGAGAAAGAAGCAGGACCAGCTACACACATGTGTAGTTGACTTGATTGAAGGGAGGTAAAGGTTTGGATTCACATGGGGAAATTGGCAATCTTTCCTTGTCTTAGCATTGAATGAATTGATCATAGGGGAGAAAGGAGAGGTCTTAGAGGAGGAGTAACATCAGGAGCAAAGGGAGAGGGAGAAGAGTGAGAGACTTGAGGTGTGAAGAGTCTTCTCTGAGCAGTTTTATAAAATCAAGATGCTCTTCTATTTGCATCTGATCTAATCATTCCTGTTTTCTGGAAATAGGAGGGGGGTGCAGTTCAGATCTGTGCATTCAAGATACCTTTTGGCTATACCTTTGGCTAAAACTATGGAAAATTTCAAATATACAGGAGGGCAGAGAGAAGAGAGTAATGCATGCCAGTGTACTCATCACTCAGCTCCACAAATTATCAACTCATGATCCTTTTTTTTCTTTCTTTTTTTTTTTTTTTTGAGATGGAGTCTTGCTTTGTTGTCAGGCTGGAGTGCAGTGGCACGAACTTGGCTCACTGCAACCTGTGCCTCCCGGGTTCAATCGATTCTCCTGCCTCAGCCTCCTGAGTAGCTGGTACTACAGGCGCATGCCACTACACTCAGCTAATTTTTGTATTTTCAGTAGAGACGCGGTTTCACCGTGTTGGCTGGGATGGTCTTGATCTCTTGACCTCGTGATCCACCCTCCTCAGCCTCCCATAGTGCTGGGGTTACAGGCATGAGCCACCGCGCCCGGCCAGTCCATCTTTTCTTATCTATATGCCCGTCCCCCAGATATTTTGAGGCAAATCTCTGCCATCACAGCATTCCATTTTTTGTCATTTTAAATGTATGGTGGTAATACAGAGGGCAAACAGTGTTCCTAAGAAGAGGTTGTGCAGAGGAGCTGATCCCCATGCTGATAAGGCATCCACCTTGGATGTTCCCACCCCTGGCCCTTTGCTGAGGTAGAGGGCCTGTGATGCATTAGCATACTGTGTGTGAGTCAGTGAATGGGCAGTGTGTGTGAGAGTCAATAGGCTGTGATGGCTTTAAGCTTTGTCTCGCCATGTGACTTGACTACTTGAAAGCTGGTTGATAGATTACATGCTTCACCAAAAGATGACTCTTGCATATAATCTGTGGTGTGGAGTGAGCAGATTTTCAAAGCAAGATAGATACAAAGAGAAGGAAAAGTCAAAGCTTCATCATTTGTGCATTTGTAGCTTTGTTTCCATGTGATTATATTGTTGCCCACATAGCTGACAAAAGCTGTGAAAATTAAAGCTTAAATCTTATAGAAATGAAAAGTTTTAGTGTAATTAAACACTAGAACACTGACGTTTAGGATTTAAGCTCACAAAATTGTGTAACATTAATGTTATAGAAATTGGAATAAAATGAATCAAGCTGAGCTAACATTGACTTTTAAGTTAGTAAAGAGCATTGGCTATACTTGTAAGAAGCCTTTGAGTGGAGGTGAGAGTCCTCCTGGAACATGTTCTCTCACCCACTGGCCCCTTTCTGAATCTGACAGCTTTGGGAAGCTTGTTTCAATGAACACTGGGTCACTTATTTGCTTTGCAAGGTATAATTTTTCCATATTCCCATTTCTATAGTGGCCAAAGCAGTGGACAGGTTTTCTTTGGAGCTTACTGTGTACTTATCATTTTGTCCTCACTTAGTTTGTTTTGGATGGGAGTATGAGACTTTGAGAGTAAATTTTAGTGGTAAGGCTACCCCTTTTTGGTCTTGCAAATAGTTGGATACTCTAGATAGATTGCTTTTCTGTAAGCCTGCTCTGTGTAGTTTTCTGTTTGTCTGTTTGTTGTTTTTCTGGTGGTTGGACTCTGGCAGTGAGTAGGAATGGGAAAGAGGCCATTCCCTCATACCCTGGCTCTCCTGGGGCTCCTCCCTTCACTATAGCAAACAGGCTCCTTGTAGACAGTGTTCATGAGTCTTTTCAAACTTCATTTGCTTTCATTTTTGAGCTTCTTGAAAGTGTAAGCCTGGTAAGTTTAAATTATTTTCCTTATTCTTATTTTCAAGGTGAATGATTCTTCTAGTTATCAAGCAGAGTAAAACTCTCCTTTTTAATGGTGGAAACATTAGTTACAGCAGCCCTTTGAAATCTGAGGGCAAAATCCCAGACACTTACTGGGACTAGCTATTAGGAAATATTGAAGTCAGATTTCTACACTATTATCATTGTGATTTGATCCATGATAGAAATTTATATCTCAAAAATTACCCTATTAATAAACTTATTATGCCTTAAATTATAGAAAAGTTGCGTGTTTAAAACAAACCCATAATATACCTTCTTAATGTTTTGATAAAAGCATTTTTGATTAAAAAAACCAAAATAAAATCTCTTGAGCTTTACTGTTGTGGAAAATAGAAATATATCGAAAGGGATCTTAAACCTGGAGCTACTCTGCAGTAGTTTTGTTAACTTGATAGATGTTGTGCAGAAGGAAAAATTGGGGTTGGGGTCAATTTTGCCACATTCACTTAATGTACCACTCATATAGCATTCTGCAGTACTTTAATTAGATAGTTGTGCTGATGACTTCTGATGAACGGTACCAGCTGTGAACCCTGAAGACTGATTCTTTTAAATAATGGTGGAATGTAAACATCATTTTCTCTTCTGTTTCTTTCATGCCTTGAGAAAACTTTTTATCTGTAATACTGCACCTTTTTCATCCCTCATTCTGTATATCATTCTCTGTCTTTCATTATATATGTTTTTGAAAAGACCATTTGTTATAACACTGCAGGATTTTAGAAATGACTTATTGAATGTAGGAGGGTGAACTCAATTTCAGGTTTTTAATTGTTTCTGTTTCAATTCCATCATAATTCATTGAATATCTTCCGTGTGCTCAGAACCATTGATTAGCGAGTTTGCTTCCTTTGAGAGTCTTCAGAGTCATCTACTTAAAAATGTAGAATTGGAAAAGAGTGATTATCTCAATGCTCAGATAAGGACACCAGAGTTCAGCCAGAAGCCTGGCAGGGAGCTGTCCACCGCCGTGGTGCTGATTGAGGAGGTGGCTTCTTACAAATCTATCAGCCCACTCTTTTCTTAAACTGTTTCACACCCACCATATGAGTAATGCATTCTGAAAACTGAATTTACTTCAAATGCCATATGGAGCAAGACAAAATACAAATAAGTGAATAAATAAACATACAAATAAATTAAATGTATAAAGTATACAGTGTTGTGCTTATATGTTCATGGAGTTTTAATAGTTTTTCTCTTCTTTCTGTGTGGGACCTTTATCTGTGATCAAATTGGTGGTGCCAACAGTTTATGGTATAGTTGGTGTAAACTTTATCATCGTCTGTTGAGTTCTGCTGTCACTTCTGGGTGGGCTTCTGTTCCTGTTGCTGGATGTTGAATGCAAGAAGAACGATCTGAGAAGAGACTGTGTTGGTTGTGCTGTATTTAGTCATGTGCACACTGGGCACCAGGAAAGCAAGTCCCTGAGTCTCTTTAGTACATGATTTCTTCTAGCTCCTGGTAGCTGATTTCTGTAACTGCATGATGTGTTGTCTACAGTAACTAGCCTGGGACAGTGGAAAGAGCCCCAGGTCAGCATGCAGTCTCCTAGGTTCTGCTTTAGGACCTCTGTCTTTTCTTGGGCATAAACTCCTCCCTGGGTGCACAGTCCTTCCGCTAAGATGAACTGCAACACAATATAGGGTTTTGACATATGTATTTTATTGTCAGAGCAACCAGGAGGGGAGTTTGTGCAGGACCACATGGGCCAAGACCTATGTTTTTTTGCTACCTTTATTCTCCTGGTTTAAAAAATACCCACCATTCCACAGCCCTGTATATTCTCTCTCAGTTTTCTCATCCTCCATGTGGTGAGATCCTGCCTGCAGACTGACAGCCCTGTAAATTCTTTCTGAACTTAACACAAGCCACATCCTTGATGTACCCCCTTCCACCTAGAAAACAGACTTCCTGCCTGACCAATTCTTCTCACACAGTGTTTTCTGCATTTTTCTTGCATCTTGCCAATTTTTTCATCTACTGATAAATGGGACTCATTTGCAATTTTTCTCCATTGGCTCTTCTTTAATTTCTTCCCTCTGACAACTTGTTACTAACAGAGTAATGGAAGTTTAATCCTTAGTTTTCCAGAGTAAAAGATACAAAATATCTGCTCCCCCACTGCCTTCCTTTAAAGGATGGCTCGCTTTTTTACAAAGCCTTGTGCCGATGTCCAGAAAACATATATTTGACAAACTTCTTTTTCCTGTTGTTCAATAGTCCACGTGCTACTGTGCCCCCTCCTTCCAATTTCCAACACCCTTTTACTTGCTCTGTCACCTTTTCATTTCAAATTCCATGATACTGAATACCTCAAGAGTGAAGTGCAGATTACCGCATTTCTAACAATTTCAGCCCTCTGCCCAGTGGCCCTGTTCCAGTCAGAACACGTAAAAGGTACTGTCGGGCAGCTTGGAACAGAAACACTGTACAGGCCATTTGTGTTTACTCCATTTTACAGACTAGG
Organism: Homo sapiens; assembly: GCF_000001405.40. Lineage (NCBI taxonomy): Eukaryota > Metazoa > Chordata > Mammalia > Primates > Hominidae > Homo > Homo sapiens. The sequence continues at coordinate 127,118,834 of NC_000010.11, forward strand.
AAACTAAGGTGCAGAAAGGAAAAGTGACCTACCAAGGGTAACTTGATGTTGATTTATTCTCTGGTACTGCTAACTTTCATGACTTGTTAGGTTAGAATGATTCTTGAAAAATTTGCTTTGCGTCTGTTATGTAAAAATGCCTGAATCATACAGGTTTACACACACGTGTACCTGCATGGGTCCTTTACTCTGGGGGCTCCAGCTGAGGAATCAGGCTTTTTTTTTTTTGAGACGGAGTCTCGCTCTGTCACCCAGGCTGGAGTGCAGTGGCGCAATCTCGGCTTACTGCAAGCTCCGTCTCCCAGGTTCACGCCATTCTTCTGCCTCAGCCTCCTGAGTAGCTGGGACTACAGGCGCCTGCCACCGTGGCCGACTAATTTTGTTTTTGTATTTTTAGTAGAGATGGGGTTTCACTGTGTCAGCCAGGATGGTCTCTATCTCCTGACCTCATGGTCCTCCTGACTCAGCCTCCCAAGTGCTGGGATTACAGGCGTGAGCCACCGCGCCCGGCCGGAATAGACATCTAATAATTCTGACTCCGATGGTGCGTAGAGGTGCAGTCCTGAAGGTCCCTTCACTCAGCTCCCAGCTCCCACATCTGTGAAGTGTGGGGCTAAGGAGATGGCTCTGCGATTCCTTCCAGTGTCGGCACCGTCTTCTGTATTTCTGTTGTTTGAAGACTTGAATGGAGGGAGGAAAGCACGTGAACATGTTGAAACCTGTGGGTCCAGGATTCTTAGATGGTTGGAAAATAAGACAATTGACTATACAAGATGAATAGCAAACACCCCCCATGTATATGATTCTTACTGTTTAATTCTTAGGAAAAGTGTTATTCTGGATCTCAGTTCTATGTAACACAGAGTTATTAAATGCACTTTATGGATCATTTATTTAATGTGACCAAACTAAAAATTAAGAAGTACATTACTCTGTTCATAAAAATGAATGTTTTCAATGGACAAATTCATTCTTGTATTTGCATCTTGCTTTAATGTAGAGCTGTAATGGGGTTATGGTCAGATATTCTGCTTGGGCATTTATAAGCTGATAATGCTTATTGAATACCTTTTATAAAGATTAATATTTTTTACTCTGTCCTCATTACCAGAGCATTAATCATCCTGGCTTCGGCCCTTGCAGCTGAGGATGAACAGATGTTGAATTATTGCTGTCTGTAATCATTGTGGATCACACTGGGGAAGGGCCGTGAAAGGGTGGCTGGTGTGATCCTCACAGCTGATTTGCATGGAGCCTGGCTACCTTTATAGCTCTGTGCATGGCAGAGGAAACCAGGATAGCTGTGCCAGCTGATTCTAGCTTCCTCGTAGGTCACCGTAGCCTAAGTCAGCACTGACAAGCACTGGCGGTCCTGGAGTCACGTACGTGTGACAGGGTGTCTGATAAGAGAGAGCTGTGGCCATGACTCTGCTTACAATAAATGCCAGTTCATAAAAATGAGAAGTCACATACAAGGTCTTTAACATCGGCTTTCTAGCATTCTCTGAGACTGTGCTGTCCAGCAGAAATAGAATGTGAGCCGTGTATGTAATTAAAAATATTCTAGTTGCCACATTTTAAAAAATGAGGCAATTGATGAAATGAATTTTAGCAATGTATTTTGTCTAAAACATCACTGCAACGTGAATTCTCTCTAAATATTACTAATGATACATATTTTACATTCTTTTTATGATATGAAGTCTCTGAAGTCCAGTATTTTACACTTACAGCACATCTCTGTTTGGATGTGAAATTTTCACCAGACACTTGATCTTTATTTTCATCATTGAATATAATTTACCTTTGAAAAATGAGATTCACATACCCCAATTGTTCCAAACATTGGTTTCTAACAAGTAAATCAAGTAGCACTTTTTACATTTGAGTTTATATTAATTACAATTAAATAACATTAAAAATTCCTTTCCTCCATGGCACTAATTAGATTTCACATGCTCAGAAGTTTCCATGTTGGGTATCACAGCTCTGAGGTATTAGTTTTCTTTTGTGTCCTTTTAGTTGAACAGCTGACTTTGTATAATACTATACCTTCTGTTAACCACCATTTGTTGTAGGCTCATATTTGCTAAATACACACATCGTATCATTTAGTTCTCAGTCAACCTGGGAGACGACCAACAGCATCCCCATTTTGCACATTAGAAAAATTAAGACCTAGAGAGTTTAAGTAACTCTTAAACGCTCTAGATACAAAGCAAAGAGCCAGCAGGGGGGATTGCATTATTTCTTTATACGTGTGGGTAAACTGATTAAAAGGCTTTCCCCAAATCCCATAAAGTGACCCAGGTTCCTGGACTTCTGGTCAAGTGTTTGTTCCAGAGTATTCAAAAGATGATGTGTTTTTCTTTAAAATATAAGACCCCTCCTCCTTTTTTTTTTTTTTTCTCCTGGTGGATTATTTGTTGGCTTCCCAGGCCATCTGTTTTGGAACTAATGGGACTATCAGTGCCAAACCTGTAGAAATGACATTTTGTCCATGGGAAAAGTATTCAGGACATTTAGGTGTGTTGTCCATAGGAAGATAGGAGATTCCTCTTCCTTGGCTGCCAGAGACAGCTGTTCATGCTTTAAGATAGGTCATTGTAGGGTATATGTATATGTGTGTGTGTGTGTGTGTGTCTATCTGTCCGTCTGTCTGTCCATCTGTCTGTTTTTGTAGTATACGTTCCTCAGTGCTCTTGATTTGCTATCTTAAGACAAAATTCAAGAGTCTTACTGTTACTTAAAACGTGTACTCCCACCACTTCTTGAAAAAACCTATCTGTAGACAGAAATATAGAGTAAGAGAAGTCCCTTAAAAAATGAGGTTTTAAGAAATTTATGTTTTTGCTTTTGGGGAAGGCAGCTGAGTGGCTACTGTACTGGATAGTGCAGCTGTAAGGCTTTAGTTTTCTTTGTATATTTTTAGTTGAAAAGGCTGACTTTGTATACTGATATTTGTATTATTGTTATTAACAGCTACCATTTCTTGAGGGTTGAGAGTGGCAGACCTGCTTTTAACTGCAGACTTTAGTTTGATACCACATGTGCGTAATTGCAAGTTAATCCAAGACACACACACTCATACCACCACTATCATCAGGCCTTGGTTTATGTGCTTGGATATGCCATTTAAGAAAAATAGGAAGGCTTCTGCTCTTATGGAGATTGCATATCAGCAAGGAGGAACAGATAATTAAAGCAATCAGTATTTCAGTGTTCCGATAACGGGGCATTGGAGGCCTTCCTGTACCTGGGTCCAGTGGGGGCTGTGCTGAGGCCAGCAGATCACAGGTCACCAGGGAGGTGCACTCCTTGGCTTTGCTGCCTTCAGCTTCGGTCCTCCCACCCTCTCCTAGTGGCTCTGGGGAATTGCCTTTCTTTGGGGGCCTGGGATGGGTTGCTGTGGACCAGGTGACGGACGGTACTGTAAGGTGCCATAGCCTGTGTGACCCTCTGCCTGGAGGCATGGTTGAAATCCCTGGCATGGGCAGACTGACCTTTGGCCTTTAGGGAAAGAGCCTCGTTGCCAGCCTGGTCCTCCTCAGTGACCTGGTTCTGTTTTGGGGTCGGGGTGGAGTTTCCTGATGCTGATGGTGCCGGGGGAGACCTCTCACTGAGGCATGTTGGATGGCTTTTTACACAGTCCTTCCTCAAGCAGCATCTCATTTTGTCTCGACAGTTAAAGTAGACATCGCCCCACCTCCCCACTTGATCTTGACTGGCCATGGATGGCTGGGTCATGAAGGCTGAGGTGCAGTTGGATTCTGGTCTATCAGGATGGTTATAACAATTTTTTTTTTTTTTTTACATCTTCTTGGGGGCTTAGTGAATGAAATGTCTGTATTGGGACAAAATGACAGTGACATTTCTAAAAGTTTTGTTGTTTCTCATCAGGAGAGGCTGGATAGCAAACAGGTGAAGGTAGCGCAGTCCTCCAGGTGGGGTGGATGGTGAACGTTACCACCAGGTAACCAAAGATGGTTGATAGCATCCTCCAGCCAAAGATGAACAGACAGACACCTCTTTCTTCTCACCAGAGTAATTCTAACAAATGAGACCAGCACACTCAATTAGCTCTGAGAATAGCACAGATCACAACTGCCTACCCAGCATGACAGATAAATGGTGCGGTGAGGGATGAATTTAGGCCAGGACATCTGGGTACCAGAGCCTACAGGGCCAGCTCTGCTGTTTCTGAGCCCAGTGCTATGTTCCTCTGATTTTCTGGAATCACTTATGGACACACCCTCCTTCCAGCCTGTACTGGCTGGTCCGTTAGACCTTTTCCCTCTCTTGGGTCCGTCCTAAGCTTGCTTCAGAAGACGGCTTCTAAGCTTATGTAGTCATTTTTTTCCTTAGTCACATTGTCAGGGGCTGTCATTACCTGCTCAGGTCTTAGTGGTTCTAACTGCTGCCTCTGAGGTTTCTTGGAAATTCAGCTTGTTTTCCAGAATGGTGGCAGTGCTAGGGATGACCAAGTGACAGGGTTGGGCCAGGGCTCTCCCCATGTTGAGGTTGGCACAGTGTGTGATGTGTTTCCAGCCAAAGGGCAAGAGGACTCATTTGGGAGATATTATGGTGGGCACCACGAGGAAGAGTGCTGGCAGGGCGGGGCTCAGATAAGGGTGTGCTGAGGAAGCATTCCAGCCAGCTGGGCTAGAGCATTTGGAGTTAAACCCTACGTCGGATGCTGTGTTGTGGTTAAGGTCAGCAGCTCAAGAGTCACTAAAGTTGGATGTAGTTTGTAAACATCGAGGTTCTATAGGAAAGGCATTGAGATTTGGGGGTATTTGTGGAAATAGTGTGTCCCATGTGTTAGCGTTTCCAGGCTGGATTCACTCCCATGAGGTCATTTTCTTGTTCATTTCTCTTAGACTGGCTTTGTTCTCGGGTGGCTCTAACACTAGGGCAGTCTCCTACACGGGCAGCCCATCTTGGCACTGTGCTCTCCCTCACTGACCTCCTGTGGGATTCCAGACACCACAGCCTTCGAGGCTGACCTGGCCTCTTTCCAGAAGATGTGCAGCTCTTAGCACGTCATACATTTCTTCTGCCTAAGTGTTGACTACTGGCATTGTGAAATTAACAGGTACATTCTTATTTTCCTATATTAATTGGACAAAACTTCTTGTAAAAATGGAGTTGCTCTCACTCCTTTCTTGGCGAATCAACAAAAAATGGAATTGGGGAAGGCCTTGGCCATGAGCCGCCCACATGTGATCCGCTGGAGACAGGGGAGTAGAGGGGTTTGTGTTTCTTCTCAGTCTTTGTTTCTCTCTGCCTGCTCCCCAGTCCTTCATTACAGTGTAGTTCTTGGGAAAGTTCTAAGTGTGCTCTGTGTACTTAGAGGAACCATTCCAATGTTGCATGCTTATAGTTTTCTTATATAAAAGAAACATTAATGCAAAACATGTTTTAATGTATCTTTAATGTTGTAAGTCTTAAAATATAAAATCCTGAAAACCGGCTAAGTCTGTTTAAGGTTTTAGAGCACTGCTGTCTCCTCTTGTGCTCTGCGTTTAAAGGAAACAAGAATGGCTGGGCTAGTGTCAAAACACAGAACTGGTGTTGTAAATAGATAGTCCATGCTGGAGAGTGGATGATGCTCCAGCTAAGCTGGATTTCCCAACTGGAAGAGACAATTAGGGATTGCATTTCACCTTTCATTGTATTTGTATCTGTTTCCCTGTTGCTCTGTTATTTTCTGAACATCCTTCCTCTGCTCTTATTGAAAGAACAAATGGAAACCCAAACCTGCTTTGCCTCTGATCCTTACACCATGGCATCCCTTCATTTTATAGCCATGCGTCCCAGAGTGGGGCCTCTGCACCTGCTTTTCATTTCCTGTTCCTCCTCAGCCCACTCCAGGAAGCTGTCTTGAGAAGGATTCTGTGTGCCTTAAATTGCCACATTCCAAGATTGGCATCTTCTACCTAGGAGAAGGAAATCATACTTTGGCTCACCTTGGCATAGATGAGAAAAGCTGCAATTCAAATAATTTGTGTTGTAGGAAGTATTTCTTTTAATGTTGCAAATTAGTGAATTTGTAGTTAGAGAAAATTCATTAAAAAACCCGTGTGTGGCTAACATGGTGAAACCCCATGTCTACTAAAAATAAAAAAAAAAAATTAGCTGGGCGTGGTGGCAGGCACCTGTAGTCCCAGCTACTCAGGAGGCTGAGGCGGGAGAATGGCGTGAACCTGGGAGGCGGAGCTTGCAGTGAGCCGAGATCACACCACGGCACTCCAGCCTGGGCGACAGAGCAAGACTCCGTCTCAAAAACAAAACAACAACAAAAAACAAAAAACCCATGTGTGTTTGTGTCTGCATTTATGTGCACACAGTGGGATATAAGTGTGTGTGTGTTTATATATATCATGTATGCTTGCAAATTATTATCTGTTTACCTGGGATACACACATAGATGCATGGAAGTGTGTTTGTATGTGAATTATTTACAATAACAGCAGACACGGTGTTCTCACAGTCAAGTAATTGACCCCCCTCCAGATGTCAGTTCCACGTGTTGCACAACGTGAATGCAAACTGCTTGAAAGGGCAGACAAGCTTATAGCAAACACGAGTTGCGTCTTGGTGGGTTTCACACTGACTGGCAATGCTGTGTCCTGTGTAGACTGCAGAGAGATCCTGCTTCCCATGATGACCGATCAGCTCAAGTACCATCTGGAGAGACAGGAGGACCTGGAGGCCTGCTGTCAGCTGCTCAGCCACATCCTGGAGGTGCTGTACAGGAAGGACGTGGTGAGTGTTGGCTCTGTGCGTGACGTCCTGCCATTTGCCTGAACCTGCCATTTGCCTTGCAGTACAACTTTATTCAGTTAAAAATGAAAGGTCTTGATTTTAAGGTCTAGCCTCTCTTTTTGTCTCGGTAGAGTTGCACCCTTAAATTATTTTTATTTATGTATATATGGTGATTATTACAACATTTATCCTTTTGCATTGAAAATTGTTCTTTATTTCCTGTGTCTTCTCGACGAAATGTCTCTCAGGACCTAAATTTTCATCCTTAAGGTCAGACAAAAAGGCTTTGATGCTTAAAGTTGGCTAATTATCTGCATTCTTTCTTCTTATTTTTATTAAAGTAATACATGCACAAAGTTAAAAATAAATAAATAAATAAAGCCAGGCATGCTGAGGGAGTCGTAAGGAGAAGAGCAGCTCTTTTCCTCCCCTCAGGCTCTCTTCCCCTAGGTCAGTGCTTTGCTTTTGTAGCTCTACCCTATTCCTTTTTTTTTTTTTTCTTTTTTCTTTTGAGACAGAGTCTTACACTGTCGCCCAGGCTAGAGTGCAGTGGCACAATCTCAGCTCATGGCAACCTCTGCCTCCCGGGTTCAAGTGATTCTCCTGCCTCAGCTTCCCAAGTAGCTGGGATTATAGGTGCCTGCCACCATGCCCAGCTAATTTTTTTGTATTTTTAGTACAGACGGGGTTTCACTATGTTGGCCAGGCTGGTCTCAAACTCCTGACTTCGTGATCCACCTGCCTCGGCCTCCCAGTGAGCCACTGCACCTGGCCTACCCTATTCCTTTTGCATTTCTAAATTGTATGCTTCTTTCAGGGACTTTTTTAAAAATCAGAAGTTGGTGCCAGCCCAGCGAAGTAGCTCACGCCTGTAATCCCAGCGGTTTGGGAAGCCAAGGCAGGAGGATCGCTTGAGCCCAGGAGTTTAAGACCAGCCTGGGCAACATAGTGAGAGCCTGTCTCTAGAAAATGAAAGAAAAAATAAAAAGCAAGTTTGTGCCAGCACATATGGAAAAGTCTGACCCTGTGCCTTTCACTCCCAACATACCATTCCTGTTGGAGCACACACATGATGCTATTGATCTTCCAGGTGTGCCTGGAAAGGTGAAAGCAGGGCTTTGTCTGTCCTTGCCCCTAGCCCTGGACAGAGTGGCCAGGATTTCTAAGTAGATAAGGCTTGTCCCTGGCCGTTTCCTGCATGACCTTGAAAATCCCTCCTAGTCACCACGCCCATATACCTGGCCACCCACTCCGCTGTAGCCCTGGCTCATTCTCTCAGAGCCTGATTAGTGATCTGGAAGAAAAAGATCGGATTAAATCTGTTCTTGGTGATGCTGGAAACCTCACCTCTTACAGGGGCATTGCCTTTGGAGAGGTCTTGGAGGCCTTCACCCAAAGGCCAGCCTCCAGTGGTCCCACTTCAGGCTCTTCCCTGTTTTTATTGGAGAAAAGCTTGGGGTAAGAGCTTGTATGGCCAAAGCTCACAGAGGAGGTGGTGATGCTGGGAAGGGCCTAGAGCATGTGTTTAAGCAGATTCATAGTTCACGAAGAAGAATCAACAATCGCATCCCACACTAATAAAAGAGTTAATTTTTACTGAATGCCACAGCAGTGTGAATTTTAGATAGTTTGCTAAATGCTGTTTAAACATTCTATCCTGTGTGACTGTTTAAGTTATTTGCATTTGACGTGCAGAACCATCTAGGACTGTTATCTGCCTGCCTTCCATTTACAGATGGCCAAATATCTTTAGAAAACTAATTGGTGGGCTAATCAGGGATCATAAACATTATATTGTTTAAACAGATTTTCTTTTATTTTTAAGGTTTGCTTAAATTAAATTACTATGATTATATATGTAACAAATTATCATTAATGGACTATAATTAATAAAAACCCCTGAGTTTTTTTGTGAGAGCTTTTGCCTTTGACAAGGGCCATTTTTCATCTCATTAAGGGTTATAATTGATTTACTCTTTACAGGGTAAATGGATTCAATGACAACCACTGGGGCTTGCATGTTAATGTTTCTCTGGTGTTGGTGTTCATTGGTGTGTCCTTCCCCAGGGGCCAACCCAGAGGCACGTCCAGATTATCATGGAGAAACTTCTCCGGACCGTGAACCGAACCGTCATTTCCATGGGACGAGATTCTGAACTCATTGTAAGTGCTTGGTGACATATGTTTGGATATTTAACTGGGGCTGACAGCATCCTTCTCCAACTGCTGTTTGAACATAGCTTATTATACTGCAATGTAGTGAGCAGTTGAGATACAGCTTGGTATATAAAATGTCCTCATTTTCCAAATGAATGTCAAAGTTGAAGGGTAAGCAAACCAACTTTAAAGATGGAAACATTTGGCTCTTGTTTTCTCATTACTTACTTATAGCAAAAGACATGTATTTTCTGCTGAGTCGTCATTCTTCTGGCAGTTTCTCCATAGTGTTTACACTTAAGGTGCCATTAATAAAATTTTATGAAGGACCCTAAAAAGTAATTGAGATTCTTCACCTTAGTTATTTTATTGTCTACTCTAATGTATTGTAGGTGTTTTTCTTAAACAGTAATTAGGCAGGAGCCTATTCATTTTTTTCAAGAATATTTTACTAATTTAGACAGTCCATCAAGTTTCTGATCATGGTGCCTTTTCCCAGGGTTCACTGCTGTCCTCTGCACCCCCTTACCTTAAGTCTGTTTCCTTCAGCAAAAAATGCATGAGTAGATCTCGTTTAATTTTTTTTTTTTTTGAGGTTCAAGGGGTTATAATTTCTTTCCTTTTTTTTTTTTTCTTTAATTTCTGGGATACATGTGCAGAACATACAGGTTTGTTACGTAGGTATGCGTGTGCCATGGTGGTCTGCTGCACCTATCAACCCATCATCTAGGTTTTAAGCCCTGCATGCATTCGGTATTTGTCCTAATGCTCTCCCTCCATTTGCCCCCCACTCCCCAGCAGGCCCCGGTGTGTGTGGTTCTCCTCCCTGTGTGCATGTATTCTCATTGTTCACCTCCCACTTATGAGTGAGAACATGTGGTGTTTGGTGTTCTGGTCCTGTGTTAGTTTGCTGAGAATGATGGCTTCCAGCTTCATCCATGTCCCTGCAAAGGACATGAACTCATTCTTTTTTATGGCTGCATACTATTCCATGGTGTATAGGTGCCACATTTTCTTTATTCAGACACATGTACACGTATGTTTATTGCAGCACTGTTTACAATAGCAAAGACTTGGAACCAACCTGAATGCCCATCAAAGATAGACTGGATAATGTTTAAAATATTTAGCACATGTTATCATTTAAGTCATCTTGGTGGATCCTTTCCAAAAAATGACTTGAAAGGAGAAAACGTCCTTTTGGAGTTTTCCCTTGACATCAGAGAAGGCACCCTGGTCCTTCCTGGTGCGTGACCGTTGTTCTTGTTGCATATCTGGGGTGTGAACAGGGAGGTGATGTGCGTCTTCTTGGACAGCATAGTCAGAACGGAGCACTGGGGTCCTTTGCGTTTTTATGTCTGGTGTCACCACAGAGGACTCCGTGTCGTGTGCGTCACAGACAGGTCGCACAGATGGACAAATGCTGCCTTAGTGTGTTTCCATCCAGTGAAACAGTTCATGTCTTAGAGCTTCAGCACATGTGAGGTTCAGATTTTCCTTTTTAAAGTGTTTAAACTTAAAGTTTAAACTTAAACTCACATTTTCCTTTTTAAAGTGTTTAAACTTAAAGTTTAAACTTAAACACTTTTAAGTTTGGATTACAACATGTATGAATCAGGAAATAAAATGTTTCCATGTAAATTGGCTTTATTTACAGTAGACTTTTCCATTATTACATAAACATAAATTTGCCTGCCTTTTCTTATTCTCCATGATAATTATTCATAGTCTTGAAACACATTTGGAACACATTAATATGGAATGGGCACTGAGCCCATGGAGAAGGATTTGCAGTGACTCCACGAGCCACCTGTTGACCCCTGAGGTCTGGCGTTGACCCCTGATGTCCAGCGTTGACCCCTGACGTCTGACGTTCCTGTCTTCTTGGAGTCGTGCCGCAGGTGCACTCTGCACAGTCTCAGGAGTGGAACTGGAAAGGGCCTTATGTAGAGCAAAGAGCATGTGGCTTGAACTTGAACCAAGTGTGGTTCTGCCAAGACCCTCTTGGGATGGGCGGACTTAGAGAGGCTGGGGATGACATGATGGCATGCAGGGGTGGTGGCAGATGAGGGAGAGGGTAGAAGTGGAGGCAGGTGGTCTCATGAGACTGTTTTGTCTCTGTTTAGGGGAGCATGGTTCTGCCTGTGCTTAGGGAAACATGGTTCTGTCTCTGGTTAGTGGGTCTTGGTCCTCTCTCTCCGATTAGGAGGTCCTGTCTCTGGTCAGGGGGGCACAGTCCAGTCTCTGGTTAGGGGGTGTGGTCCTGTCTCTAGTTGGGGCACAATCCTGCCTCCAGTTAGGGTCTTCTTTTTTTTTTTTTTTTTTTTTTTTTTTTTTTCCCCTGAGATAGAGTCTTGCTCTGTCGCCCAGGCTGGAGTGCAGTGGTGCAATCTTGACTCACTGCAACCTCTGTCTCCTGGGTTCAAGTGATTCTTGTGCCTCGGACTCCCGAGAAGCTGGGATTACAGGTGCACATCACCACACTCAAGATAATTTTTGTATTTTTTAGTACAGTTGGGGTTTCACCATGTTGGCTAGGCTGGTCTCAAATTCCTGACCTCAGGTGATCCATCCGCTTCGGCCTCCCAAAGTGCTGGGATTACAGGCATGAGCCACCATGCCCAGCCTTATTTAGGGTCTTTATGCTAGGTGTGTGTTCACTTGACTTGTAGCCCACTGGTCAACAGTTAAACTGGAGGGAAGAGGGCACAGAAAAAGCTCATAAAGTTTGGATGGGAAGCTGGGAATGTGGAGAGATTATAAGATGTGCTCACAGCTTCATCAAAGGGTAGAATAGACCCTGCAGGGAATGATATCTCCTCTCAGACCATGTGGTCCAGGATGTCTTTGAGAAATTTCTCCTATCTCAGGCATGATAATAAGTGTGGTAGTAATAATGGCACCTCTTCACTGAGCATGCATTTACGTGCTATGCACTCTATAATGAACAGGAAGATTCTCATTTAATTCTCACAGTGCCCTGCAGACAGACAAGAAACAGTTCAAGATCCCACAGCTAGCATGGCAGCACTTGTTTCCAGCCTGGATTTGGTTCCCATGTATGCTGTCAGTCCCTTCTATAAGACACAGGCACACGATGCTGATGGCCGTGGTCCACTTCAGAAGTCATCGAAAGGACTGAGCTGCTCCTAGATCCCTGTCCTGCTTAGGGAGACAGCTGTTCAGGGAAATAAGCACCTTTCTATTTTCTATCATGTCGTATCCATGGTCCAACTCTAGGATCTCCTTGCTAGAAGGGCCAGACCACAAGCTAGGTGCCCATTTCCTGAAGGGCTTGGGATGCTCCAGCTTGGAAGAACCCCTGTGTTCTAAGGAACCCTGAGGAGTTCCTCAGGAAGAAGCCTTGCATGTTCTAAGAAGGGGGTGTGACAGCGAGGACCCATGCTTGGTCTTATCCAGAGCCACATTGATATCAAGCATTTGGCATAGGGGTCTAAGCACTGTCCGGGAATGGAAGAGGTAGAACAAACTTCCCACCTCCAGAACCATCCTCCACAGCCCTGATCTTCCCAAACAGAAGCCTCAAAGTGGGAAGAGGAGAGAGGTCTTAAACGGACTCCTCCCAATTCCACCATCTCTAAGATCTGTAAAGAAGTAAAAAAAATCCTTGGAGTTTCTTTTATAAAATGCAGCTGTCTTGAAAGGACTCTCAAAAAAATTCTGAATAAGCTATAATCATTTAATGAGTGATGACAACATCAAGATGTTTTCAAGAAGGGTGTTTGCCACTGAAAATTCGAGTTGTTTAGTGGGACCTTGTAATCCCCAACCAGCCACGAGCCCCCTCTCTGGAGTCAACAGAGCAGTGTGAGTGAAATGCTACCCTGTTTAGGATGCCTGCCCTTGCTCTTCCAATTTGCATCAAATGTAGATTTGTGCATTAACTTTTTAAAGTCGTTGCTCTGTGAATTTAGATTAGAGGAAGATCAAGGCAAAAAGTATCCCTGACAAGGTGGACAAAAACCTTAATCAGTAGACCTTCTAGAGTGGAAAAAGAGTAGAAAATAGTTCATAGGTCTGTTTTGGGTAGGCTGTTCCATTCCATTATATCTTAGAGATTTCAGCCTTTATGTGTTACTCATTTTTGCTAAATATAGTGGAAATTATGTAACTATGAATCAGCTTAAAAATTCTAAGTAATCACTGAAAATGAGTTTTTAAAAATTAAAGTGATTAAAAAGAACTCTGAAATTAATATACTTTACTTAATGATTTATTCCATGATGTTGTCAACAACAGTACTAGAAATGTGGCCTCTTTCCATCGGAATAAGGCATTAACTGGGAATGTGATTATGCCCTGACAGCTTCCCCCTATTAATGTAAGGAATAGAAAACTGGGGAACTTCACACTTAATTAGATAAATTGGGATATGCAATATAAGGCTTTTCTTTATCTGTGGGATTTTACAAAAACTCGACTTTGCAGTCAGTTGTATATTGTTTGCTTTAGTTGATTATATTTGAAATGGGTGATTGGAATGCGTCTCGTGCCTAGGATAATAATGTGCTATGATCCGAAGTATTACATCCTTAAGAAAAAACCAAAACAACTCTATTTGGCAGTTGCAGAATTGTAGACCATGTGAATACCTAGCACATGCCCAGAGACAGAAGCGTTGCAATAACCTTGCCACAGAACAAAAAGGTCATTTTATCTTTACTCTGATGTAGTCTGATGCTGTAGAAGCATGGAGTGAAATACTTATTTTTATATTAAGTCAGACTTCAGGATTTATTTCAGCCTTCCTTTTTGAGAAGCTTTCTAAGCCCTCAGCATTAAGCAGCATTTTTCCTCATCACACACGGATCTGAGCAGGTGACCGCGGCTGGGATAGGTGCTGTTGTGTTGTGTGCAGGTGGGCTGGCCAGCCATTGGGTGTGTGTTTTTCCTAGAGTAAGAAGCACTCCAGGCTGAGATGAGAGCTGTTGAAATGAGTAACATTTCCGTCTCCTGTGATACGCGCTGCTGTTGCTTCTTTCAAATGATCAGATTTACATTCTTTTAATGGGTCCTTTAAAAATGTAATCGAGTGAGAAGGACTTCTAAACATTTTTCTTTGGCCTGGATACACACGAGGGGATTGGAAATTACTAATTCATGAAAATGAAAATGTGGGCTTCTTTTAAGGAAAAATTCCCTTTGAACATTGACAGAAGTGGGCATAGGGAAGGGGAAGATTTTGCCTGGATTCTCCACTTAACTCTTGTCACCACTGGAGCATCCTGACTCCCTAGACACAAGTGATGGAAGTTATTTTGTTTCCACTCTAAACACTGTCTCAGGGGGACATTGATGGGATGGTGGAGGGTGTGTTTCATTGTGACAACAGCATCTTTGGTGGGGAATTTGCTGTTGGTGAAAACCCAGTGCTTTCTCTGAGCATGGGTGATTGATAAGGGCCTGACATGCTCCTTCATTTGGAAAATGGTATTAATAGAATTGGTTTCCCAGTGAATAGTGCCTTTTACCCAAGACTCATAACCAAATATTTTCACAAAGATGTTATATCCCCATGCATGAGCATTCATTTTGAGATGTTCATTATAATAGAGTTTAAGTATGAATGTGTTTTAAAAATGATTTTAAAATCATCTGCAAAAAAATGTTGTGTTTCAAATGGACAGTGTCTGGGTTTTGTATAGTCATCATAAAAATGTCTATAATTGTACTGTTTGCTAATAAACCTGCCTGCTTTCAGAAAATCATCCTAACGTGTGTGTGTGCACCAATGGTTTTATAAGTTCATTTTTCTTTGGGGCAGCTACAGCAATTTTAGGTTTGTTTTCATATTCCTGTGACCCTGGTATTTTTTCAAGGTTGGTTACTAGCTATGGGTTTACTGCAGAAGAAGTAAAAACCACATTGTTGAATGGGCACAATATGCTCTGCAATCCTTACATATTCATACCAAACAGCAAAGATATTTGCAAAACCAGACTGCCTTAAGTTAATTTTTGCGCAACTTAAAATGACCTTGTCATTGACCAAAATGTATAGGATCCACTGTAGCATGATGACTTTATGCCAGTTCATGAAATGGATGTTCTTTCTGATCTTTGTACCACAGAGTTGTTTACTTTCAGTAAATAAAGTGGCTGCACATGCAGTGCCTGCAAATATGCTAGTGATAGAGTTTCTGTAGGTCAAAGAAGACGTGCTGGTGTGGGAAGCAGCTGCTGTGATCTTTAGGTGACACTGCTGCAGCCAAACTGCCCTGATTCATAATGAAATCAACTTTCACTTGCTGATAAAAATGCTAAGGAATGAGTCCACCAGTGACAGGTTTTCTAAACAGGCCATGGTGTTACTAACACCATGACATAGAAAAGTTCATGCCTCTTTCTTGTTTCCTTTTCTTGCTGTCTTCTAGGAAAGGCCAGTATTTGATGGTCTGTCTTCACAGTTTTAATTAAGAGTTGTGTATCTTGGTTCTGATATGCCCATGTGGTTTCCAAGGAAAACAGTGTTGCAGGCCATCCTCCTTGTGACTGTTTATAGGTTGGAGTTGGTCTGCCTGAGGCTGGGCCATGACTGTGACACCATTTACACCCAGTAGTCCAGCCACATCTCAGATCTCTGTGGCTGTAGATAACTAACTGCCTCTCAGGGTACATGGGAAATGCTGCCAACTGCCTAAGTTGTTTCCAAGGTAGCAAGGTTTTCCCATACTTTGAGCCCCTCCCCATTTATCTTCTGCTGGAGGGTCAGAGATTGAAGGAGCAGATGCAGGACTACAGGACTTCTGCTTCTTGGAAGTGAGTTGCACACTTGTAGAGTGACTGGTGGGCACCCTTCATTGTATCTGGGTGTCTGTAGAACAGGACCTTTGAGGCAGCACCAATAGTTGGCTCAGAAATGATTATAGAATGAGACAGAACCCTCCCTCTGTCTGCTCTGGGCTGTGCATTGGGCCTTCCTTCCCTTTCTGCATGTGTCAGAAGAGGAATCCCCTTCTTCTCCCTGAAGAACATGCGATGGTAGCAGGAGCCTTGAGTGTCGGTCTGCAGTGCCCTCTCCCTTGCACATGGACTCTGTGGTTGCAGATACTGGGAAAAAGCATTGTGGCCTCTCCTCTCCTAGGCCGTCCAGGTGAGGCAAACACCAGCCCACGTGTGCAGATGGGTTAGTATTAGGCTAGTGTCAGCAGGAGAGGTAGGCGCTCAGCCTATCTCCCACTAGGGAGGGGAAGAAGAAAGGAAGGAGGCGGCTGATCCCTTGAGGCTGGGGATGTGCTCAATGGAAGATCTAGAGAGAAGCTACCTCCCCTGGGCCATGGAGGCAAGATTTACATGCCACAGTGTACTGTGGCAACACTCAATGTATTTAGCCATTTCTTCTGAGGTTAAGAATTAAACCTCATATACCTCCTGCTATGAGCCTGTGTGCATCCTAAAATGCCACCATGTGTTCCGGTGGTGAAACTCCATGCCAGGGTGCATAGGTGGGCAAGCGTCAGTCCCTTCCCTCCCCAAGCCAGGCCAGCTCTGGCTGGTGGGTCAGGCCCAGGCCTTACGATGCTCTTGTCTTCTGCAGACCGGATGAAATGCCTATCGGCCCAAACATTCTTCCTTTATTATTATTTTCTTAGATTACTTTTATGTTCCCCAATTTTTGAGGCCATGAAATAAGTTTAATAGCCACATAAAACATCTTTGATTTTTTTATTTAAAAATTAATAAAGAACTTAACGACAAGTATAATAATTTAATCTCTATATGCAATGCCATGTGTACATCTACATAAGGGAACCCTGTGCGTTTTACCTTGCTTTTGTATCAGCGTTTTTACTTGAATCTTTCCAAGAGAAGAATCACCATCTGTTAGTGACGTGTTGCAATTAAACTATGAAATGATTTTGACAATAGTTTTTCTATTTTGAACACACTTTAATTTTTAGGGATGAATTAATTTATCTTCAGAAGTTCCTTTTTGACTCTGAACATTTTAATTTTATTTTTTTTTGGTCTAGACTGGTGTGAAACAGTGACATTATTTTGTGTACTAGGATGTCCTCTTGTTTAGACAGATTTGTGTTACTAATTAGAAAACTGCTAATACCCTTATTTCAATTTACTGAGATAGTTGGGATTCTTAAAACATAAGGAGAGAGAACTTGTTGGAAACATTTTTATAACTTTAGTTAAAAACAGTATAAAAAACATGAAACCCATTTTTAAATATTTAGTCTACGTGAAACAGTTACACTTCCTTCATGTTACAGGATCAACTTCCTCATTGTTCTTGCACCAAAATATTTCTCAGTTCCTTTTATTGATATTCAGGGATTCGAACTTCATATAGTGTTTCCGCAGAGGATGTGTGTGTGCACATGTGTGTTTTAAATTAAAGCATACAACTGCAGTGTTGTTTGGCCCCCGAAGAATGTTTACACGACATACTCTTCATTTTTTTTTCAAGGCCCGATCTGGTTACTGATCACTAGGTCCTTGTAGAATCAAAACACTTAGAACTAAAACAGATTTGCTGTTGAGTCAGGAGGAAAATACATGGCAAGAAGCAGCTCCAATCTGACAAAAGCAGGTGAGATCCTTTTACCAAGGTTAGCCACTGTGTGTTTGGCATCTAGTCAATGAGGTGTGCATGTCAGCACTCCACTAGATGTGAAACTGCTGGACAGAAACTTCAAGACTAGGTTTTCCTGTATGCTCACAAACTATTCAAAATTTAAGTTGTACAAAAAAAAAAAAAAAGGCAAAGTAAGATCCCTACTTCCTATTGTGAAAATCAAAAAATTGATAGACAAAGTCATTAATAGACTAGGGGATTTGATTTCTATAAAAAGATACTTGCAAAGGTGCAAAGAAATGAGTGAAAAAATAAAGGAACTAAGATTTACATTGCAATGTGTAATCAAGAGAGAACTCTAAGTGTTACTGTTGATTTAAAAAATACCTAAAAACATTTGATTCACAGCTTTCCCCTAAGTATGTTGTTTAGTACAACTTACTAATAGGTTAAATGTAGGCGACATTGTCCCTTGGTAGCAGCTAAACTAAACGCACTGTTTCTCTTTGAGATGGTCAGGGCTTCCACCATTAATACAAAGCATAACGAATTGTACATAACGTCTGGCTGCACTTACCATGGCTAACAGTGTCTCGGAGGATCGATCCACAAAAACACTGTCTGCCATGGCACAGAATGCCTGTGATTTATTGGTGGGTGGATTATCCATCGTGTATCTCTATGTATGTTCTCAGATTCTTGCCAGAATGTATTATTTGGCCTTTGGGTACCAAAAGATTAAAAATGAGATCTAAGAAAACTTAGTGTCCAATAGCTCTGACCCTGTCTACTTGCAGTGATTAAAGGCATATCCTGACTTTGGGGGACTCCTGGCTGCTGGCCATTTGGAAAATGAGCAGTAAACATGTCGTAAGTCTGGAGATGAAGAGGATGCTAAATTTGAGGTGTCGTTGTGACACTGAGATGTGGTCACTTGGCTTAGCGCTATAGCACATGAAGGCAAATATACATATAGTCACATTTTAGAGATTATTCATGGTCTCCGACCACTTGAAAAAATTGTGCTTTCTCCGGAATTTGATGTGCTGAAAATTGCACTCGCCCCCTGCTTATTTGCAAAATGAAACATAAAAATGAAGTCCTTCGCAAACATAAGGCTTGCTTTTTCTTCTCATTATTTAAAAAAAAAATCAAGGCTTGAAAATAATTATGAGTTATAGCTGTGTACAGGGTGACAGCCTGCCATCTCGCAGGTTGATAATGTATTACTTGCAGATCGGGGGTGGGGGAAAATTTTTACTTATCATCTTTGACTACGTAAGTTTCATTTCAGATTTTACATCCCACATCAGTGAACTGCAAAGAACAGCTGGCAAGGAGTGACACAGAATACCTTGCTTCTGTTAATTATCTATTGGTACAAAGGCCTTTTTGGTACGCAGGGCGAGAAGTGGGAGGTGCCTGAATGGGCACCACAGTTCCCTCGATCCTATTCATTTTGGAAAAGTATTGACTTAAACTCCAGTGGGTTCTAAAGACGGCCTCGAGACTCCAGACACCGTGAGTGTTAAAGGAACCAGAGTTTCCATCTTCCGTGCTTTTTAGATTCAGTTTTGGATTTTTGCTTGGGAGTTGAGGAGTAAGTCTCCTGAGAGTAAGGCGAAGGTATGACCTGAGTTTCCTCAATAGGGTGGAGTTTTCTTAGAACCGGCTGGAGTTTGTCTTCTTGCTGCTTAAAATCCAGCTCCACACTAGAAAAGAGAGAGAGTGAAGACTTTAGCATTTGATCTTTTCCATATGAAGATCCCTCTTAGTGTCAGCAAGATTTGGGCATGATCAGTGTGTGTTTGTAATGTAATTTTATGGTTTAATAATAGCAATTCGATATACTATGTTTTAGCTCTGTGCTCCCGTGAAATAGTTCAAGGAGGCTCACTTCCTTTGGAAAATAACTTACTTGCTTCTGTAGGTGAATCTTTAATATTGTGTTAATGTGCACAGTTGGTGTATGTATTTGTGGAAATGAAAAATGTGAAATATGAATAACCCCATTGTTTGTCCACAGTCTGTTCACATGGGCCTCATGGAGTAAAACAGAAAACCAAAAGTATGAGTGGGCAGGGGTCACCTTAGTACATCTATACCAAGTGCACGCAAGGTCCGTTCCTGTGCAATGTATCACAAGATCAGAGAAATCTATTTCTCTGATCTCCCACCTAAAACAATTCTGGAAGGAAATGACCTTGGCTGACATTCTCCTTGTAAAAGCTTATCTGTCTGAAAATCTGATAAGGGCCATAGTGCCCAACGCTGGGGAAAATAGTGTGTTCATGGAGTCAACACCATTGAACGGTACTCCGCCATTACTAACCACAGTTTCTTTGGGAGAAGCGTGGGGAGTGTTCAGTAAAGACAACACAGAAGTAAAATTCCATCACTCAAGCCATGGCGTGCAAGCACAGAGCCAATGTGGAAGCACATTTGCCAAGCAGTGATAATGTTTGCATTAGAAGATGGTGTTAAAGATGATTTTTGAACTATGTTATTTCTTACAGCATTTCTCCGAAAATTGCTGTCAACTTGTCTAGAGCCCTCTCGTCTCCATGTCTTTGAAAAGGACCACATTTGATCTTCTAACTTGGAGTCCTAACAGGTCTGCTTGGCAGCTGGGATAGGACCCCCGGTCCATGCATCGTTTTTCTGTGATGATCTCTGCATTGAGGAGTTCTGCTTCCCTTCCCACTCACCCTGTCCCTCCTTGGGACCTCTGCGTTCTGGGCCAGGCCTTGGGAGGATTCCGCTCTGTCCTCCTTCCATGTCTGGTCTGGATGCCAGACTAAATGTCAGTAGATTTCAGTAAAGGCTCAGCGTTGATGATAATGCATGAGCTCATAACATTTTATAACCAGTGGAACCGTAAACCATTTATAAACATGAAATCCTATTGATTTAGAGAACCATTAATCCTAGACAAATTTTGACATTTTGGAAAGACAGAAACAGCCAAGCTATATTATCTGGAGTTTTAAAACAAGTTCAGGACCCATCTAATGGGCCATTTCATGTTTTAAATCCACTGTTCCATTTTTCTCATTGTCAGTGACTCTAATATTACTCAAAAAATTAAAAAAAAAAATTGCCAGAGAAGTTTATGGCTAGTGACCTCCTGCTCCCAAAACAAGTTATCCTTTTCCCTTTTTTCGAAGAGCCTCTTTGAGTTATGCTCTAATTTATAGGAAGTAGAATAAAATCTCATGAATTTAAGTCTTGCTAATCCAGACTACGTGATGATGGAGGCATAGTCTCTTCTAAGGACAGTTGTGAAAAGTGCAGTCTAAGGCTGTGCTGCATTAATGAAATCCGGGCCTCAGTTCCGTGATGTGGTGCACTAGAAGGACATGGGGTTTCCACCCTGCCTCTTCCACCTGATGCTGGTTTGGGAGTCGGGGGCTCCTTAAACTTCAATTCTTTCACTTCAAGGGGGAGAAAATAGTTCCTTCCCAGGCTGTCGTAATTACTGAATTGTGGTGACAATCTCTCCCCACTGAAAAATGCCCATGAACGAGCCTCCTAAACTGTAAGATGCAATTTAAATATTATTGTACCATTATTATCTATTGATCACTAATCTTATAATGGAAACAAGAGCTAAGTAATAAAGATATCTATTAGGGATCTCTTCAACTTGGACATTTAACAAGGAAAACAAGAGCCTGTCAATCGAGTCTGTGAATATACGGTATGTTAGGTATAGAAGCGTAATTCTACCAAGGTGCTTTGGTAATATTGAAGGTGTGTTCTCCAGATCGTAACCGTTTCAACAGCCCCAGATTGGTTTTGGGTTATTAGAACAGAGAGAAGGCGCTAGCATCTCCTAGGCTAACAGTACAATTTCGGCTACCTGTAATTATTGAATTCCCATTAAGCAACTACACTGGGAATCCTGTTATTAACCAATTTATCACACCAAGGAACCATGTAATCACAGAGTAATCTAATCTGAGTTCTTGTTAACAAAATGACTCGACTTTATCTGTCGAGTTGATTCCTGTTTGCACTCCCCATTATGCTGCCCTGGGAATCTGCAACCAGAGGCAGGTTCCTTGGTAGAGGGCACTTATGAGTCTGTGAGTGCCCACTTGGAAACGCCTGCCAGCAAGTTGACCCTGAGGTCCGCCCCCCAGCCCATCTCCCCATCTGTCACATGTGAGTTGCAGTGGATCTGCGTGTGGGATGACGCCCGTGCACCAGCCAGGCAACGTGTGCAGAGGTGTGAAGGAATAATGTGCATTGTTCTGGACACTGCTTCCTGCTCAAGGACTTTTCTTGGGGAAGCACACCAAGTCTCTCGGTTGAGTTTGACACACCAAGTCTCTGGGTTGAGTTTGACACACCGAGTCTCTGGGTTGAGTCTGAAGCAGAAACCTGACTGGAGGAGGCAGCATCAGAAGGTTAACGGTCTGGCCAACTCTGGCTGACATCGAACAAAGGTCCCTTTAGTCTTAATAGCTAAATGGATCAAAAGGCAGCAACACCTGCTCTTCTGGTTAGAGTAGTGGACTTGGAGAAAAGCTGCCGGTAGATGTTCCAGGGCACTGGGACTGCCCTGCACACAGACCTCCCTCTGTATTTGAGACAGCGGCTTGTTCAGATAGTGCCTGGGGGCCTGCCTGGTGGAGGGCCCATGGCTCTTGCTTCAGCTTCCCCTTCCTGCTGCCCGGCAGACCTGTGGTGGGAGTGTTGGTTGCCCTACCTGGGGCCACATCTTTGTCCGGTGCTGCCAGCTTCATGATTATCACTTTCTCCCCACCTGAAACGCCTTTCTGGGCTCATGGCATGGCTGGCATTCCTTGGCCCACTGTTTCTCAGGTCCACATAACCTCCTTGTTGTCTGACCACCTTCCCAAATGTTGCCCAATCCATCCTGTCTTATTTGTTTTTGCACTAACCACAGATAATTATTCGTTCCCATATTACTTGCCTTCATCTTCCTAAATGCATCTTCTCGAATGCAGGCACCATAATCAGAGATGCCATGCGGTCATCCTCTTTCTGTTTCCAGCAACTATAGCAGGGGCTGGGTCCTAGCAGTTGCCTACGTAATATTGCTAGAATTAATGAATGAGAACAGAGTCTTAAAAGGCAAATTCTGGCCAGGCACGGTGGCTCATGCCTGTAATCCTAGCACTTTGGGAGGCCGAGGTGGGCGGATCACTTGAGATCAGGAGTTCAAGACCAGTCTGGCCAACATGGTGAAACCCCATCTGTACTAAAAATATAAAGTTTAGCTGGGTGTGATGGTGCATGTCTGTAATCCCAGCTACTCGGGAGGTGGAGGTTGCAGTGAGTTGAGATCGTGCCACTGCACTCCACCCTGGGTGACAGAGTGAGACTTTGTCTTTAAAACAAAAAAAAAAAAAAAGCAAATTCTACCTCACTTTTAGTCCCAGTTGCCCTGGACTGCTTTGTTTTGGCCAAAAATTATGTTGTGTCCTCCCCTGTGTCCTCCCACAATGAGACCCCTTCCTTGCCACAGACAAATAGGGCTCTGCCTGGAGGCATTGTCAGAACCACTCCAGATGGAGTCTGTGGCCTGGTTCTATTCTATCAGAACTTATCGAAGATCCTGAAACATTTTCTGCAAGACATACTCCAGGATCTTTTTGGAGCCTGGCTCCCATGCCACGGTCCCCTCCTTTCCGTCTTCTAGGATTCTACAGTAAGATCTTGGATAGAATGGGTGGGGCCAGCAGGGTCTGCTTGTGAGTGACCAGCTACCACAGTCGCTGTGCTAAGGGGAGCGTGAGAGTTACTTTGTCCCCTTTTCACTTGCCTGTGGACAGCAGGTGGAGGTCTAGCTGGATGTTTTCTGGGTGATGTTTGTTCTGAGCACCATCACGGTCCCAGGCCACCAGACGTGCTGTGTGCACCTGCTTTCCCAGGGCGGCTCCAGTGCAGGGGCTCATTCTACAGCCACACGGGCACGTGGGAAGCCGGGGCTCCAAACCTTGTTGTGGTTTCTGAGGACTCTGGCTGTGGCTTTGCACAGTCCCCTTGCAACCTCCCAGGCCTCACTCTCCAGCAGCTCAGGAGGCAGGAGGCTGCAGGTGGTGCTGCTGCCCTCCTGCTGGAGGGATCTGGTGTTTGTAAAGCATGGGCAGGGGAGTGTCCATGTCATGAGGAATTCTTACTCCTGGGGAGGAGCAGCAGCCTGGAAAAAGTCCTGATTCTTGAGATTCAAAGCATGAGTCTGAAGCAGCTGGAGCCAGGCCAGCCTTACCTGTGCGGGGTGTTCTGTCCTATAAACACCTGAGTCAAACACAGGCTGTAGATTTTGCTGGGTGAGAAGGGAAGATCCCTGGATGGCTGGGGATATTGACAAGACACGAATTCCTGGGGACTGTAGGGATTTACCTTTGTAGCCCTCTCGCTGCCTGCACCTCCATTCTCCCTCCAGATAAGGGAACCATCCACCCAAACACTCTGTGCCCTGGGGCTGTGTCGCCCTCGCTGTGCTCTTGGCAAGTCCCTGTGATGCATGATTAAAGCAACTGAGAGTAGATTTAATTTCTTGGTTGGTCTTTCCCTTTTCAAAATGAAAGTTTTAAGTGTGGGGACTTTCTTACAACATGATTATTCTGTACATTTCCAAAGAAAGAAGAATCTGCCCTACATCTCAGGCTGCTCTCCAGCCTGCACCTAAGCTTTATTTTCTTCCCAGAGACTGTGCTAGGCTTTGTAGTAACACTTCTCCCCGCTGCCGCATGTGATTTTGCAGAGCGGCATCCTTCTTGCTTCTCCAGCTTATTCTCTGTTTGTCTCATGCTCCTATAAATACTCAGGCCCTGCCACAGTTTCTTTAGCAAGCTGTCACTGAATCCTCAAGATAATTTAAGAGGAACACATTTTTAAAGTTGCCTTCTGCAGTCGTCCATGTGTAACAGTTAAGAGTTAAAAGCAGGACAATCTGGTGCCCCGGAGCTTGCTTTCTGGAAGGGAAGAAAACCCTTTGTCTTTGGGGTCTCTAGCCTCGACAGGGCCATGTGGCTCGGTGGCCAGCAGGTCAGAGGCCTCTGCCTTTAATTCTCTTTGAATTAGATCTCAGAGTCTTCCCCAGTGCTAACCGTGGCTCTGTGCTGACTCAGGCTCTACCACTGTGGATAAATCACCTCACCTTGGGGACCTGAGCTTGCTTGGCTGTGAAGTGATGGCTGAGATGTGCTCCCACTTCTCACAGCAGTCTCCTGGAACAAGGCCTGGGCCCAGGAGGGCAGGTGCACCAGGATGTGGGCTGGCTTTTATTGTGTAGCTTTGGGTAGGACCAGCCATGTCCCCAAAGCACAACAATTTATGTCAACTGACATTGGCGCCAACTTGGCCGGTTTTATGTGAGTGCCATGGGCAACACCAGCATTGTCCAGAGGAAACTAAAAGTTGGGATCTGGATCCCAGGCCTGGCTCTCCCCCTTGCATGGGAGGTGAATTCAGGCAAGTCCTTTCTGGGCCTTGGTTTATGGATGTGACCCTGGCCACCTCGCCAGGCAATAGAAGAACCAGGACCCCAAATATTTGTTGTTCTCTTCTGAACACATCTCCGTGTGCATATCTGAGGGGCACTGGAAATCCAGCATGTCCAGAACCAGATCTTTCCCCCAGCCTGCATCTCTGTCCTTCCAGACTCAGCCTGCAGCCCCCATTCATCTCCCTGGATGACTGCAGACCCTGGAATCAAGCTCAACTTGCTCCTCCTGCCTCAGCATCCCTGGGTCGAGTGGATTTACCCTCAGAACACCCGGTGTCCTTCCTCTCCGCCCACCTTCCACTGCTCTAGTCCAGAACTCCAGCAGTTTCCTCCTTGGCCATTGAAACAGCTTAGTCTCCCTCACTCTCTGTATTCTCTCCCTCTCCAGTTACCAGAGTCACCTTAGGAAAACTGGCAAACTCCTTCTCAAATCCCTGCTTATCCTTCAAAACCTAGGTCACACGTCACTCCTTCTTTCTGTGGATTTTCTAGAATAACAAAGTCCACCCTCCCCCCTGCCTCATCCACACACCTCTGGGATGAGTTACTGCTCTGGCAGCATTGTCTCTAGGTTTCCATGAGAGCCTGTCTCCTGTGGGATCGTAGCTGTCTTCCCCCAGGTCTGTGAACTCATTGAAGGATGGACCATGTTTAATTCATCTTTTGTCTGCAGTGCATTTAGCACAGTGCTGGCTCTGAACCTGCTCTATTTGTTTGTTGAATTACAATAAACTGATGAACTGAACCAAATCCCCTCACTTCTAATCTCAGCAAAGTGCTGCCGCCCTATTTTCTGTTTTCATTTAAAATTTATACATTTGTATAATTCTATTTATTCTGTCTATAGAATTTGTTATATACTATTTCTATATTATATACCTACATTAAATATATATGGATCTCATCCTAATAGTTTAAAATATCAGTGGTTTGTAGTTAACTGGCTTTTCAACACTTTAAATATAGAAATGATTCACCGTAACTTTGTATCCTTCCTTTACCACTATTTTACATGGTAGGTGCATTAATCAATGTTTATGGTATCACTGTAGGGCTTCAAATACCAGAATAAATGGCTAATCCATGATAGTAACACTCAAACTGTAAGATCTGTCCCCTTTTCCTGGTATACTATGAACAAGAAATTATGATTATAGTTTTTTTAAAAAAGCATTAGCCAGATATCCTAGCTGTATATTTTACTATGAAGGATCCAAAGTTAGAGTTAGACGATGAGCTGAGCTTTCCAAATGCATCTTGGATGTTTTCCGTGACCATACTGGAGAACTTGCTTGACTGAAGCTCATCCTAGGTGCCCATCTTACCTGTGGCACTCTCTGGAGTGCACCTGCGGCTCTGGGTCCTGAGCCTCATCTAGGTGCCTGGGTCTGAGGGCAGGTCAGATGCACAGGGGTCAGAGAACCTGGCATCCCATAAAATAGTGCCACCGAGGAGCAGAGGCAGACCCAAGTCATTTGGATTGCCTCTGCCCATCGTAAGTTCTCCATGAGGAAAGACACCCCATGACTAACAGCACCGCCACATGTCTATGAAGCATATCTTATGCCATCCCCCTAGGAAGCCAGGAAGACGAGTCATGATAATCAGAGGAGTCAGTCCTTTCTGAGACGTAGCCTGCAGAACACTGCTGTTCCTGACCTCAGTGAAGAACAGCCAGTTTTCCAACTTTTGACAGAAACTGTGTTATAACTGCCTTGAAAAGGAGATGACACAGGGCTGTTGTCCTCCTGTTCTAAGCTGGTTGCTGTGAGTCCCTCGTGGCCAACCCAACCCTGAGTGGGATCCCATGACCCAGGGCCATCACCTTGCCTGCCTGTCTCCTTTTGAAGATGGGAGTGCGTCTGTCTAGAGACATGGGTGACGTCCCGGGCTCCCAGTGTTGGTGTGAAGGCTACAAAGCCACCCTGCCTCCCTGGGCCACCAGCCCGGAACCCTGGTTTCTAGATGTGGTCAGGAGCTCCCACTCCATCCTGATACCCATTGAGAGCATCATCTCCACTAAACGTAGCAGTGATAGTTCTCATCACACACGGAAACCATTAGCTGCTTGTGTGTGTCATCTGGTGTCACCAGTGACCGGTCTAAACGTCAGCCTGTGCATTCCTGCAGGAGGTCCCTTCTCAAACAGGTTCTTTCAAGACGCCTATCTGTGAGGAAGAACCTGCCCTGGGGACCCCGCACCCTGAATTCCCTAGTCACTCTATTCCCCATGGAATTTCATACGACCCAGCCCTAGACATCGTGGCCAGGACTGCGTCCCGTATTTACCCCCAGAAAAATCTCCATACTCATCTAAACATGAATTATCTTTATCTTCCCATGAAACTGACAGCGTAGTCCCCTCATGCTGTTTTGGACATTGGTAAATGCCTCCTTAACTTTGACCTTGGGGTATAACCAAAGGCTGGGACTATCAGTATAATTAGCCTTTCTCTGCTAATAAATTTTAACTAATTGTTTCACAAATAATATGTTGAGATGGGTAATCAGTTTTAGTTACAGTTAATGGCTGTAACAAGTTTCCTAGCATCTAAATAAGAGAATTAAGGCATTGCTAAACATTAGTAAAAATGACTAAACCTAAATCCGTACATATTCGAGGGACATAAATAATATATTTTTGGATTTCAAATAGAAAAGAAAAAACTTGGATTATTAGCTTTGGGAATTTTCAAGAAGAATTTAGAGATCTGTCAGAATCATTCTTTTTTCCTGACTTCATTAAACAAAAGTATTTCCTTACCCCAGAATAACATTGTGTATGTAAGGTGTTATCCAGGGATTCCTTTCTCTCATCTTCCTACCCTGTCACTCACCATAAATACTAAGAACAGAGCACTAAACATTAGGCAAAAGGCGAATTTCCCCCACCTCAGTTCATGCTGCTAAAGAACTTAATATGCACAAGTGGTGGTCATTGAAGCAGGGCTGGAAAGGGCACTTCCATGAAGAGATAATCGCTGAATGACAAAGGCTGCAGAGACTCCACTCCAAGTGGGCTCCGGACAGGCTGGAATTGGCACGGATTCTGCATACAAATGCAATTACCACTCTTAACAATAGGTCTCCATTAGTCAGGAGGTGCCCGGTTCTGCCGGCTGTCTTGATCGTGCACTATCCTGACCAGCTTTCTTTTTGCAATACACTCGGAATCAGTGAAGTGCCAGTGTGCGTGATTTTATCTAGAACTCTTTGCACCCTCTGTTTTGTGGTCTTATTGGTGTTGTAATACATTACCAAGAATGATGTGAGAAAATACAACCCATCACTTTTGTGAATTCTTCATTCAGTCTCATAATGTTAGATATTTTCCTCATCTTTCCTGAAATCCTCCAGTCATTTGGGGAAGGAACTTGCCTTCTTTTGGAGCTTCCTACTTGAGAAGCCGTCAAGGATTGTGGTGGACTGGGATGTTCTCCAGCCTGTCTAAGGGGGAGTGTTCACGGGTCGCGAGGTTTCCCATCCATCCTTGGGGGTGCCCTGGCTGTTTGTCCTCCTAGTTCCTGCCAGTTGTTCCTAACGCCGTAGCCTGGAGGGCTCTAGAGAGGCCATCCAAATCCTCCCTAACCTGGCCTCCCTCCACGATTATCTTGTTTTCTTTGGAGTCTGCTTTGCCAGGTCGGGCACCCTGGCTTCCTTCACCTCCTCCTCGCCTGCCTTTTACGTCCTTGCACCTGTGGCTCTCACCTTCCATACAGAGGGCTCTCTCTCGCCAGAGCTCTGTCCTTACCCTCATCCCGGGGTCCCAGGGTAAGGGGCATGCATGGAGGTGTCTTCAGCAGCTTCACACTCCTCCCAGTCTCCCAGGGCCTGGTGCAGAACTTGTCCTTAGGAGGTCCCTTGAAAAACACCTGTTCAATTAATACCCTTTAGGACCCCAAATGGAAAGGGCTAAGGCATTTTTATCAAAGTGGTTGTTTAAAATTCCACCTGTCCTTGTCTGGGCACGGTGGCTCATGCCTGTAATCCTAGCACTTTGGGAAGTCGAGGCGGGTGGATCATGAGGTCAGGAGTTTGAGAACAGCCTGGCCAATATGGTGAAACCCCATCTCTACTAAAAATACAAAAATTAGCCAGGATTGGCGGTGCGCGCACGTAGTCCCAGCTACTCGGGAGGCTGAGGCAGAAGAATTGCTTCAACCCAGGAGGAGGAGGGTGCAGTGAGCCGAGATTGCACCACTGCACTCCAGCCTGGGCAACAGAGTGAGACTCTGTCTCAAAAAAAAAAAAAAAAAAAAAAAAAAAAATTCCACCTGTCCTTGACCATCATGGATCATATCAAACAGTGAAAGCATGGAGTACACAGCAATGCGTTTCACAAGCTCCCCCTCTCTGATGTCAGACAAGTGGTGTGGAGCCTTGTGGCGTTCCCATCCAGTCAGGTTCCAAGCCCACTCATTGATCCACTGCAGAATTATTAGTGTCACTTGAGGCCACTTTGTGTGGTGGCTGTGATGATCCAGAAATGAAGCAGACACAGCGTGCTCCGGGAGGATGTGGTCACTCAGGGCTTGCAACTGATGGTAGGAATTCTACCACTTGACGAGAAGATTCTAAATTCTGGGAGAGATGCTGTTTAATGAATCTGAGTCAGAATTCCTGTTATGTTTTAAATCTTGCTTTCATCTCCAAAAGCCCTTGGATTGCAGTTGGTCCATGTTATTTTCATGAAAATGTACACATTAGAATTCAGGCCATTTTGTCGCAGTACTATGTTACAAATTAACCATTTCAGCGAAGGAGAGAATGGCTGGTTTGCCGATGATGTTTCATTGTTCCTTTCTGAAACCACATCCGAACAAAAGCTGAATCATCCGTGGTGTGACTCATCAGATTAGTCCGACAAAAGAATTACCAAAATAGGGCTGGAGAGAAGAAATTTCAGCTGCTTATGAGCAAAGATTATATTAGTAATTTATCCACAAAACATTTTCTGAAATAATTACGGCATATTTTGACAAGAAATATGGAAGATAAGCCAGAAAAGTTTTCCTAAAGAAAACGGAAACTGGAATCTCTTTTAATCTTCTTTCATGCTGAGATGGTTTTAATTAGAGTAGCACAGTCGGTCTGCATCACAACCGAAGGGATGTCTGTCATCTTAGAAAAAGATGTAGCTGTGTCAACCATCTCAAAATTTGTCAGAAAGATCACGTTTGGTACTTGGGGTTTCAGTGGTCTAGGAGGAAGCCCATCAATCCTCTGCCGAAGAAGTGTTACTCAGCTCTGAGTCAATAGATTTGCCAATAAGGGAGAGGTGTTTTTCAGCTGAGGAATGCCTTGTGACTCTCCACACTTTTACCCTTCTGTGCAGTCTCTTGAAACCCATAGTTACATCCCTTGCATAATTGTAAAAAGCAGCTCCTGGGATTTCAGATCTGGAAGGGACCTTGATGATCCCTTAGTGCAACCCCAGAGGACCTGGAGACTGAACAGACACCCCACCCAAGAGAGAGGGCAGAGAAGCTCAGCCCTAACCTTGCAGGTACGCGGCAGGCTCTCACGGGCTGATGTTTCTCACCTTTCGCTTGTCGTACTGGTGGTTTTCCCCCCGCCTTGAAATTGCATCAAGACCGTTTGTCCTTTTGATGCTTTTCCCTAGTCCTCTATATTTCCATGACAGAATTATTTTTCACAGAGAAATATGTACCGCCTCCCATGGCAAAGGTACCCATTTATTACAGGCCTGTGGTGCTAAAGCCCCAGGCAGCCGGGTCTTGAACACAGTATCCTTTTCATCTCCCTGGGCCAGGCATTACTGGAAACACGGTGGATAGCTATGCTGCTCGGAGAGGGTAATTGGGTTTCGAGTGAAAAGTGGTGTTTAAATGCAAGACAGGCAGGGTCAAATTCATTTCCCTCCAGGGCTTTTGGCCTTCCAGAAAGCAGGGTATGACATTACAATGTGTGAACACTGGCAGCTGTGATGGCCCCACGTGTTCTCAAGCCTCTGGGACAACCACAGTCATGTGACATTTTAAGATTTATTTTGAAATTCCTTTAAGCTACCCAATCCCGGGGTGTTCCAGGCATCCCATGGTGCATATGGAGAAGTGGGTTGTAATGGTGGTGTAGGGACTCACAGGAAAGTTCCTGAACTCCCGGATTCAGGTCCTTGCAACTAAGAGCCAGGCTTTGATCTGACAGCAAGGACTGTAACCTGAGCTATACTTTCCCCTGCTGCTGGAATTGTGTTTCTACAGATTCATATGCAGGAATTCAAGGAGGACTTGGCTGTAAGTTTGCATGGGAGAACAAGACATGGATGTAGATTTGTAAAGCCTTTGAAATTTGGAGACACCCTCTGGCTCACTTGGAGTCTATACTTCCGAGATGCTGTGGCCACCCATGTACACTGCTACTGAGTCACCTGAATAGGTGACTCCTCCTGCCCAAGGAACTCACTGGGTTCTGAACACTTTTCTACCGAAGAAACTTCTATTCTTAAGCTTCTGACATTTGGGGGTGACTCACAGAACTGACCGCAAGCTGCGAGGTCATCCAGCTCAATCCCCATTGCTCACCCTCCCCTTTCTCTTTGCTCAGTGGGACCCTGAGGGAAGTGACCCTGTGTATCAGCAACTCTCAGCCACCAGGGCAGAATCACACAGACCAGTGCTTGGTAGTCAGATAGGATTACATAAGCCCTCTTAGCTGATGTGCTAGATTAACCATATGGCCCTGTCCTTTCACGACATAAGTGGTGCACCCATGATGCTGGGACCCTTAACTAACTGGCTTCTCTGTCTTTGTCCTGTGACTCTCTGTCCTTACTTCTCAAGGTTCATGCTTACCAAGAGGATGCTAGATTTGTTCCTGGACCTGTTTATACAATTAGTACTCACTATTGAAATGATGTGATTATTGAATGTCATGCAAACCACTGAGGCATGAGAAGATAGTCATTGCTGTGGATTCAGTGCTTTGGAAAGAGTGGGGTACCACAAAATATTCAATGAAAAAGGTAGAGACAGGTCAAGTATGGATTCAGAAGGATTCTGATCTCAGATTCTGCCACAGGACTTTGCTCCACTTTAAAGACAGGAAAATTGGTGTGGCTCATGGCAGATCATTTGAAACTGTAGTGGGGGTGCCACATTCAAAGAAAACGTCTGGGCCTCACCTCTAAAGGCTGCCCTAACTTGAAATCATTCAAATGGGAGATTTCAATTCATGCGATTCAAATTAAAATAACATGTTTAAGTTAGGTACGTGTCAATTTTTTATGATTTCCCCATTGATTGATTTTTCAATTAATGGACCAGAAGTGAACTTTCACTCCCTTTATCATCTCTTCCTGCAGACCTCAGAAAACTCTTATCCAACATAATAACCACCTTAAGAGTAATCGTTAAACTTTAATTATTTCCATTATAACATGATAGGGAGTTTAGGAAGCAGCATTTGATGAGCTATGTTCCACTTGGTAGTCACAGTGCAGTCTTTATTTGAATACTAGTTCATTTCTTGAGTTTCACACTAGTTTATTTCATTGACAGGACTCAATGAAATAAAGACTTTGGGAGGCAGCAGGAGTCCAGCCGAAATATTACTCTGCAGACTGTCCTGGGACCAAAAGCCTTCCAGTGTAACTTCTGTTTGTAGCAGAAGTTTGGCTGTTGTAGGGATGTTTTGTCATTGTGACCACTCCAAAGGGAGTGATTTTAAAAATCAGGAAAGAAAGATCTAAAACTCCACTCTTCCTCAAACACTACCTCTTCTAGAATGCCTCTCCCATTTATAAGGGGGTGACAGTCGGGTCTGCAGGCTACCGAGGGCCACATCTCTATTCAGTTTCTGAAGATGCCACCCAAATCACCCGTCTGTAAAATCACATCTGCAGTAAAAGTTCTCGATGAGTAGTCATGCATTTTCCCTGCTCGTATGAGATAACCAGAGCGATCACAGTGCCTCGCCCTCTACCTAGTGAGTCTTCCTAAGTCTTGGCAAATTCCTGTGGTGCTTGGTCACTCGCAGTTCTTCTAGCAAGTGGACCAGTGGCTGATGTATTCGGATTCATGTAGAGTGATGTTTGAGCCAGTTCAAAACAGTGACCACTCGAGTCATTCCTGAAAGGACAGATTTCTGTCCTTCAGAGACTTATTCAGTCACTTTTAATGTCACTTTTTATAGGAGTGAATTCTGGATTTAGAGCTAAGTTCATTTAAATTATTTCAGTTAGGTTAAACAGTGTTCACATATATATATATATTTTTTTTCGATCACCCACAGAATATTACGTAGGTTTAGGCTGAACAGCTCATTCTCTGAACCTACCCTGGATGTCTTGACTCACTGTTGCTTGGTTGCGTTAAAGACGGTATGAGCTTTAGCTTCCAAACTAACAGAAGCTGAACTCTGAGTACGTGCCAGGTCATCTACACTCTGCACTTCCTAACGTACTGATGTTCACGGAGGGTCATTTTATGTCAGTGTTACAGCCCTTTGTTGTTGATTCAAAATTCTCTTTTGCAAGATGAGTGGAGTGAAAAGTTTCCCATTAAGCAAACTTCTCTGATCTGTTGCTATCATTGAGTTTCTAATTTGGAGGAATTGTTGAAGAAAAGACCTGCATGGATGCCTCATTTTAACCTCCTCACTGGCAATTGCCAAGAACAGTCAGCAGCTTGGCGTGCCATGCCAGGCTGCTGCAGGGGCCCCTCCTCCCTTCCTGCTGCCAGGAGGCCTTACCAGCTTGTGTGTGCCTCTTACAACACTCTAAGGTGGGGGTGGTTTCAGTAAGGTAGGCTTTCTCAACCTCAGCACTATTGACATTTGGGACTGGATAGCTCTTGGTTGTGGGGGTTGCCCTGTGCAGGCAGCATAGGATGTCAGCAGCATTCCTGGCCTCTACCTGCTGCATAACCGGCAGCAGCTCCTCAGTTGTGGCAACTGAAAACGTCTCCTTCCAGACTTTGCAAATGGCCCATTGGTTCAGAACCTCTGAGGTTAAGGAATGTGCTGATGTGGCCTTCGGTGCCTATCTCTACCTGTGGTTTCTTCTGCCTCCTCCCAGACAAGGTCTCCAGGTGACCCAGCTTTGCTTTTGCTTTTAAGGAACCTGGGCCCTATCTGGGATGCTCTGTCTGGATCGGAGGCATGGACGGCCAGGTCTAGGCTTTCCCTTGGGAGAGAACCCTGATGGGTTGAAGATTGTGTAGCCTCAAGCCTCTTTGCTCTCCCCATGTCTGTGTTCTTAATGCAGAGGACAGTAACTTTGAATAACTTTTTAGAGGGTTTTTTGGTTTGGTAATTGTTTTTTGATAATTTGGTGGATCACTAAAATTATTCTCCAGTCTAAACTTTAGAAAAAGAACTTACTCATAACATTTCTCACCGCTTTTATATTTTGTTTGTGAAAAATTACATTTGCAAAAAGAAAAGAAAAAAGGATAGCCATCCTTCTGAAGGTTTTGACTATATCTTAAAATCCTAAATTACTGATGCAGGCCAAACACAGCTTCTTCCTGTTGGGAGTTTCTGCTGTATTCTTGTTGATGTCAGTCATATAAACAAACTTCAAATTAAAAACCACAAGGAACAGCTGTAGGGGCTCTGGAGCAGGGATTCTGCCCGGAGACAGGCAGGCAGCACAATCCTCGAGAGTTCCCAGGAAATGAAATTCCACATTTGGTGTGAGCAGCCCAGGTCTTTCCATGGTATTCCTAGCACATACGGTGTGCTTTCAAGCCTTTGATCTATACCCTCTGAAGGGCCTATGTTTTACAGCCTTTCCAGAACACAGAGCCCAGGGCTCACACCTATCGATTCCAAGGGAGCAAGCCATCAAACTTATACCAATTCTTGAAACCACTAAGATACATTTGCAAGATAAATGGGTTCAAGCTCTCCTACATCCCACGGTTCTATACTTGGGGTGGGGTATTTAGAGGTAGCTTAGAATTACAGTCAAGTAAGGTCCTTCACTTTTTGTCTGATAGAATCATCCCAGCATGGCCCCAGATCGTTCTTGCATTTGTGGGTAAACATCATTTGTCACTCATAATAAGAAAGTGGGAAGAGGAGAATGTTAACATACCTATAGATAATACATGCACTGTTCCTGCATGTGTCACAATTAGCTGTGTCTTGCCCCGTCCGATATGAAAGCCTACAAGATAAGAACAGGAGAGCATTACAAGCGGTGGCTGGGGGTCACTGGCTTTATAGAGCAGATGCCTCAAATCAAATGCCTTCCCAATGCCAAGCTCATCATGGTCATGGAAATTGATTAATGCATGCTTCCCAGTTTGCTCCTGTCTCTGCTTTCGTTGTACAAAACCAATGCAACACCTACAGCTAAGATGATATTTAAATTAAATTTAGAAGTGAACATAAGCTCCTGGATGAAGTAAATAATATGATTTCGTTATAAGCACAGGGAATGTGGGATGTTTCAATGCAGATTTATGGTGTTTTAAAGAAACTTTGAGGAAAAACCAACCACATACACATATGCTGACTCCATGGCTTATGTTTGCTCTACCCCACCTGTCCTGCTACAACTGGGACTGGCAAAGTGCGGCCTGCAGGCCAAATCCCGCCGGGGCCTGGTTTTGTCCAGCAAACTAAGAATGGATTTTACATTTTTAAGCACTTGAAAAAAAATTGAAAGCATATAATATTTGTGACACATGGAAATGATCCGAAATTCAAATTTCAGTGTCCATGAATAAAGTTTTTACTTTTGAAAATAAAATGGTGAAAATTTTTATGAAAATACCTATTTCTAGTATCCTCAATTTTGCCTCTTGGTCTGCAAATCCCTGAACATTTACTCTCTGGCTCTTTAGAGAAGAAAATGCCAAGCCTTATGTTAGAATGTCTTACTCCCATTGCCATAACTTCTGAGTTACTTTCCCTGGCTTTATTCTCTGGTCAGTTCTGTCAGACCCCTGAGGCCGGGCAGATTTTGGCCTTTGTAGGGGAGGTTGCTAATTCTCCCCCCTAATTAAAAAATTAATAATAATGATCTTGGGGTCTTTCTGTAGTATATTGTTGAAGGTTGTATAAACATAAAGGGTTGATGATGAGAATTTTCTGGACCAGGCTGGAGTTGCCTTGGCTGTTTCTTGGTCCAGCCACGTAGGAACAGCTGGGGAGTGTTTCATGCCTTCACAGTTTCTCCTATTTTATCCAGCCTTTCCTCTCTGACATTTTTAACATGCAGATGTGTATTTTCTGGATATTATTTTGTGTCCAGGCACAGACATGATAACCGGAATGTTAAATTTGTGGCAGGAGAAAAGCTCCCATCTGCATTAGCTTATAAACACTCTGGGGGCAAATTTCCACGTACAGAGCTACTCACCAGAGTAACAGTGTGCACAGAAGGTCTTCTGTCAACATTGCTAGTCAGTACTTTTTATCCCCTTTGCTGTGTAAACTTCTCTGCATCATGGGTTTTAAATTGAAAATAACTTTTGTTTTCCTCATTATATTGTCTGTTACATCAACATTTGACAAAAGGATTGTCTGCTACATGCCGTGATTGTCTCAGTGGGCTTGCAAAACTCAGACGTGACCTCATGGTTATGTGCAGTTTGTTGATCAAGTGACCATATTCTGCTCCAAAGTGTTGCCAGGCACTTTCTGTGATTCATCATATTTCAGCCAGAATTGGAATTACAGTATGGCTGTCTCTATCGTCTTTCCATCATCACCTCCCACATGAGGTGCCTTTGGAACCCCACAGCAGGCCATTCCGTTCTCCCGTTGGCTTTGTCAGGAGAGAGGGGGATGAACAGCCTGTGCCTTATCCCCTCCCCTTGTTCCTCACCAGACACGGTGATTTTGTAGTCCTTACCCCTTTCCTCCTCATGGCAAGCCCCAAGAATGCATTCCTCCTGCACCTTCCCACCTGGCTCCAGATTTGTCCACCCTATGGCAAGGCTCTTCCACATGATGACATCACCCTTCTCCCTTCTCTCTTGCCCTATATAGACTTACAGCCTTTCTCCATCAGCTAATTCTACTGGAGCTCGGCTCTAAGCTCAGTGCTGACCAAGGTCATTTTGCACAGTGAAGTCAGTGCCATCCTTGAGCTCAGGTGCTGGCAATGGCACGGTCCACGCTGAATGTGTTGTTAAACTGTTGGCTTGGGTGGCAGATGAGGTACTGCTCTACTATTGTGTTGTGCTAGTGGGTATAAGCCAGCAGTCAGGAGAAAGTACCTAGTACTTGTCTATATGTGCTAGTCATATCCAAATTTTAGGTTCTTACAGTGGGCGAAACCAGGGATATTTACAGTTTTCTGAAGGCACTCTTTTTGTGCTCATAGGAAAGTGTGAATTCTAAGCTTATAGAACCTTCCTGCCCTAAACCTCAGGGGAAATGTCTATCAAGCCTCATCAACATCAACACTCCTTCCTTGCCCAGTGTCCAAGTTTCCCAGTGCCTCACTTGCATTAGAGCCCTGAGCCTTCTAATTATGCTAGCCCCACTTACAGAGGAGCATACAGTCACACTTCAGGTCCAGGATCTCATTATTCTTAGGCCCCAGGCTTCTGATGCTCCCTGTCACCTTGCTTGTATGCTGGGGCTGGTGTTCTGCACCACATGTAATTGGCAGCTTGGGATAGGCAATGAACCTGACAATGAGAGGACAAAGGCTTCAGGCACCTGAAATGTACAAGAGGAATCTTCCAGGACCTTGGAGTACTTCAGTAAGAAATTGCTTTTCTGAATCTTTTCTTCTCTTTTCTTTACTTTTCTTTTCTCTTTTTCTTCTTCTTCTTCTTCTTCTTCTTCTTTTTTTTTTTTTTTTTTTTTTGAGACCAAGTTTCGCTCTTGTTGCCCAGGCTGGAGTGCAATGGGCACAATCTGGGCTCACCACAACCTCCGCCTCCTGGGTTCAAGCGATTCTCCTGCCTCAGCCTACCGAGTAGCTGGGATTACAGGCATACGCCACCACTCCCGGCTAATTTTGTATTTTTAGTAGAGACGGGGTTTCTCTATGTTGGTCAGGCTGGTCTTGAACTCCCAACCTCAAGTGATCTTCCCGCCTCGGCCTCCCAAAGTGTTGGGATTACAGGCGTGTGCCACCATGCCTGGCCCGAGATATTGCTCTTCTAAAGCCCTTCCTGAAAAGACTTTACTGCAGTCACTTTGTAGAAAGCACATATTCCTCCATTACGGTCAGTAAGCAAATAGTTATTAAGTACATACTAAGTGTGAAACATTTTTCTGGCTCTACAGGAGACATTTGCGAATAAGATGGAGTCCTTGTCCTCACAAAGCTCACAGTGGCGTGGGAGTGGCAGAAGGGCAACATAAATGCATAAATGAGCGAACGGTTAATTTTTGATACTGCTGAGTGTTAAGGAAGTGTTGTGAAGCAGTATTTTGGTCTAGAATGAACTCTAAGGAGGTGACATTTTTAGTGAGACCTGGATGGTAATGAAAAAGCAGTCAGTCATCTGTTGACCCAGGGTTGGATGTTGCAAACACAAAGACCGTCACGTGTTAACATCCTGCAGTGGGAATGATGTTCCTCTGTTTGCAAGTCAGAAAAAAAGGCCAGTGCTGCTGGAATAGATGCAGCAGGTGAGAGTGGGGAGAGATGAGGACATGTGTATAAAATGAGAGGCCCTTTGGGCATTATTTTAAATTGAATGGGAAGCCACTATAGTTTTTCTTATAGGTGGTTGAATGACATGGAAACACTTCTTGACTTTTACTCTCAATCCTCTCCTTCTATAACATCATTTTCACTCAATTTTCTTTCTCTTGCTTCTTTTATTTACAACCCAGCCCAATTCACCAATTCCTGAGAAATGGTTTGGCTGACGTTTGTTGGTAAGAACCAAAGGAGTCATTGTGTTTTCTTTGGAGACATATCTGTGGTCATTCTTTTTTTAGCTAGTTGAAAACAGTGGGTGGTCTGTCAGTTTCTAAATATATGTATGTTTCTCCCATGTGTGAGAATTATTTTTAGGACTTCATTACCATGAAGGTGAGGTTTTGTTTAAGTTTTGTTTGGGATCTTTCTTTTGTTTAAAGGAATCAGTTGTTTGGAGTCCATGAATGTCAGCAGGAGATTAATTTGTGAATAAAATTTAAAGTGTTGACCTTGTCATGTGGTTAATTCACAGGCAGCTGCCAGCAGCTGGTGTCAATCAGGGTATGCCTGCTAAAATTTTATTAAGCACGAGAGTGTTCTCAATAGAGGGCTTAAAACTATGTAATCCATTGTGCTTACTGCTTTCATAATCCATCTAATTGTCCTTGAAGCTTCCAAGCTGTAGGGTTTGGCTTCACTGATAATTTTATGGTCACATTAATAATTGGGCTGCAGCATCTGAATATGTTCTCCAAATAGAGATGAAACAGATAAGTTATTTCTACAGGACAGGGAACACAGAGTGCTGTTATGGAATTTCCCTATTTTTTCCTTCTCAACTTGGAAACACATCAGAAAACAGTACTTTGAATGATTCTCTATATTGCCATTGCCATAAGGAAGAACAACCTAAAAACTTTAAACTGCTAGAGCAGATTCTTCTCCAGTGACAGTAGGGCTGGAGATCTTTTGTAGATTAGAAGTTTAGAGAGGAGAAAGCTTAGGTTATTGATGTAAAACCTGCAGTGGAAGAACATTTGGATCACAAATTATAAATTTTCTGTCTTGCAGATTAATTGCTACCTTTGTAAAGCACTCTTCCCTTTTGCTTTGAGGAGCCTGTATTATATATACATAGGCTTGTAACTCCATGCGTGATACAATACCTGGTACCTTCTGGGCGTTCAGTTAATGTTGATGTAGCCAAGTCATAGAGTCCATATTTGTATTTTCATAAGTCCAGAATAACACACTTACCTATTTAAAGAATTCCAACTGAGTGTGGACAAAAACCCTGACAGGTATAAATTGTGAAAAGTTCTAGTCTTCATTTTTCTCCCCATATGAACTCCTTTGGGTGCTAATGATAAGCATGTTCATTGTAGATATGGATTTTGTGGCATTCACTATGTATCGTCCCATGGCAGTTAGTTGTAAGTATTCTCTTAACAATGCATATAGCTTGGAAAACATCGCATTCAGCACCAGGGACAGTGTTAAAAGTCCAAGGAGCTCTCTTTTTTTGGTGCTTTTGTTTTCTGTTCTGTTGACCCTCTAGCCTCCCATCCTTCTAGAACTGGGTTTTATCCCAGGGACCAATTTGGGGACCCTGGACCTCTCCTTGCTTGATGCCTTTTGAACACTCCTTGGTCAAGGTAGGCTTGCCTGTTAGAGGAGCCTGGACATGAACTGTTAATAGGGAAGCTATAAGAACATAGACTCTGCGACAGTGCATGAAAGAGAAGGTGATGCTCTGTTAGAAACAGAAGGGATCTGGACAAGCCAATTCTACAAGGTGGTTTTTGTGGAGTCCAGTTTTTGAGTCATTTACATTTCTGTTTTGTAGTGAACCACCTTTCTTCACAGGACTTTGCTCTACTTTAAAGAAAGGAAAATAAACTTGGCTTACAGAACACAGCGTGGAGCTCTAGTCAGGGCTACCTCTCTGTAATGGCCTGGACCTCTCAGGTTTAGCTCAGCATGCAGTTCCCCAGTTTCTCTAGCTACCTTATACCTTTATAATAATCGGCTCTAATTCTTCAGTTGTTACTATCAGCAATTCCTGAATGTATAAATAAATATATATACTTGTATACTTACAAGTATATAACATACCTGAATTTTTTTGTGTGTAAATACACACACATACATACCTTTGTAAATTTATTTTCAAAAGTAGTGACAATTCGGGGCATGCAGGTCTTCAGTTAATCCTTTTTGGACCAATAGCAAAAGAGGGAATATATGCACCTTTGTATATTTATTTTAAAAACTGGTGACAATTTGGGGTATACGTGTTTTCAGTTATTCCTTTTACGGACCGTTGGCAAAAGAGGGCATCACGGGTAGACATTTGAAAAGAAACAAAGAAGGGCAGGCCCATGGCAGAGCTGGTGCTGCAGTTTTTGTGACACCACTGCAGGAATGATAAAGGAGGAGGGTGGCTGCCGGCCTCAGCCTGAGAGCCGCACCATGGCCACGTCCTGGGTGGCAGGGACTCCGAGGAGCAGGGCACGGGAGGGCTGGACGGCATCTGCTCTTTCATGCTGACACCACAGGGAGATCTAAGTCAGCAGGGCCCTGGGTGTTAGGAAGGGTGTTGAGAAATGTCAGAGAAAGATCACTGCAAGCTTTCTTCCCGGCCACATATCCAAGCTCTGCTTAGTGTCTCCGAGACCTTGAAGATGGGGCCTGAGAGGCAGGACTAACAACTCTGAGGCAATCATAACAAAACATGAATTGTTTGGTTAAAAGGTCAGGAAAGAAAAAAAAAAAAAAGTCTCTCACTGTGCTGTCATTAGAAGCAAAGACCGAGAAAGTGACAAGC
This sequence comes from Homo sapiens, assembly GCF_000001405.40. NCBI lineage: Eukaryota > Metazoa > Chordata > Mammalia > Primates > Hominidae > Homo > Homo sapiens. Next base: position 127,160,201 of record NC_000010.11, read on the forward strand.
ATCTCCTAGAGGAATGGTTAGCAAGTGGAAACTAATTTTACAGTACCTAATAGTAATTACAGTACTAGTATTGGGTTATTGGATTGATGTAAATGTGCTGTTTTTACTGCCATAGTCTCACAACACTGTTTCCTTCATAAGATCTTAAATTCTCAATGGAAAGTTCTCTTCTCACATTCCTGGGTGACTGGATGGGGCATTTGTGTGTGCCTGGTCTGGTTGCAGAGTTCAGCAGCATGCTGTGGGCCCCTCCCTGGAAGATGTGTTCAGTACTCAGTGCAGGGGAGGGCAAGTGACCCAGTTGTTGATTTGCTGCTCTTTTAAATGCCTTGTTAATTTTCAGCCAGTTCAGAGCTTCTAGCATGTCAGGGAGCAGCACGTTGGATAGTGCTGAAATCAAAGCATGACCTTCTAAGTGTGGTCTTCAAAATGTTCATTACATAGGGTATGGCAATTGTCACACTGAATCAATTCAGAGGCTGTATCCTAGGTTTACCTGTATGGACCTTAGCTAGAGATGGTGGTTGTTGCAGATATAAAAAAGGCATGGTCTCTGCTCTCAAAGAAAATGTTTTTGCCGTTAATTTATTCTCTTAAGTTTGATCTCTCTTGTTCTTTCAGTTTTCTTACTGGATGCAACAACCGTTTTTTTCTTCTGCATTCTTACCCAGGTTTGTGCACTAGCTGTCTCTTCTCGATAACTAAGCCATCATTTATGTCAGCATCTTGAAGGGCTTTTTCACTTAATAGTCTCAAAGTGACATTAATTAGAGGCATAAAATGATACCACCACTATTGCTGGGAGAAATTAAGTTTCAAAAAGTAGTAAAGGCACTGTTTTCAGTGATTCCCTCCTATGTTTGAGAGCCACTCTGAGCAGTAGATTTGGCTTGTTTCTGAATCTAAGGTCTCACCAGGAGTTTGCCAGATTATGCCCCGGACATGTACTTATTTTAGATGTCAGCTGTTTACAGCTAAAGTGGATTTAGACTTCACCATATACTCATGGAAACGCAAGTACATTGTCTTAGCATTTGAGCTGTTAAATGCTAGAATTTGAGGGAACAGCCAATTTATGGTTGCTAAAAGAATATGAAGTTGATTTTCATAACCAACTCCCAGGATCACCCCTTCATTAGTCAAAGGCGGTACTGGCTTTTGGTGATGGTTTGTCTGTTCCCTTTTTCCCAGTAGCTGATAGGACCCATCTGTCAGCCAGCATCCAACTTGCTGAAGTGAGGCTGAGCAGTTATGAGATCCTTGCTGGCCTTGGATCTCCAAGTAGACAAAGTAAGTTGTTAGTGGTAAAAACTGAAGTTGCAATTTGAAGAGCACAAATTGTGACCCTCCATACTGGCAAGGCTGTTTGGAGTACTGCCTCTGTTCTCCCCTGCTTTTGGGATGTCGAACAGGGGTGAGTGTTGACACCTCTCCAGCTGCCCGGCTGCCACCTTTTGAGAGTTCTGCTGGAGCAGCTGTTCTTTACGGATCCTTTGGCTGGCTCTCCCCCACTCTCCTCGCCTCTGCTCCATTTCCTCTGCCAGAACACCTGTCTTGCCATGTTGTCATGGCAGGCTAATCTTTCTTTGTTCGCCAGTCACAGAGGAGATGGCAAGAAAGATCTGTGGGTACATGGAATGATGAATGAAGGAACAAATGAAAAAATATAATTGAGAAGGTGTCTTTGTCTCAGATCTATGGGGGTTGGATTGACCCCTGTTCCAGAGAAACTTAGCAGCTTTTTCCTGACAGTTAAGTAAAACTCTGGAAAACTGTCTCCCATGTTTTCTGCTCAGGACGTTGATGATGGGACAGGCAGTGTCTGTGGTAGAGTTACTTTAATATAACCACCACTCATGGGTTTCGAGAACGTTAATGCGATTTGATATTGTCTGATTGGTTTCTCTTTTCTCCAGCTCTTTCGCCTGCAGATATATGTCAGGTGGTAAAGCTGATCCCATTAGCTCTCAGTATTCTCCATTTGTCTAGAATGTCTTTCTGGGGAAGGGCAAATACTTCTTTTTCAGACACCCGTGTAATCTCCCTGAATATGAACATGCATTTTCTATAGTGTTTCTTGTATACAGTTGTGTCCCAATTGATTAGTTTAAGGGAGATCTATTTTTGTCATCCCATGTGAGAACTTGGAAGTAATATATCTCTAAGAACATGATAGTTAGATCTGATAGCATTCTAATGCTGAATCTCCATATAGATTAAAGGATTTTGAGGGCTACCCTGGCAACCTCAACACAAATTACTTAGCAATGATGTTTGGAGCACAGCTAATTCAGAAGTTGAGTTGGGTCTGTCTTCATCCCATTTCTCTTTACCTTACTTTTTTTCCATGGTAGGGCAAAGTTCTCAGAATCACACACATCCCATTCCCCTAAAGCCAGGAATCGAGATTTAAACCCTGGAAGGATCACCTGTACATGTAAACTCCATGTGGTCTCATTTAACATGTCAGGATAATTTTCAACAAGCCTAGTTATTTCTACTTAGTGTTCTAATCATAGACCTTAATGGACTTTGCTACAAAGGAGCCGACATAACGAGCCGGCCTCCCCAGGCCTGCCAGTCCCAGTTCATCTGGGGCTTGCTGTGTGTCAGCACTGTGCATGGCCTGTGCTGGGGAACAGTTGCTTGGAAGAATAAAACACAGGTCTCGCCCCCAGACACTTAAAATCCAGAAGACCTTTGTTTCCAAAATGAAGGAATTCTTGATGGGTTAAGGAAGCAGAGTCACAGAACCCTGAACAGTAGCACTCCTTCCATGGGACTGTTCTAACCCGCATGCAAACCTGCATCCTTGGTCCGGGCCCGGCTTCTCTCTTCCCTCCGGGGCAGCACAGCACATCCTCAGTGCAGCACTCCCAGCACCTTGTTTGTGGCTCTCTTGCAGACCATGCCACTGTGGAATCTGATGATCAGATGCACTTTCTCTGTCCTATGGGACTGGGCATTTTGCTGGCTGGGAACATGTCTTTGTTCCTCTTCACAATCCTAGCTGATAGCTTGGTGACTTCTGCAGATCGGGGCTTGAGGTGCATCAGCAATGCCTGGTCCTTTCATGCCCAGTGAAAGTCAGTTTCCTTCCCACCTCTCCCTCCCTCCCTGCTTGAGACTTCTCCGCCACATTTATCGCCATGGAGTATACCGGGAGCTGTAGCTATTTCGCTTTCCCTGTCTCCCTCCACGAGAAGGTCAACACAATGTGGGCAGAGGTTTTTGTCTGTTCCCGGGCGGGCAAACTTTCAGTGCCCACCTCAGGGCCAGAAGTAGAGTAGATGACTGAGAAATATCTTTTGAATAATGCTTGAGTGAATGAATGAATGAGTGAATGAATGAGGAGTCTGTGTGAGTGCCCTTTTGGGTGAACTGATAACATGCCCTTTTGCTTCTGAAAGGGAAAATAGGACTCTCACAATTTTGTGATGCGTCTGTCTAAATAGTATTCATATTAGCCCATTTTAAATTTCCTCAAACAAGTAGAAAAAAGATCAGTCGTCTTCTGCTTCCGACACCCAGTTTTGAAAATAAATAGCTTAGTCTTGCACCTAAACCAGGCCCACTTCCGTGTCTGGATAAAGCCTTCCTTTTTTTTTTTTTTTTTTTGCCCTGAAGCAATCCTGGTGGACGTGTTCCAGGAAGAAACACCCTTAATGAACTCAGTGGCTTTCTTTCGATGGTGTGGACAAATTAACTTTTATTGGCCTCGCAGCTCCCCAGATGTGGTGACACTATAATTCTGGGGAGGCTCTGGCTGTTAGGGAAGTTTTAATGCTTGTTTTCATTATCAAGAATTAAAGGGTAACAATGCTGGTGGATCGTGGCAAAGCATCACAGTTAGCAGGGAGATTCCAACCTGGGTGGCGTCCCAGGGGACGCAGGGGTCAGCCGGGCTCCCTCTCCTCTCTTTCTCCCTTGGCCCTTTGTCTTCCCTGTCATTTGCCTCCTTTTTTTTTTTTTTTTTTTTTTTTTTTTTTTTTTTTTTTTTTGAGACAGAGTCCTGCTCTGTCACCCAGGCTGGAGTGCAGAGGTGCGATCTGGGCTCACTGCAAACTCCACCTCCCAGGTTCAAGTGATTCTCCTCCCTCAGCCTCTTGAGCAGCTGAGATTACAGGTGCCCGCCACCACACCCCACTAATTTTTGTATTTTTGTAGACACGGGATTTCACCATGTTGGCCAGGCTGGTCTCAAACTCCTGACCTCAGGTGATCCACCCGCCTCGGCCTCCCAGAGTGTTGGGATTACAGGCGTGAGCCACTGCTCCCGGCCCTGCCTCCTTGTTTTTGTTGCTCCTCTCTGTAGCCCTGTCCCAGCAACTTGTATGCTTCCTTTTTCACAGAGCCATCATGCATGATGAAGAAAATGGAATGCATCAGTATTTTATAGACATTATTATTGTCAGAAATACATGCAGATTTGGACAGGGACAAATACAGAGATGAACACTATTATTAAGGCAGGACTTTTTATTTTTTAGCTTTAGTGCCTTTTAATCATATTTTCATAATATAAAATCATAACATAAATATCAGGAAAGCTAGTAATTATTATTTTGTGTGTGGACTGCCTGGCTATATTATAAACAGGGCAAAGCTTACATTTTCCTTCCTTCATTCATGCAGTCAGGGAAATACTAAGTTGCAAAATGATGACAATGATACAAACAAGTCATTTGGCCCAGAAGGCACCAGGAGCAGCTATTAATAAGGAAAACAACTTTTTCCAGCTGAGGCCGAGTTGATTAACTTATTTTCCTGGAGGAGAGATAAAGCTTAAGCTATAATTTATTGAAAATTAATGAAAATGAATTTTGGTGGCACTGGCTATCAAACTAGAATGAAAATAAGAATGTGAGTATACTGTATTAAACCAAATTTTCCTTCAGGACTCCCATATTTCTTCAGCTCTTGTACTGTCACAGAGGTTCGAATTTGAAAGCATTAATGTTGTCATTTTTTGCCAGTGGTTCTGATGGTAAATATCCACAGAGTCTTTTATCTTTAATTTCTTTTGATGTGTGTTTTTAGATCAAGCTTAGTTAGCAATTTTTAATGAGAACTTATACATCTTGGAGCTTTAGTGCTTTGTTTCAAAAGCCTGACCTTGCATTTGCTTTTTAAACAAATGTCTCAGAGCTCTTGTTGCCAAAGACTAAAATCTTGAAATTTTGGTGTGATCATTTATAAATTTCTTGATGTCCAGTTATGAGACTTTGCTAGGGGGATAACCTAGTGCTGTAACCAATGACATACTGATAGAAAAAACTTTACTGCCTTTTTGGTTGAAGGATGCTCGTTGTTAGATCATTTTTTCCCCCAGGATCTCAATTTTCATGAATGTTCTTTCCAGCCTATCTTTAAGGTTTATTTTTATATTGCATTGCAAACAATGCAGTATCAAATGTTTGTTGTTCACATGGATGTGGACATCAATATGAGGAAGGAAGAGCCAGACAGGCATGTGACGGTCCTCTGAAGGACCACTGATATTACAAATGGCCTGTGAACTGGGTTCCCAGGCAGGTTCCTCAAGGAGAGACGTTGCATCCTGGCACCCAGATCCCTGGACTTAAAGATCAATGGCCTTGATTTGTCTGAAATTACTTCACAGAGAGGATTCCTGTTAATGATTACAGATCCTTCCCAATACACTTTATTTATGGGACCCTCTCAATGAGGGGATCTCTGCTGTCTCTAGCACCGGAAAGATGCTTTCTCCAGAAGATGAATTGGCATGAACCCTACCAGGCCTGGGAGGGTAGGAGCTTCTGTAGCCTTTTCAAGTAAAAGGGAAAATCCAGACTTGCATTAGCAAAAAAATTAAAAAATTTAAAAAATGCCTGCATTTTCTTATTTATTTATTTATTTTCTGAGACAGAGTCTCGCTCTGTAGCGTAGGCTGGAGTGCAGGGGCACAATCTCGGCTCACTGCAAGCTCTGCCTCCCGGGCTCACTCCATTCTCCTGCCTCAGCCCCCCAAGTAGCTGGGACTACAGGTGCCTGCCACCACGCCCAGCTAATTTTTTTTATTTTTAGTAGAGACAGGGTTTCACCGTGTTAGGCAGGATGGTCTCGATCTCCTGACCTCGTGATCCACCCACCTCGGCCTCCCAAAGTGCTGGGATTACAGGCGTGAGCCACCGCGCCCGGCCCAAAAAAATGCCTGCATTTTCATTAGTTCATGTTGGTTCCCCATTTTCAGGGGAGAGAGAAGATGAGTGGGCCGGTCTGACAGCCCAGATGTGAATTCTGGCATTAACATGTCTTACCAGCTTTTTGACCTTGGAGAAGGTACTGAGCATATCCAAGCTCTAGCTTCCTCATGGAGGGCATTCCCACCTTGGATTGTTACTCTAAAGATTAAAGAAGATAATACCAAATGGCTGGCACATTGTAGGTGCCCAAAATAGGTGACCTCTGTAGGTCATCTGTATGGGGATTCTCATTTCACTAGAACGCTCCCTCAGCTCCAGTGGGAAATAGAGCTCAAACCATTTTTGCATAGCTTAGCAGGAATTGCATGGAGTTTTTAAAATTATTTGAAAATTAGAACTTGCATTTCATTTTTTTTTTAAATCCAAATTCTGGGACACAAATCCATAAATTCCATAAATGTTCATGCCATGCCTTGAATTGCTCATTTTATCTGCAAATGGGCTGTCTGGATTGCCTAGTGGCTCGGTGGTGAGGCTTTTATTCACCTACCAACTTAAAAGGCTGAGGAGGTATTTGAAATCTATTTTGGCATTCTGCACAGGAAGATTATTTAAATTACATTTTCATGTATGTGTGATACCTACATGAAGCCCAAAGCAAGAATTTGAAATGTGTTTTATATTCTTTCAAATATATTTTGCTTTATTTTTCATATTAGAGATGGAAAGCCTTATTATTTTTTAAGAACTTAAAAGTAGTGTTTACAAAGTTATATAAATATAAGCTATAAAAAAGGCTTGCTGTGACCCTGTGAATTAAATGAAGAAAATGATAGAAAGAATATGAAATGTGCTTCCCATTTCAAAATTTCAAAGAAATGATAACTTATATTTGGGGTTTCGAACTTGAATATTCTATTGCAAATAAATAAAAGCCATTAGTTTCAACAGAAAAAGAAAAGAAAATGGCTTCCCTGAAAACAATTCAAAGGATTGCAACCTTGCAGGACAGAGACCAACTCTAGCATTTGTAGTACTGGGAGAGATAAGGAATTGATGAAGTGTCAAGAGGAAAAAGAAAACAGAACAGTGGGATCATTGCACACTTTTATTGATGGAGATCTGCAGCGAGGTTCCCCCCCGCCCCGAAACTTTTATGAATATTATAAGGCAGTGGCTGAAATTGTGATGTTCTCAGACATCTCTATAGAATATGTTCTTGGAGCAGAAAGGAGCCTCTAGGGCCTCTCCTCTCATTTGGACCATGTTCCTTTCATATCAAAAAATGTAGCTCAGAGGCTAGGCCAGGGTGAACTAAAACAAAATCCAGGTCTCCTGACGCTACATCAGCTCCCCTGCCCGTGACACCAAATGAACTGGTCCTGTCCTTTTCTCTGGAAACCACCAAGACAAAGCTTCATGTCTCCATTTAGTGATCCTCACCACCACCCCCCATCCCCAAAATACACCACCCTGTAAAATAAAGCAAGAAAATCTCTTCCCTGTGTTCAAGCTCCTCCCCTGGCTTCACCTCCCTGAATCTTAGCACTTGGAGGGTTGCTTCCCAGTAGCAAAGTAACCTCAAAGGTAGTAACTTACTGAGTGCAAACATAGCCTGAGGACTGAGACCCTCTTTGTCCATAATTCATTTCATCTCCAAGAGAAGCCCAAGAGGCAGGTATTCTCAGCTGTTTGTTACAGAGAAAAGCTGAGGTCCAGAGGGGTTAATAAGCCTGTGCACGCAGGTCAGGAGAGGGAAGGTCAGCATCTCAGGACCTGCAGAGTGGAGAGCCTGGTCACCCCACCCTATCCCTCTCCTGAATCTCACTCTGGAAAAATGGAAGAACCAAGTGCATGGGAGGCTGACCTCAGCCAGCTGGCTGGAATGATTTAAAATGTTTTGGGTTATGATAAATGTGGAGAGAGACATCGAAACTGATTTATCAAGAATATTAGAAAATGAAGTGCTGACATTTCCATGCCATTCAAATAGGGAGTGCTAAGGCACAGGAGAGCATTTGGCAGCAACAACCTTTTTGCTTCTGATCTCAGCTCAGCGCTGCTTTCTCTCTGCTGCTCACAATGCCCTGCTTTTCTGTGATGCATCTGGCCAGAGCCAGGGAACACGGCACTCAGTATTCCAGAGAAGAGCCACAAGATCATTTTCAGGACTGCAGAGGCTGTTGAGAGACTGTCTAATGTCACCCACCTCCTCTCCTCAAAATTGGGCCATTCTCAGCTAACCAGGTGGAAGACTTTGATCTCTATTAAGTGGGTAGGTTTTGGCAAGAACAACCTAATCATCCTGCTAGAGAGTGCATAGCCAAATTGGGATGGGATCACCTCACTGTGCCCAGCTTTCCCCTTGGCTCTTGGAGGGGTGAGCCTGGGAAGCCAGGAAATCAGACTCTAAGCCCACACCTTCGTGATTCCTCAGCGTTTATGCACAGCTGCTGCAGCGGTGCACAATTTTCCATGTGGGTTCTTTCTGCTCTGTAACTTAAATAGTCCCCTTATGCTTCCTCTGTAATTGTGATGCAGTATTTATTCTGTTTGGGCATTGGTAATTAGAGCAAATTCAGAGATTTCTTATCCCCTGACAGGTCTCTCTGATTCTGAGTGATTTGTCAATATGAGGACATAAGATACAGCAAGTATATCATTTCTACCCATCTAGCATCAATATTCTAGGTTAACGCAAGTCACATCACGCAAACATGTTCTGTGATGGCTTTTTATTTCTGCTGCTGGGAGAATGAGACCTTTTTCATGTTTCCAAGAGATGCTGTCATATACATTATACATACATATTAGGTATATGTGTGTCATACACACACAGAGTTCCAAAGCAGGACCCCAGGTTGTATGGGCTGATGAACAATTAAGCGTATATTTGAACAGCCTGAATGCCGATGAACTGTGAACCCCTCAAAGGCTGGGCCCGAATTCCTTTGACTCTCACATCCCCTCATTGCCTGGCACAGTGTCCATCACTTCAGTGATGTTTGGCAGAAACCTTCTAAATGTGTGAATGAATGATAGGCCGGTGTGCTTGGCAGTCACACACCTTGGACTGCCTGCACCCATATTCTGGCCTGAACATTTTTAGCTGTATGAATATGGTCACTGTATTTACAAACCATATATCAGGAGTCCATAACCTATGGCTTGTGGCCCAAATCTGGCTACCACCTGTTTTTGTAAATAAAGTTTTATTGGAACACAAGTATGCCCATTCATACAGATTCTCTGTGGGTGCTTTCAGGATACAATGGCAGAGTTGAATCATTGTGACAAAGACTGGCTGTCAATATGTATTTACTATTTGGCCCTTTGCAGAAAAGTTTGCTGACCTCTGCCATGTAGGAGCTGACCCTGAGCCCCTGCAGTAAACACAGATGTCCATGAGACTAAGTCCTTACCTCTTAAGTATGTGTATGTGCACATGACCTTCCATTACTTGTTGGCTATTCATTGTTTTTGGTAAAGTTGAGCAAACCTTGGTACAGGATACCACACTTCGTCTGTATTAACTCGTTCCATCCCTCAGCTCTTTCTTCCTCTCTCCCTTGTCTTGAACACCACCGTAAGCGGCACCCTCACAGAGCCCCTGAACTCAGGGGGTTCCTTTAGCTTCTTTTTTTACCACTGTGTGCCCGAGACTTGGGAGAGCTGGCCTCACACCACCAAGAAACCACCCTTTCTCAATGAGGATGAACAGAACCCCTGCTGACAGGGAACTGCCCCCATGATGGGGTGGCAGGGATGATGGGAGGTGATAAATGACTGGGTTTGCCACCCTTCCTGCAAGGTACTAGACTCTTTGGGTTGGTGTGTTACTTAGGATTTTCTGTTTTTAATCATACTCTTGCCTTTGCTCTGAATTAGTAAAGTCACAAAGCCCCGAAGCCTCAGGGTCTTATCACTACCTGCTGGTCATGTTTAAGGGCCTGGGGTCCTCTTGCTCTCTCCCCCTACCCCAAGCCTGCAGGTAACACCCAGCAAATGCTGAGGGAGGCCTGGCCCATAGAAGAATCTGCTTCACTCTGGGCAGTGACAGATTCTGATCATGTGCTTGATATCCTCAAGTAAAGCTTCTCACGATCATTTCTGGTCTTCTCCAAATAGCAGAGTATCATTAGGCTGTCACCAGCCAATGGACACTTCAAGAGACTAAATGTTTGGCGTAGGAAATCTAAGAGGCAAAGAGCGCTGTCGGGGTTGCCACACTGTAGTTGCTGGTGAGTTTACCCAATGAGCCACCAAGACCTACACCCCATTGGTCTGAGGATCTCCTGCCCAGGAATCCCATAGCTGCTACAGTGAATTAGCACTGTTCTAATAATTGATTGGGTTTTTTAAATCCACTGTCCCATTTGCCTTGTTCTTAGCCTTCAATGACTCCCATTAGTGACTTATTTAGGTAGCCTGTGTGACCCTGAACTTCCCCAGAAGACACAAGCATAATACTAAGAGCTCTGAAATAAGCAGGATAATTCTTGGCATTCATGCAAGCCCGCACTGCATAAAGCAGAGTGATTTTAGTGAATTGCCCCAGTGTTTTACAAGGGACTAAAAGGCGTGATTTTGCATACTTTTTGCACATCTAACCTACTTGCAGAATTCATCCCACTGAAATGCTCGTAACAGGATATGTCCTTTATTCAGCGCCAACTGTGTGCTGGTTATAAGTGGGAGCTTTGTAGATACTGTATTTCAGTGTCTACCACCCCTAGTTGATTTCAGACAAAATTGAAGCTCACAGAGGTTAACCTGTCTCAGCCATAAACATTCTCTGCCGAAGCCATTTGGAAATCTACATAAGCAAATGAAAATAATGAAGGAGAGTCTCTTACGAAAAATAATTTGGAAGCTACTGAGAGCGGTTGTAGCCAGTGACACAGAAATTCCTGCACAGGTTAAGAACTACAGGGAAGCACTTGCCTGACAAACTCAATAGTGAAAAGAAGTCCTATTAAAGAGATTTTACAATAAACATGTTCTAAGAAACATACATTGCCCAGGGCCATCAGCGGGATTCAAAGAATACTGGCTTCCCAAGGAGCAGGCCCATGACCCCTTTGGGCCAGGTCAGACCTTAAGTATAGTGTGGAAATGTGGGGGCAAGATTTGTCACTTGTATTCAAACTCATGGGCTCCGAGGTGCCTGCCCTCACTAGGACTCTTCTGAATGCAGATGAAATTCTGTTGGAAGCCCCTGTATGCTTTATTGGGGTGGCAAGTGGGGAGAGGAACTGACTTTCCCCAGCTTCAAGAGTGTTCTCCAGCTCCTGATTTGTAGGCTTTAGAATATTTTCCAAGAAAAGTTCCATTGATTTTATTTTTATTTTTTTGAGATGGAGTCTCGCTCTGTTGCCCAGGCTGGAGTGCAGTGGTGTGATCTTGGCCCACTGCAACCTCCACCTCCCGGGTTCAAGCAATTCTCCTGCCTCAGCCTCTGGAGGAGCTAGGATTACAGGTGCCCGCCACCACGCCCGACTAATGTTTGTATTTTTTAGTAGAGACGGGATTTCACCATGTTGGCCAGACTGGTCTCAAACTCCTGACCTCAAGTGATCCACTCGCCTTGGCCTCCCAAAGTGCTGGGATTACAGGCATGATCCACCGTGCCCGGCCTCCACTGATATTTTAACTTGGTCATTTGAGTTCATTGTCGTATCATATAATAACTATGTATCAGTGTACACAGAGTGCATTTTCCTGTTTTCTTTTTTTGTTTGTTTGTTTTTTTAAACCATGAGATGCAACTAAAATACCAACTTCCCAGTTCAGATCTGGTACATAAAGTAAGCCCTGTGAATCCCTCGTTCTAAAGTCCTAGAACTTGCCCTTCAAGGGATTGGTTGGGTGCTGAGTGGAGCAGAGTGTTACATTTTTAGGATTTCATGAGATTGAAATTGGCCACGGTAGCAGTATTTACACCATGGAAATCAGCAGATGCTACTTCCCTTCCCTCCAGAGCCTGTTGTTCCAGATGTCCCAGCCCAGTGCTGGCTGCCACTGCTCACAGCTGTCACTCCTGGGACTCTGTGCTGTACCCAGGGTCTGGGAAGGGATGGAGAATGAGCTTGCATCTTATCTGCCTGTCTCTGAGGCTGCAGTCCTCTCCTATGTTCTGACATGGAGAAGACGGGTGGGAAATTTGAATTTCAGCCAAATTAATGACCCTGGGGCATTGAGCAAGAGGGGGCCCCATAAGGTGGCCTTGAATTTTGGAGCCCATAAGGTGGCACTTGATTCTTTGCTATCTGAGTCCAGAGGGCTCTGAGAGAGAGGAAGTGAATGTTCCCAGGAACACAACAGAGACCTGCCTTTCTACCTTCCACCGTGAGCTTGTGCTGGCAGCAACTGAACTAGGATTGATTTTAAAGTAAAACCATCCTTTGTCTTGATTTAAGGTGCCCAAGTCCTCAGATGCTTAAGAACCAGGCACTGTGCCATGTTCTGGGATACCGGAGTGAATGACATTTCGTGATGATGGAAATGTTCCGTAGCTGCACTGTCTTATGTATGTGGCTATCGAGCATTTGAAATGTGACTGCTGTGACTGTGAAGTTTCAATTGTCATTGAGTTTGAATTTCAATAGCCACGTGCAGCTAGTGGCCACTGTATTGGATAGAGCAGCTCCAGAGTTTCAGGGACAGTCTTGTGTGGCAGCCTGTGTGCCGGGCATATAGGGGATGCATTCATCACATTGGACGCCCACAAGACCACTAAGTCCTCCCCAGACCCCTGCTCCAGCATTGCTGGCCAGCAAGATCAACACTCATGCCACTAGTGGACATCTACCCATTCAGACACACCTGCCACTAGGCTGAACACATTAGAAGGTCACCCCATGTCATTCCATCCCCTGTCTGCAGGACAGACAGTGATCTCAACTTACAGGTGAAGAAAGAAGGCACAGAGACATACAGCCCTTGCCCAAGCCCTCAGTGCCAGATTCCTACCCAGACATGTCTTAGTAAACTGAGAACCACACTGCTAGATGGATGGCATCTCAGAGAACCCTGAGGATCTTATTTAAAGCAATCTTCCATACTTGTTCTAAGAGGAGTGTAAGAAGGCGCTCCCATATATCGTACGGTTTTCCTTTCTTGTGTTCGTGGGTGTTCAGCCCTCTCAGGTTCTTCTTTGGGCACACACTCCTGTGAGTATGCACATTAGTGTACATATTTCATTTTACACCATTTGGTGAACTTTATTTCACCAAAGATGTTGGCATCTTTCTCTTTTGCTGTCTGGTTTAATTCACTACCAACTATATCAACATCAGTGACTGGGTCAATGTTTGACCTTTTAATTTTTTTGCAGGAATGTGGACTACTGATCAGTAAATCACTGGTCTCCCCCACCCCACGCCTGATGAGTGTTGCTTTTGGATCTGTACTGATGGAAATGGGATGAAAATGGAGATGTAAACCCAAGATTGAACAAGGCCTTTTGGAAATGTTATATGGTGTTAGATTACCTATGAATCTACTGTTAAGATTTTTGTACATTTGGCTGGCAGTTCTTTTTGCTTAAGAGCATCAAGCTGTAGACAGGCCTCCTGCACCAAGCTGGAGCAGCCAGAGCCCAGGGCAGGACCTGCCCCAGCCTCTCCACTGCTGGAGCTGGGCCTTTCACCTCAGCCTCCACCTTAAGGCAGGAGGTGTTTCCTCCCCATTCTTTGCAGTCAGCAAACTGTCTAACTCAGCCACAGCAATCCTCTTAAGGAAACTTTGTGCCCAGGTGGTTTTCTGTCCTGGAAATACATTACTTGGCTTATTTCAGGCTGGCTTCTAGCTTGCTAAACCCAGGGCTCAGGGCTCGCAGAGTGAAGGGTGCACATCACATGAGGCAACAGGGCGCTGCCTCCGATGTTACCTCCAGTACACAGGCTAGCAGGAACACAGACACTTTCAAGGGGCAATGGGCAAGAGAGGTCTCGGCAATCCAGGCGAAGTCCGATAACCCCCAGACCCAGAGTAGAACAGGCTGCTTTGTATCAGCTGAGCACATGCCGGCCTGTAGGAGGCTTCCGCACTGGGGAGCTCAAGAACTAAAACCCCACCTTTAGGTCATTTGTTTTTAAAGATGCTGCTGCACAGTTTAAACTTCAAAACATGAAGTGCAAGATGGTCTTATCAACGCAATAAAGTATTGGCCGTGAAGTTAGTATCATTCTTTCTGCAGCCCCACTGGACACATAGGGCAGCCCGTGGGGAAGGGCATCTGTCTCCTAATCATATACAGTCAGGACTGGTCTCACAATGCCCATTGCTTCTTTGGGTTCCAGGTACAGAATGGAAAACACACTGTCTATGATGTAAAGCCTTGTACAGTCCTGAATACCAATATTATTTCAATTATTTATTATAAGCAAGTCAGCATTTACTTTTCCAAATGTCACATGAAATTTCCTTTCTCTTCCTAATACGATTCCTAAGAGGCCTGTGGCCTCTTCTCTTCCTGATTCTCTTCTTATTTAGAATAGATATTTTGGACTGGCATATGTTGTTATACATTATCAATATCATAAACCTTTAGCCCTAGCAGAATAAAAGGAAAGGTCTATCAATTCATTCTAAGCATAGGTATGGTTTGAATTCAAGGCCAGAAAGATGAACATTAACCAGAAAGCGTATCGTGCAGGATGCAGTGACGTCTAGTATCATAAAATAATCTGCGACCCCTTGGAGCTCGCCACGCCCTTAGACTATGACCTGTTTACGGAAATGCTGGCTTTAGTCTCATTACAGACTTGGGTTTGGGGCTACAGATGGACTCTGTGGTGATCAGCCTGCATAGCTTCCTAAGACATGGGTGAACATACATACCCTTCCCGATGGGCCTCTCCTTTTTCCAACTCCTGAATGACCCCCAAGAGCACTTTGATGGTTTCTTGGCTTGAACTGATCAAGTTCTCCATCATCTGAAGTTGTGCTTTGAGGTCGACCACTTCCGTATGAGGCACGATTCGTTGGCATTCTTCACCTGCAGCAACCGCTGTGGGACTAGGCTGGTTCCCCAGCCCCGGCGGGGTGTGAGTCTGCGACGGCTGCTCACTACATTCGGGGGACAGGCACTGCATCGGGGGTGAGCAGGCCAGGGCAGTTTCCGAGGGCGCCTGGAGCCCGTTGAGATGTGTGGCTCTCCTCCGCTCGTCATCTGCCGGGCAGAGTGACCACTGGCTGGCGGCTGCAGAGTCTGACAAACCAGGCTCGGGGGCCCTGGCACTGAGGGCAGGTGCGTAAACGGTGGCAACCTCCGTTTTAAACACCCTCCTGAGGGCAGGTGGAGCGGGCTCCTCGGAGTTTGGCCTCCCCCGGTCCTGCTTGGCCCTCCCGAGCAGCTGGTAATCGGGCTCTTCGGATGGAGGCCGAGTGGAGTTTTGGAGCGCAGCTTCTCCATAGCTGAGCGGCTCCGGGCTTTTACAGGGCTCTGTGCAGTTGACCCCCAAAGGCTGGTCCACTGTGTTCATGTGTTGGTTGGAATGGAAAACCAAGGCTGTGGTCTTGTGCACCCGCCCCGCGCCACATGGCCGGGCCTCCTCCATGGGTCCAGCCTCGTTCTTCTCTTTCGCATCTGTTAGAAACCCATTGTTTTGGCTTTTAAAGGGATCTGCAGCTGGGAGGCTTTTGAGGTTCCCCTTTTTGCGGTCCAGAGGGAACGTCTGGTAACACTTCTTAAGGTCGGGCGAGGTCTGCACGCCTGTGCTCTTGGTGACGTTGGGGATGGACCTGCGTGCGGGCACTGTCATGTATTTGCGGTAGGCTGCTCTGCAGGACACGGGCTTGGCCTCCCGCTTCTCCCCCAGCTGGCCCGAGGACAGCTGTGTGTCCCTCTGCTCATTCTGTGCCTCGCAGATATCCTTAAACCGCACCTGCAGGGCTTTGTTCCGTTTTTTAATCTGCCGGTTGGGGTCCAGGGCGTATTTCATCTCCAGGGCCAGGCAGGCGGCGGGTTCCACTTCACTCTCCGACGTTGTGAGTATGCATTTGCCGGTGTCCTTACTGACCATGGTTCCTGCATTCAGAAACAGCAACAGAGGTGTCAGTGGGACAGAAATACACACTCAAGCACCGGCCGCACAAACTTTTAGCCACCACGACGACTGCCTGTTTCCTAATTATATTTAAGCAGGTGAGGTCGGCCTTTATGTTAAGGAAAATCACACGGGCTGAGAGTCGCTGGCAGCACAGCTTGAAATGCTTCTCAGATATTAAAGCCTGCTTGCTTTTCCAGGTGGGATACACTCGCTTTCCTTTTGACAGTAATGCATGTTTCCCCATTAGACAAACCTGTTTTACTACATTCATCAAGAAACCCAATGATGCTGCCTCTTCTGCTTTGCAAATTATCTTTTCACACGCGTGACTCCCCTTCTTAGGCAGATGGTTTACCAAGTGCTACTTATTTGGTTTGCGTTTTGACTATTTTTTGAGGATGACGTCATTAATCTATTGCTGGAATCTGGGAGAGCTGCTGTTTTAAAGACTTACTGGAGCTGCCACGTCTCGAGCAGATAAATGTGGAGAGCCCTCCGAGGAGGAACGGAAAGAAATCTATTTGCGTGAGCCGTTATGGATTCCGGGGGAGAGTTGGCCGTGCTCCTGGGTGGGAACCGTGAAGGAGAAGTCGTCGAGGGGTGGTCGCTTCTCATGGGTTAACATCAGCTCTAAAAGGAACGTGGGTTTCCCTGCATCTACAAAGGCCATGTTTGCAACTCCTTTTATTCCATGGAGAGTGGTACTGGAAAATAATTCTTAAAAAAAAAAATAAAAGAAATTACTCATTCTAGAATCAAGTTTTGTGTTGTGATCACAACCTCCGAAAATGAAAACAATGGTGGTGGTTTCAGTACTTAAATTCTGAAAGCAAATAAAACTATGAGGCTTTATGTTAATCATGCAAATTCATCCTGGGCTGAATTATTAAATGCAGCTAAAAAGATGCAGGTGGCCAATGACTCCTCTCGGGGAATACCAGTGGGGTAAAATGCCTTCACTTTATTAGGCGGATTCACAGCTGTTTATTGCACATGGAAGAACTTATTTGATGGCTGCGCTTAAAGCAAGAAAATAGAGTTAAGTGTGTTGTTTGTGAGTGAGGCTTCGCCTTTTCCCCCCTTGTGTTTGAGAAGAAAACAGTCAAACGGAAGGCACTGAGGGTGTACGGGGCCCGAGTGGCTGGAGCTGAGTGCCCAGAGAGGCAAGGTCATGGACATGGGCCCGTGAGAGCTGCACAGAAACAGACTTCGTCCACATTGCCCCCAGCCCAGCTGCCGACCTTGTGCCCTGTCCTGGGGGTGTCTGAAAAACCAGCCCAGAGACCTGTGGCAGCACTCATTGGAAAATGCCACAAGAACTATGACATGCGCAGCATGGCCACTGCTTCTGGAGTGAGGTGGTTCGAGTGCCAGATGCTCTGCTCGTTCACATACAGAATGCCTTGCTTACAAATGTTCCTGAAGGTCAAGGCTACACTTCCCATTTCAAGGAGGATACTAGGGTTCAGAGATGTTGCGTCATTTTTCGGTGTCACACAGGAAATAAGCAGCGCAGGCAGGAGCAGGACCCTACTTTAGTGGACCGCTGAATCCATGCTGTTCTCATAGACCCAGCTGTCCAACAGACAGAGGCATGACCCCTCCCCACATCCTTAGCCCTTACTGAGTTAGCATGACAGGCCGAGGTGCACGGTGGTTCCATAAGGGGGAAGAAGAGACAACTTCACAGCCACCATCTAAAAGTAAGTGACATGACTAGCCCTCTATTAAAATGACCTCTATGTCTCAGGCCAGCCTGGTCTTGTCACCTTGCTGGCCTCCACTGCTGTTCACTGGATGAAAGAGTGAAGGAATCAAATTCTTCATACATTATGCTATGAACAACTAACAGGTAATCATGTGTAAGAACAACAAAAAACAATCTCTGCAGCATTTGATTTAGGTGGGACCAGAGTTTCTAAATCCTGGCACTACTGGTATTTCAGGATGGATCATTTGCTGTTGGAGGGGCTTTGCTGTGCGGTGCAGGGTGGTCAGCAGTCCCTGGCTTCTCCCCACTGAAGAAGTAGCACCGCTCCCTCCCAGTGTGACAACTAGAAATGTCTCCAGCCATTACCAGATGAGCCTGGGAGCAGAGTCTTGCCTGGCAGAGAACCACTGCATTAGCCCTTGCACCTCTGGATGCCTCGGGCTCTTGTTCGATTATCCTATAGTGTGTCCTGAAAGGTGAGGCTTGCGTAGACAGCAAAGGAAGTCCTTGGTGCTTTACTAGGTGCTGGGGGTATTTGGAGATTGCTGCAATTTGAAACTTGAAAAACTGGGCAGTTTTAGAGAGGAGAGAAAAGGCAAGAAACAGACTGGAGATGCACCAATATCTTGGCCCCGTTTGGGATGGCTAGATGATAGGTGGAAGGAGGGACAAGGCGTGCCTGCTCAGGAGAAAGCATCGATGGCTTTTAGAGATTCTTATCCCAGCAGGTTAAACAGATGCACACAAGACAGCTTGGTGTGGGGGACAGTATGGGTAGCAGTGGGGGTGGAATAAGAAAATTAAATCTTAACCTTCACTCTGATCTCCTATTCATTCTTTAACTGCCTTTGTTGTCCAGGTATGTCAGAATGTATTGTGCCATCATTCTGCAGAAGACCTTCATACTAGGGAAAATTTGAAAGAGAGAGCATTTTTACAAAAAGCAATTTACTAGTAATTTATCAGCCTTTTCCCTGCTACTTCTGAAAAATGTGTGTCTGAATAAGTTTGTCCTGCCATGCTATTCATCATCACCATTTGCTAGGGACTGCACTGAAATAATTTTCTTACATCAGTTGGCTGGGGTAAGAAATATTCTAGGTCTTGGACGCAACCATCAAACTAATACAACAAATCAGAAGAATTAATTGCTGGTGGCCAAATAATAATAAAAAATTCTAAGCTCTTCTCTGTTTTATAGAGGGTTGCTGGTACATAAAAATCATTTCGTTGTTAGTAAAAAAATGATGGTAATACTTAGGATTTTTAATCACTTTAGTTTGTTATTGCTGACTTAAAAAACAGTAATAGTAATTGAGTTCTTATTCTCTGATAGGGAAAACACCAAGGAATTTTTGTGGCTGGTTTATTTTGGCTTCAAATGAGGTTATGAGTTCTTTCTGACGGCTGGATGACATTTTCTAAAGCTTTAAAATTGAATTTCTGGACATTAAGAATTACTAAGGTGGACACATCTTTTCGGGGTGTTCATTTGCTCTTTATTGGGGGTGGAGGGTAAGGCTTACAGTGATTACCATTAAGAAAATGATTTTGTTATGAAAGGAAATGGGGCATTCTACAGAGGACTTTCCCTAAGACAAGTGGAACCTTCTCCCACACTATTTCATTCATCATTCCTTCATGCATTTATTCAGCAAGTGAATGTACATACGTTACAGTGTAGCATTAACATTCAGTAAGCATGCAGTTAAGTGCTCCTATGTGCTAATCAAATGTCACCATTCCCCTATGCATAGCAGTTGTGTTTTCTAGATTTGATCCTCATCATATCCTTACAAGGCAGCCACTATTGATACCCTCATACTGCAGATTGAGAAACCGAGGCACACGATTTTGGGATTTTTTGCAACTTGCTCAGAGTGAGGAGGCTAGTGGGCCACACCCATTGAAACAGCTGAATCCGTTTGAATCACATGCCCTAACCCACTACCCCTGCTCAAGGAACTCTGTAACTTGAAGTGATCCATGATAAACTTGAAAACATCAAACAACTGAAACTCATCTGAGCAATGCCCTTGTCTTGTTCCCACAGTGTATCTGGGTGCTGGTTAGGCAAGGACATCCAGGTAGTTCCGGTAACACAGTGGGTGTTGGAGCACTGAGTGAATGTTGCCTTGAATTCTGGACTGAGCATGAAGCTGCAATAGGATTCTTCATGATGGCTTGCCTTGGCTGGGTCACCCTAGAGAACCATGGACTCTGGTTTGGGGAGCTGATCTCTTGGCTCTAAAGCAGCAGGAGTTCATAAAGTTTATTTTTCGTAAGAAAATTGTGTTTTAGAATTCATTGGACTGTGCTGTCTTGAGGTGAAAATGGCTAGTCATGGTTGTGCCTGTTTGGCTCGAGAGAGCTAGATGTCGAGGAGCTGTTTGGAATATAAATGTCTTAATTACCCTCAAATTAAATTTCATAATCAAAGTGAGCTGTAAATACATAAACCCTGCATTTTTAGATTAGTGACGGAGAACCATCTCTGCATGCTGCTTTAAATTAATGGCTGATATGAAAATGTGCATTCCAACTTAAATAAGTGAAAAATGGAAGCAACTTAATGGCTAACAATAGGTAAACAGTTAAGTAAATTATGGTTTACATTCACTCTGGGCGGCCATTAAAAGGATAATTATAGAGATTATTTAGTATCATAGAAAAACACGAAATAATGTTAAGTGAAACAAAGCAGTCTACAGATTATACTGGAAAAAAATGAACAAAAACGGTCATCGTTGTGGTATTAAGATAGCACATTCGGAGAGATTTATTTTTCCTTCTGTTTTCCAATTTGGGGAGAATGGAGGGAGGTACAGCGTCGTTCTGGTTTTGCCAATGAAAATAACACAAGGTAAAATCTAATCCACACCTGAAGCAGGCCTCTGGAAGGCATAACCACTAGTATCAGAATAAGAAAAACCCAGAAATGATGAGATGGGGCTATAAGTAATTTGTCAAAGGTCATCTTTTATTGTTTTGAGGGAGCCCTGATAAAGAATGAAAATGAATTTCAAGTGTGTATATGTATGTATATATGCATAGGTATATACGTGCCTGCGTATGTATTTGGCTATGTATAGTTAAATGTTTAGCAGAAGATATGTCAATATTTGAGCAAACGTACTGTAAGGAAGGAAGTTAGCATCTGTTTTAATTAGAAATAAAACAGACTCAATAGTCTGAAGGCAATTTTGTGGGGTTCCATTAGCTGCCAAGAGAAACTCTCCATTGGATTCTGTCCATTCTTAAAATGTCCGTGCTGATTTGCAGGTTTGCAGTTTGACCCTGTGATGGGATTTGTGGGGGAAGATGCAGGCAGCTGCCAGTCTGACCGAGACACCTCCCAGGGCCCAGCAGTCTCCGCATATAGTAAGATAGCTAGGCAAGCAGTCAGAGGAGTGCCACAAGGGATTGTATGAAATTATGGGTTTTCCTAGTGGCTTTCTCACTGTTCAGACACCTTGGAGTCAAAGATGCTGGTGGGGATTCAAGATGAACTGGGTCAGCATTTTCTTCCATATGCCAAGGGGGTGCCTGAACATGAGGCTACTCAGAATGGGAGAATGGTGAAAATGAACATCCCATTCTTCACCACCGGCTTCCACCGGAAGGGGAGGTAAAATAGAACCTCACTCACTAAATGAAGTCACTCACATTGTGAAATAGTTAACTTAGAGACCTGTTTCATAGGTGCCAATTGAGTCTTCAGAACTGGAAGTCCTCTTTTCCTTGGGGCAAAGCCAGCTGCCATAGATGGTGGACTGTGTCTTAGATTCATTATCCGGTTTAATTTTCTTTATATAGTGAAATGTTATTTTTTCCCTACATTTGTTGTTTTCAGCAGAGGTCACTGATGAGGACCAAAAAGGGGTGACTGGATGAATTCAGACACCCTTGTGTGACTGAGCAATGCGTGAGGAACTGTTTTCTTGCAGAACTATGGCTCCTTGGAGGAAACACGGAGATGGCACGCCCCGTTCCCTCGATGTGTAGAATATTGCAGTGAAACCTCTGTCATTAAGAACTGATGACCACCTAGTCCAAAGCAGGGAAAAGGGGCACTCACAGAGGTTAAATGTAGGCATCGAGGCAGAAGAAAACCTATCTTAGGTTCAGCCCCCACTCATGCATATCTGCGGTTTTAGAAAACACTCTTAACGAACAAAAAAACCTATGGTCAGTTGCTTTAGCCACATAATGTAAACCACAAAGGCTCACACTGGCCTACTTCGGGGAGTGAGAACAAAGGAGGGCAAGCATGCATGCTTGGGGCTTGGTGCTTGGTGCTCATGTTTTAAAAGAACCAGGGAATGGCCCTCTTAAATGGTCCAGACTTTTAATTTATGTTTCACTACCCAGTTCTTTGATTTTCAGCTTATGTTGATGTTAACCTTTGCTCATCCTGCTACATTCATAGAGATGAATTACCAAAATTTTATGATGTTGGTGAAAATCAACTGGAAAATATGCCTCCTTGAAATGAGACATTATGTCAATGTAAAAAAAGTTTTATTTGCAGCAGTTAGCTATGCCAGCTAATAATGGCCAAAAGGAGTTCAGTACAGTTGGTTCCAACAACTCACCAAAATCACCTGTGAGATTGGTAAAAGGAACTAATTTCCCTGCCTCCCTGTTTCCCATCATCATGACAGTGACAGAGTGTGAGACAGGAGGGCTGTGCTTTGAACACAGCTCATGAGTACCTTTAGTTACGATAGCAGGTGTCCCACTGACCCTGGAGGCTTCCTGGTGATGAAGCAACAATCAGCTGGTAGTTTGGGGCCCATCAGAGGCGGGAGTTGGCAGGACACAGAAGAGGTGGTCTCCCTTTTTTAGACTTAGTGGGAATCTCACTCACATGAAAACACAAAGATACATACTAGAATGTACTTGGGGAGTGCTTTGCCTTCCTGATTATGGTGAATCTTTTTTTTTTTTTTTTTTTTTTTTTAACTAAACAGCATGTTTTGACTCATGATTTATCTGAAACTAAAACTAGGACATTGATTTTTTCCCCCCTAAAAATGACTTATATCAAAGGAGTCTGTTTTCCCTGACACTTCCCAGTCTTATTTGAGGATACCCTATTGGGACAATCAGGGCAGGATATCTGCTTGGAGGTAATGGTCACTACAATGGAAGTCATTTAGAGTTGAAGATGCAGTCTGTCTTTCTGGCAAGGCCATGGGAATGCCCATCAACTCGACCATCAGAATGGATCCCTCTTGTATTTTCATCGTAGTATGAAAATGCCACAATGTTTCTTTGGTTTGGCCAAATCCTAAACTTTGCATGGTCTTCGGTTCACTGCAGAGGTAGCTGTGCCAGGAAGAAAAGGAGACTTGAGCATTTCTTGTAATGAGCTTCTATTCCTAAGCTGATAGCCAAATGTAGAGAAAATAACCTGCACTTGGGGTCCATGTACACAATCCTAACCGAAGTCTGCAGAAAGAGTTAGTGCTTGTAATCTTCTCGGCCCTCATACAGTTTGCAGTTCATGGCCTAGTCTGAAAAGACTGTCTTGGTTTGAATGAGCTATTCATTGCAAGTGTGCACAGAGCGAAATTTTAGCATTCATAACACAAAATGTCATTTTTGTTGGGGGGCTGGTGAAGAGAAAATAAACAAAAGGTCTATATATTGTATACTTGAAACTGTATATTTTATTCCTTAAAAATCTACCTCTTATCAATCCTGGTGTTACTCTGCCAGGTTAGTTGGTTGTTTAATTTTTCCCTTGACCAGCAGCTGTTGTGAACCTCTGTCTTCTCTGTGCATGATAATAAGTAGCTACTTTTTAAAAACATGAAACCATATCCTTCCCTCACAAAGTTTCATCTAATGTCTTCGAAGGTTTATCTCTTTGTGCATGAAAAACTTGGCAGTGTCTCTGGTAATCTGGAGGAGGAGGACTCAGTGGTCTTTCTTGGGAAGCAGTCTGACATGATGTAATGCCTGAGACCCAAGGGTGGCCTGGACTCAACCCAGCAACACAGCTACTGTGCTTACCCCAGCTGAGCTTGGAGCAAAAGACACCCCATGTTAAAGGCAGGACTGGACTTGGTTTGCATTGGGGTCACGAGACCCATCTCCAACTTAGTAGATTCTGTCAGTATTTTTATGCTGAAGGCTTCCAACAAGTGCTGCCAACGGCTTGCTCAATTCATTCCCCCCCCAGTCTAATCCCCCAAATCAGTCGTCACCATGCCCTATTCGTTTTTGTTTTTCCTTCCTGTTGCTTCTCCTACTGATTTCTTCCCTTTAGTTCCACACTGTTCCCACCCTGATCTTGGCCTTCATAACTCTCCTGCCCTCAGCTCTCCATTCCCCCATGCCCCACCCCCGTCCCCCATCCTGCAGGTCCTGCTAGTCTTGGCTTCAAGTGCACACGTCGCTTCTCTGTGCATATACCTGGATACATCCCAGTTGGTAGCACTTCCAAAGAGTCTCTTATTATAAGATCATCTATACTTTTTCCTACCTGCTCATCTTTCTAGATTTCTCTTGGCTACTCAGAAATGCTCCATCTGCTGACTTCCATTAAGCCATTTCCTGCACTGTCTCCTGAACACACCATGGTCAGTCTCTACTTTGTGTCTTCACTTCCACTGGTTCATTTTCCAGGACCGCGCCCTGGTCCTCCTTCCTCATGGATAGTCTGTGTTTGGTGGTCTAGATCTAGTCTTATCTTCTATGCCTTCTCCAGTCCTTACCTGTCACCTTCATTTACTCACTGAACAGTGCATGCCTGGGGTGACCTAGGCACCATACTGGATGCTGGGCACACAGGAAAAAACAAGGCATACTCTTTGGCAGTGTCTAGTCCAGCAGGAGAGAGACACGTTGATGCCTGACACCAGTCCACTGTGCACAAGACCATGTAAGAGGAGGGAAGTACTGAGAGTGCTCCCTGGGGAGTCAGGGTAGGCTCTACCTGGGAGATGTGCAAGAGCAGGCCTGAAGGATGCTCACTTTGCTTTGCTTTGTGTCGGTTTTCTCTCCTTAACACAAATATAAGTGTTCTGTGGAGTAGGTCCCTCTAAGTCTTCCTCCTATGCTCAGTCATCCTTCTTTACTTACTGGTTTAAGAATCTTAACACTGGCCAGGCACGGTGGCTCATGCCTGTAATCCCAGCACTTTGGGAGGCTGAGGTGGGTGGATCACAAGGTCAGGAGATCAAGACCATCCTGGCCAACATGGTGAATCCCGTCTCTACTAAAAATACAAAAATTAGCTGGGCGTGGTGATGCGTGCCTGTAATCCCAGCTACTTGGGAGGCTGAGGCAGGAGAATCGCTTGAACCAGGGAGTGGGAGGTTGCAGTGAGCCGAGATTGCACCACTGCACTCCAGCAAGAGAATCTTAACACTATACATCACAGTATCCTTAGAGCTGGGACCTTAGCTGAGATACAGCAAGAAGACTTAGGATGAGTGTACAATATTAATGGCTTCCAAGGAGTCTTTTTACATTATCTGGATCCTCACATTAGGTAGAACCTGGCTGTATAATGAAACATGAGTAGGAATTAGAGAAGTGGAAAGGAGAAGGGATAGTTTTGTTCGTTGAGGTAAAACCATATCCAGAGATCTTTATCTTCTGAACTTTGGCATGACTACCTTGAGTGGTTGTTGTACAAATGTTTCCGGTGCTGATGGGAGAGAAGGAGATGGCACACACACTCACAAAAATGAGTAGATGGCACAGAAATGGTACAGGTTCTATATTTAACCATGCAGTATATTGGGGCCCCATACTGTTGTAGAAAATGTGACTTGCTAGGAATTATCAGAAGGTTTGTTCTTATATTACTCAACTTTCTTCTTGGGTACTCCCAAGATATGGTAGTGGCAAAATAAATTGAGTTTAATTAAAAAATCTCAATAGCTTGGAATAACAACGTTTTAGAGCATGGCACCTTTCCTAAACTCAGTTGTCTAATCTGCTCTAGAGGATGAATCACTGGCTTTCAGAGGGAAAAAAACAATAGAGGGTCTGGGGCATACCCAGGGTTCTAGTGACTTCCAAGGGTGTATTAGTCCATTCTCACACTGCTATGAAGAAATGCCTGAGACTGGGTTATTTATAAAGGACAGGTGTTTAACGGACTCTCCGTTCTGCATTGCTGGGGAGGCCTCAAGAAACTTAAAATCATGGCAGAAGGCAAAGGAGAAGCAGGCACCTTCTTCACAAGGCTGCAGGACTGAATGAGCGCAAGCAGGGGAAATGCCAGACACTAGACATGGTGGTGCGTGCCTGTAATCCCAGCTACTTGGGAGGCTCTCCTTAACACATCCGATAGACAACCATCAGATCTCCTGCGATTTCACTCACAATCATGATAACAGCATGGGAGAAACCGCCCCCCCGCCCCCCCCCGATCCAGTTACCTCCACCCAGTTCCACCCTTGACACATGGGGATTATGGAGATTACAATTGGAGGTGAGATTTGGGTGGGGACAGAGAGCCAAACCGTATCAGAGGGGCATAAACATATGAATGAAATAGCTTTCATTTTCCTGTTCTTTAGACTGAGAACAATGAATATAAAATTATACTAAATAAGGAAGCGCAGTACTTAGGAATCTCATGCCACACTGCTGTTGTCCATTGAGATGAACGTGGAGAGGAAGGAGAAGGGCAATGGGGATGTATAAAGAGAGAGAGGTTGTTAGGGGAACGGTGAGTCGAGAGAAATGCACAGACAAACAGACACATGCACACACAGATACAGGAGGGGAAGGGGATGTGTGCTGGAACATAAGTCCAGGTCAGCTGTGGGACATCTGTGGGCTGTTCCTTGAATCAGGCACATAGAGTTTTGATAGCCTTCAGCCATGACTCCCAGCGTTTTGGTTGCTCTTAAAGGGCCAGTTGCAGCAACCCCATCTCCTGTCCAGAAGGGAACGTGACAATTCACCCCGGGGCAAAACAAGAGCCCAGGCTCGGGCAGGCACCCAAAGCAGGACATCATACAGTTTCCTGTTCTATGAAGCACCCAACACATAACACATTAAGTGTTAAACTCAATGAAGAGTCCCATTTTCAGCAAATATTCCTGCGTTTGCCTCTATCTTTTTATCTCTCCAGCACCTCCTTGGAACAGATGCCCTGCTACTTTACAAGGCTTGTGGAAAAGAGAAAGAGAACAGTAGCAAAAGCCTGTGTAGTTCATGAATAGAAGTTAGCATCGTAGTGAGTAAGCAGTACTGATGATCTGTGAAATGATTCTCTGTGGACTTGAGCATGCTAAAAAGATCTTGAAAAAGGAAAACATAAATCTTTCCAAAACCTCACATGACCCCTGTATGCTTTCGCCTTCTTGAAGCTTTGGAGGAGAGCATAGGTGTGGATGAAATGGAGTCTTTTAAAAGTTGTTTTGGTTTTTGTTTTTGTGTGTGGGTTTTTAAAGAGAGCATATCCTGCCACGTAGAAGAAAATCCAGGGGGTGGCTGTCCTCCTACAGGAAGGAGGTAAACAAGCATTTTTCCTTAAGGGCTCTATTCCCTCAGCCTCGCTCCCTCGAAGGCCACACTTGGAGGCCAGGAAGTTAATCCATTAAAAAACAAGGAGAAGAAAGAGAGAAAGAAAGAAAGAAAGAGAGAAAGAGAGAAAGAAAGAAAAGAGAGAGAAAAGCAAGCAAGCAAGCAAGCAAAAGCAAAAGCATATTGGTCTCTACCCCAGTCCAGGTAAATCAGAACTTCTGGAGGATGGAGACTGGGTTCCACTGTTTGTTTTAAATGCCTAATATAATTTTAATAATGCACATACGATAAAGAACCACTGGCCTTCTTCCTTTATCTTTTTCACCCTTTGTTGTCTTCTATTTCCTGCTGTATCTCCAAAGCTTAGAGAAGTTTGTGGCATACAAAAAGTACCCAGAAATATTGACTGAACGAAGGGCTTAATGAATGAGTGAATGTCACGGGGGAGCAGGGAGGTTGAGCCCCTTCCATTTTTTTCTAGAATGAACCTGGACATCAGCCAGGTGTTGGGATGATCACCAGCAGATCCCACACAGGCCCACAGAGTGTCTGTGCCCTGGCCTGGCTGGGCTGTGCTGTGCACAAACAGATGGGGTGGATTCATGTTCCACAGAGGAGAGAGCTAGTGGCCAGTTATTGTCATGGATGAAAATCCAGGTCTTTCACAACATCCATTAATTATGGGATGGCAAATTCCAAGTAAATTGTCACTGAGCAGACCCATAGTAGGAATAGGGCATATTCACACTTTTTTTTATGTATATATATTTCTGGTTGGAGACGCAAAACATTTAGAATTCTGTTCCCTTCTAGAAATTCCATGGCTTGGGGCAGCTCTTTTCAACCATGGATCTGGGGTTTGAGACCAGTCATTCGTACATTGACAGTCTTTGCACAGTGAATAACTCTGGAATTTCTGCATTAGAGAGGGGGTGCTCAAGGTCTTCCCATGCTACCATGGTTTGCTAACGTGGTTAATTTCTGGCCGTAGTCCTTACGAACTGGGGCTTTGAGACCACCTGCTTGGATTTGAGTTCTGGCCCTTCCCCTCCACTTAATAGCCCAGAACTCTGGGCAAGTGATCTAACCTGGGAGAGCAAAGATCAGAAAAGGTAACACTTGTGTATAACACTCAGCACAAGCTAGGTACCGTTCTGTGCTTTGTGTATGTCTGAACCTTTCATTCTCCAAACACCCTCTGAAGGAGAAATTACTATTTGTAATAAAGATGGGGAAACAGAGGCACAGGTAGTGGAGTCACATGCCAAAGGTCACACAGATACTGGCAGAGCCAGGAGGGCAAAGGAGGACAGCCTGGCCTGGAGCCTGTTACCGCACCACCACGCTGCACTCCACTGTGAGCTGGGTCAGGGCTCAGGTGGTCGGCTCCTAGGAAGCGCTCAGTACACAGCCCTGGTGATGAAGTGGATGTACACAAAGACAGCACACCTTGGGATGTGTTGTGCATGTGGATGACACTGGATGCAGGACCTACGAGACACAAGCTTGAGAATCACCACCAGAAGGTTCCAACCTTGAGTGGCTGATTAAAAACTGTACGGTTGTCTTAGACTTATACTTTAAAGCTGCATTTGCTAGTGGTCACTCTCACTGACTCTTCAGATACAGTTAGAACTGATGCTTCCATGTGGAATTATTTTAAATAATTACTAGGAGTGAGTTGGGGTCCAGTCTCTGCCACTCACTCAGTAGTTGACCTGCCCAGTGCAGTGTGGGGCCAACCCTGCCAGTGAGCCTGGGCACTCTGTCTGAGGCTCCAGTGTCCAGCCACCTGCTAACTTCTGTCATTCAGCCTCACCCTGGGTGTTTTTGCCACATGGACAAATGTGATAGACACAATAAATAAAGTAGATATATATTCAGAATAAATATTATATAGCAAGACTAAAATATAAATAGCAAGTGCAAAACAAATTAAATGAGGATATGAATGACTTCAGTGAAGCCACTGAGCTAACAACTACCTTTAAAACTAAAACAGTAAGTAATTGAGAAATGCAGTTATCATTGGGCAAGAAGTCAAATGAAAAATACGGTTTGAAAGTGAACAGCATATTTTCAGCATTCCTTTAAGTTCACACAGTACGTTTGCACATGGCACATTATCTAAGCTATGGGAGTCTCAAGTGCACGGTTAAGTGGACACTGTGCAGTGTGATTTACGCAAGGAAAAAAAGACAAAAATAATCTTTATGCAGCGCTGTCATTGATTTTTAAAATGATAAATTGGTGGGTCTGGCACAGAGATCAATGGAGTTGAAGTCACGACGTCAAATTGAGATGTGAGGTTAAGGCTGAGAGACAGACATCTCCTTCTCTCATGCTGGCCCGATGAACTCTCCAGTTTTTTTGGTGAGCTCTGGTGAAAACTCTTTTTAACCCAGAATGTCAGCATTTGGGTTATAAGAACATTAATTTATCTGACTGCAGTGAGATACATTTTCTCAATTCTCCTTATTTGCTTCTTTTACCCTAATACTAGGTCACCAAATTCAAAGACATTCTTTCTCTAAAAACTCAACTTCTACCCAACTGAATTTTCACCAAAGGAATCGCTGAGGTTGAGTTTGGTGGTAAAGAACCCAACCCTTTGGTGCTTTTTTCTTTTCTAAACACTGCATGGCCAGACGTCAGTACTGTTCAGCCCTGGAAGCCGTCTTCCTCTTTACTGCCTTCTCACGGTGTTTCCTTTAATTCCTGCTACACAAAAAGTTACAAGTGGAAATGGAAGAAAACAATTCTTTCCCAATCAGGATTCCCTGAGTTGGTAGCAAAATCACTGGCTAGGTTTGTGTTAGTAGCCTCATTAAATATTTATTAAGCACCTGTTATAGATACTACTATGCTTAGTCATTTAAGGATTTGCGCTGTGAATCGCTTCATCCAATTTCCTCCTATTTCAAAGTATTTCTTGTGGACATTCTAGGACGTAAGAGATAATGAAAAACTTATTTTTTAAATAATATTTCCAGTTGAAAATTCACACTCAAATATTTAATAGAAATCCTATCTTCCCCCCCCCCCCCCCCCCGTTCCTGCTGGCTCCCAGATTTCTGTTGCCATTAAAATCCCCCACCGCCTTGCTGGCCTTGGGTAGCATCTTTAATCCCTTCTTTCTATCTTGCCACATTACAAAGACTTGTCTGCCAGAAGGTTTTACTCATAGCTGCCCCCTAACTTACTTCCCAGTGCTACTGAGACTGGCACATTCTCATCTGTGACACCTTCTCAACTGGTCTCCAACTCCTCTCCTCTGGTTTGCCTCTAGTTATACCGCCTTAATCTTCTGAGAATATATGTTCTTGTTTCAAACATCAACAGAGGACCCTCTTGCCCTGCTGGTTCCTCCTCAAACTGACTCCAGACTATGCCTCCACTCTCTGATTCCAGCACCTCAACCTTTGCTGAATGTCACTTCTCACTCTTCCCATACAAGTCTGTAGCCCTGAGCACCCTACCACTTGGCTTAAGCTCCAGGACTAATGTCTGCTGGGCTCAGGAGTGCAATCTCAAGCATCACCCACGAAGTGAGCCGGGGCATCACTCTCTGCCTGTAATCTCCTATCCTGATTCTACCTGGGAGTCTTTAGGCTCCTGCCACTTCCTTGCCACCTCCTCCCCTCCTCCTGGACTTGAGCTTCTTGGAGTCCTCTCACTTGGTCTTGTAACACCTTACACATTGCCTTGGCCACTGCTGCAACAGCTCAGTACATATCCACAAATCAGAAGTCCTCTCTGAACAAAGCCATCTGCATATCCATCTACCTTCCCTATGCTTGCCCCATTTAAAAATCCCAGGTTTTATATCTTTGCTGCATTTTTTAAGGATGCTAAAATCACTTACTACAAAAATAAGCAGATTTCACTGTACAAAATGCAGGTAGTAAGAGGTATCTAAAATGTAACCACTAAGTACACATAGAAAAGATTTTTAAAAACATGAAGAAGGACCATTGACAAATACAAGATCCTTCCTAGAGAAGAACAAGGGTGGGGGATCTCACATCACCAGTGGAATGACCTAGAAACACAAAGACTGCTCAATTTCATTAAGGTTGGCAGTGAATAGGATATAGCCCCATGCTGCTTCCTCAACTGAACAGCTGTAAAAAGGCCCTCATGCCATCAGCCTGTGCTTTTTCCTCTTTCTCTCTGGGATGTGCCTGTCCATGGAACCCCTGCTTTGGGATATAGCTGTGATCATCTCTGCTGAGATGGAGTGAGAGCAACTTTTATTTGCAAGGCTGCCTGTAGTATTTTCAGCATTCCGTAGCCTCCTTCCCATGTCTCTCATATGTTGTAGTTTACTGCATTTCATTTCATGGCCAAAGCTAGATTATTAAGGGCTGAACTGGAATTTTCCATATTAAGTAGAATATAAACTTCAACAAGCATTTTGATATGGTGGGGTTTTCTTTTGTTTCTTTACCATTCTATTGGATAGAATAGTATAATTCATATGAATGTATGCTGTGCAGAGATGTAAGACTCTCTTCTTTTCTTTTTTTGCTCAAACTTCCTAACAGCAGGATAGTGTGGTAAAGAGAACATGTCTATGGATGTGCAATACTTTGAATAAACAGTTCAGTGCTCTATAAAATAAATATTCACAAATAATGACTTTGGGGAGAGTTATTTCCAAATCCCTTTGAAATATGTTGTTAGCCAAAAGGTTTATAGAGTAATTTAGAATCATAATTCCTGCTTGTCCCTAATATCTGCTGTTCTACATTCAAGTTAATTTTCTCTCAGTCCCAATTAGAGCTGGGAATACATACTCAGCAGAAAGAGACACATTTGTCAGGTTAGAATGTTTTGTTTTTATTCAGGTAGTGATTTGTCATCTGATAACATCTTTATACACCTCAAAGTCCCTCAACCCATTCATTATGGTTTGAATAATGTCTAAAGCACGTACGACTCAAATGCACACTGAATATCCTGTGACTTACAGTAGAGGGGTCTCTGAAAGGACTTGAATTTGGAGCCAGGAAATGTCTCTGAAGTTATGGTTTTTCTCAATGTGAGAGGTAAGATCCTTGGTTGCCTGGAGATACCTTAGTTAGTGCCTTCAGGATCTGAAACAGACACATTATCACACATGGTCCAAAGGTTCAAACCTATCCTTTCATGGCTTAGTGCTTAACACAAGACATTGTCCAAACAACTTGTTTACAGCAATCCTGTCAGGGTCCCTATAGTTTGGTTCCTGCAAGTCTGTATTCTGTCCTTAATGTATAAGAACAATGTACATTTTAAATAAACTGATTAAAAGTCATGAAGTTTCACTACATATATATCATAGGTTAGCTCCAGTATTGGAATAAAGACTTCTCTCAATGTTTGTATGAGAATTTCATGGTAATGAAAGTGTCGTCATGTAGTATCAATCATATTAAATTTTGCTTTAAAATATTGAAGTCACCCCATAATGTTATGAAATATTAAAATCAAATATGTGAGACAAAAAAGGATCTGCTTCATAAATCATGCCAGCTAATTTCTGGTTGGGGAATGTAGGTCTCCAACCAGTGGAATCATGGTGGGGAGGGGTTGTGGTGCTTCACATTTATGAAAGACTGTTGAAAATGACGATGACACTGGTTTTATCTGGGGAGTTTTTATGACCTCACACTCCCAGAATGACGGTGGTTTGCCTCAAGTATGTAGAATTTGCCTGCCTTCCCAACTGAGCTTCTTGGATGCTATGGACGCGTTGAACAGCATCCTTCACAAGCGTTAAAATCCGTGGTGAACCTGTCACTGCCCTCCTACGTAAATATCTGACCACAGAGCTGCTGCTTTGGGAGGTAGCTGTGATCATTTCTGTATCATGAGTCTCTGAGAAGCATAAGTCACCTGCTTCTCATATTCCAGAGTTCAGTAGTTGTCTCTAAATGAGATAGCCATGGCTGGGCGCAAACAAGAGAATACAAATGTCTACGTGAACGGGTCTGTCCTGCCACTCCACTGCGATCCGTTGTTATTTCTGAGAATCATTTTGATTTTTGGACTGCTTATTTCAGTGTGTAGGAGTCTTCCTTGTAGATGAATGCCTTTCACGTACAAGTCTTTCTCTTATTTATTGATTTATTTAAAAATTTTTCCCTACAGAGGGAGAAACAAAACACAAAAATTCCCTTTCCTGCCACAGGGGAAAACAACTGTGGCAAAACAGAGAAGCCCCCGAAGTAAACAGAGTAATAGAGTACCCAGCCTCCCATAGAGCTTGCAGAAATCTCATTGTGCAGACATGGAGCTTCCCAGCTTTTGCCTTGTTAGCCTATTTCTTAACCAGTAATTCTGTTTCTTAATAGGATAAAGGGCCTGACTTACATGAAAGCTCAAAGTCTTAATCACAATGATAAAATACAAAGTCGTGGCAACTGTAATAAGTTTAAAGACATATGTAGCTTTTCAAGGACATCTTGTCTTTAAGGAAAAGTCTTTCATTTAGCTAAAGAAATTAAACTGAATTGTTTAGTCTTTTAAACAAAATGATGAATTTAGTGAAGAAAACAAAACTCTCCATGGCTAATGTAATTTATGCAAAATCATGCAATTAGTGATAGCTGTGCTAGACTTTTTCTTTTCCTTAACCAAATGCGCCTCTAATAAAACCATCGTGAGGAGCAGTGCCATCTAATGTAAGTAGTAAACATGGATAGTAAATGATTAATATCTGGTGAGGCATGCAGATGGCAGGACTTCCATTTTTTCTTTGAGCTCCTTGTGCATGTTTGCTAATCATTCTTGCAAAAAAATTGCAAAGATAAATATGAACTTTCAAAAGTAACATTCAACAGGATATGAATGTAAGAAATAGTACAGTGTGGGGGAATAGTAAAAACCAGCACTTTCCGCCTCTGCATAGTGAAATGACGGTAACTTGCTGTAGCGTAAGCTTAATAAGGGTTATATCATTTTCATGTATGTACTACTCTGGGAATGGCCCGGGTCTTGTGAGTGGTATTTTTTCATCAAGTACCCAGCCAGCGCAGTCACTCTGACAGTCCCCCCACTGAGATAAGGCATGGAAAGGTAACCCTCTAGCAAGTCCTCGTTGAGGGGGGAGCGTTCAAGTGCACAGACGTCTACCCTGTGCTATCCTGAGCTGTAGTCTTCTGAAATGATCGTTTGGCTTCCCAGCCAAGGCAGGGCTCCCCCAAAGTTCATTCCCACTCTTGCAGTTTCACCTCGGGATGCTTCCGCAGAATTTCAGCGCCTAAGCAGACAAGGTCAAAGTAAACCGCTTCACCGCTGCTTCTGGCGCAGGGGCCCAGAGCGCGTGCAGCTCCCCAGCACAGACCAACAGCAGGAGAGGGGTCCGGGCGGGAGCCCTGGGCTGTAGATAAGCAAAACGCACCCATTTTCTCTCCTATTTACTCCAGAGGCACCTCTCCTCCCCCACTCCTGGCATCTCTTTATCACTGGCTCCCTCTCCCTGTGGCATATTTTTGGGTAGTAGAATGCTGAGGTCACAGGGAGCGGCTCTTTATCCAAGCAGTGGGGACATCAGCCTGGAGCCCTGAGCATGAACCAGCAAGATGCAGACTCTCGCTCTTGACTTTGGGCTCCAGGAGCTGCCCCGACCCCGGGCTGCCCGCGGGCTCCCTCCTCCCTCCTGCCCTCGCCCGCCAGCTCGCAGTCTCTTAGGTCTGCAGCGTTGGTTGGTTTCCCACGCCTGTCCCGGTCTGACTCGGGCTGCCAGGCACCGGGAAGCCCCGCGGCGCCGACCCCAACCCGCAGCCCCGGGAAGGTGCCAACCCCAGCGAGTGGAGGAGACGAGCATTTCACGTGGGCATCTGCCTTCACTGCTGCTCGCGCCTCTCCTCAACGGCCGGCGTCAGGGCCCCTCTGTTCCAACTCATCCCCCCCCCGAAGTTAATCAGCCGTACTTGTACTTTCCAGGGCGCTTTAGTTTGGAAAATACTTAAAAGCCTCGAAACCTTCCGGGGAGACGGCCGCCCCCAGATCTCCCAGTTTTGCCTGGCTAGGGCTGTCGGGCGCTCACGAAGCTGTGGCGTCTGTCTGGAACCCACATCGCAGAGGCGCAGCCCCGCTCCTCCCTGACGTCGCCAAAGTTGCCAGACGCCCCTCAGCGACCCGGTCGCGCCAGATGCAGTTGCATAACCTTGCCCCCCACCTGCGACCGCACCGGGTCCGCTCCCGGCTGCACCGGGGTGTCCCGGCCCCGGGAGCCGCCGAGTTTCCGGCCAAGCCGGTTTGGGGCCGAGTGTGTGCGCCCGAATCGGGGTCGGCGCCCGTCCCAGCGGTGCTCTGCCCGCGGCCAAGTACGACGGGCGCGGGGGCGCGGGAGGAGGGCACGCGGGGCTCCGCTTACCTTCCGCTGCTTACAGATAAGTCGAGGTCGATGCAGCGCCTGGCTCGGGCATGTCTCGCTGCGGACCCTGGCAAGCCTGGGGCGGCACGGAGCACTCCGGACAGGGCATCCGCGGCCAGACTCGCCGCGCTCACGCGGAGGAAGCCTCGGCTCCGGGGACTTGGCCCGCTGCGCGCCTGCTGCCCGCCCCCTCCACCGCTGCCGGCCCGGCCCTGCTGGCCCGGCCGGCCCCCGCGCCGCAGCTCGCGTCGCTCGCGTCCCTCCGGCCCCGCTTAGCGACGCGCGCGGGGAGGCAGCGGCTGGGCCAGCTCCGGGGACGCCCGCGCGCTCGCTTGCTCGCGACGCGGCGGAGCCAGCCACAGCCACCCGGCTTCGCGCTCCTCCGATGTCCTCATTTACTGCAATTGTCTTCGGCGAGATCTCAGAGCCAGGGCCAGGAGGCGGGGGCGGGGCAGAGGAGGGAGCAGGAGGGAAGTCCTTTCCGCTGCTCCAGGTCCCAGCTACTCCGCGGAGCCGGGCGGCCAGAGGCGAGGGCGCCCCAAGCCGCGCGCCTGCCGCCTGTGCGCCCGGCTGGCACCGAGGCGGGCGGAGCCCCGGGCCCCGCGGGGCGGAGGTGGGGCGGGGGCGGCGCGGGGCCGGGCCGGGCCGGGCCGCGTGCGTGGGGTGGGGGATAGGGAGGGAGTGGAGGAGCCCCCTCCCGCCGCCGCCAGAGCTGGAGGAGGAGGAGGAAGAGGAGGAGGAGGTGGAAGGAGCTGCCGCCGGCTGCCGCCGGCTGCCGCCTGCGCGCGGGGCTCCGCCACAGCGCGTCCTCCGGGTTTCTGGGCTGCAGGCGGCGCTGCATGGCCCGGGAACTTGTTGAGTCTACCCTGGAGCCGCCTCCGGAGCAGCTGGCGGGCGGGGGACTCCGTGTGTTCTCTCAGGGATGGGGGGTCGCTGGGGACCCTGCTGCATGACTGTCTGCTGTGCCAGCCAGCCTGGCCCGGCGGGGCTTTGGGAAGCCAGGCTTGAAGGGTGCGTGTCTTGTAGGTGCCTGGCCGCTCACCTGCGGATGCTGCCTTGTAGAAGCAGGAGTTCGGGGATCCTTTCAGTGCTGGCTCCAACCTGGTGTCAGCCTCTCTACATGGGGACAGGAGGTCCTATGAGTGGCCTGAGGACTGAAGTGGGAGGGCCTGCCTGGTAATGTTGCATGCTGACATTTAGGGACACTCCAGAGCAGGCGCCACTGCCACTCCTAGCCAGGAACCCTACCCCCCATCCAGAGCACACACCACCCGTCAGCAGAAGCCACAGGGCGCAGAGGCTGAGTTCCTTTGTGGCAGAGTAGAATTCTCTTGGGAGAGGAAAAGACCTAGGATGCACACGGAGCTATCCCCGCCCTTAATTTCCCACCCACCAAAGAGTATTGGGTGTTTTGAGCTCAGAGCAGCAGACCCAGGGGCCCCTCTGATGCCTGTCAGGCCCTGGGGTCTGGGCCAGGGACTAAGCAGCCAGCCGAGTGCAGGGCTCCTGGCCCCCTGGATTTGCTCCTAGAATGTAATGTAAAATGTAAGTAGCCACATTTATTAGTCTGTTTCTCAGGAAAGGTCAGAGAAGTAGTGGACCCCAGGGAAGGGACAGGCTTCGGAGAGGAAATTGGGAGGACAAATGGAAAGTCCCTTCACCCACCCACCTCTCCAGACACATCAGTGGGCAGTGAGACCTCTTTGCCTATACATCCCTGAGTCTCTGCACCTAGCACCAGCTCTGTGCCTGTGACCAAGCCATAGCTCCATCCTTGTTCGCTGAGCTGAACTGAGCCTATCACTGCCTTATAGAGTGTCTGTTTTTTATAAATGACTTTATACGAAATACCTTCTTTGTATGTGGATGCTTTGGGCAGTGTGTCCAGACATTTCAGAAGAAAAAAAAATCTAAAATGTCATCTATTTCCCTCTTTACCCCGCAGCATCCTTTGGTATACAATTTTGCCAGCCTTGGGGATCCAGATATGCCCAGGACGGGAGTCCTGAGCCTGTGGATCCAAACTCTGCCCACCTCACTCTTCTTGTTGTTCTTCTTAACTCAGATCCCCCAAGCTGATTTTCCAGCTTACCAGGGAGGCTGTTGGGAGCTGGCTGGAAAGAGATGCTTAATTTTGTGTGAGCAGTATGGAAACTGCAGTCCCCTCTTCTGCCTGGAAGGGGCCTGGGAAGGGAATGTATAGGAGTTGGGGACGTTTAAAACCAGATAGGAGAAGTTGCCACTCTCCAGCATGTTCCCTTGGGGATGTGCTGTTGCAGCTGTGGGCTCCAGTAATTTTCCCAGTGGTCTGGGGAACTTCTGTAAATCTTACTTTATTGGCAATCCATAAAATTGAAATCTGCCTTCCGTCTTTTAAAGTGACTGTAAATAAAGCTGCCAGGAAACTTGGGCATTGGGCTGGTAGTATCAGAAGGCTGAAGTTTTCCGGGACCAAGAGTGAAAACAGGTCAACATAAATGCATGCCCAGCAAGGCAGTGCTCAGCCACAGGTGGCACTGTGAACTGGCAAGAAAACAGCTCCAAGGACAGTGCTATCTGAGATTCGCATGATGTATAACTCCAGGAAGAAAATGGAAAGCCGTAATTGGCAGGTTAGAAAATCCACTTACATGAAGAGGAGAGTATAACGGAATTCTGTAGCATCATCAGGACTGCTTAGAGTTGTTCAATTGTGTAGTAGACTTACAGTTGTTTTGCTAAGTCTATTAAAATCATTGGCATCGCTTCTTTTTTTTTTTTTTGAAGTAGGAAACCATTTACATATTGTAGTGCTTAAGTGCATGTCTTCAGCATCACAAATCAAAATATTGGTGAAAACTTGCCTCACCTTACCTTTGGCTCTGGAGAGATATTCCACATGGGTGAGGTGTGTGTCATCATGCTCCAGGCTTTAAAGCAAGCATCATGCTGGGGGCTGGCTGGAGAGAAGGGAGTTTCAGCCATCTTCCTGCCCACAGATCCCTCTTGCATTTTTTTTTAATAGATGGGATGTAGGCATATTTTTAGGGTCTAGAATGAGTCAATATGCTCGGCTTCCTCAGGAAAAAAAAAAAGTGAAACTTGATAGATTCATTTTAGGAATCAATTGGTATTGGCTTTTTATATTTTGCTTAAGATTTTTGTTGAAAAAGATAGACTTGCAAAGGAGAAAATAGCTACTTTTCAAGTGGGATTTCCTAAAAGCAGAGGAATAAAAATAAGGGAAAGTTCAAGACGGCTAACTAAGCAAAATATCCACGTCTCTCTTCTTTTGCCTTCTTCTTGGAATTGTGCAGGGGTTGTACAGAGAATTGCTGGAATTCCACCCCTATGGTATAGTGAGTTTGAGGTCTCAATTTCCACATTAAAAAGTCAAGAATATACAAGTCAAACATGTTCAAGAATGTTCATAACAGGTTTATCTATATCTGTTCCAAACGGGAAATAATCCAAATACCAGTCAACAGTAGATAAAGATTTCTTGGTTCTTCGTATAGTGGAATACTAGACAGCAACCCAAAAGCACTAACTGCTGATGCATGCTTTGGCATGGAGGGCTTCTACAAAGGTGCAGAACAAAGGAAGCCAGACGCCCAGTGTTTATGACATGATTCCCTTTAGATGAAGTCCAAGAATGCGACAAAGTTATCAATGGTGGAAAATATCAGAATGGGGATTACCTTTGAGGCATACTCGTTGCCCGGGACCACAGCAACTTCACTGGTGCTGGATCATTCTGTCTCCTGCACTAGTTGCTTATGCAGTTTTCCACCTATATAGAAATTCATGGAGATGCTTCCTGTCTCAGTGTGACCTCATTTGTCTGAGCATCATCACTGTGTCATTGCAATGTCCACATGCATGCTCCCCAATAACCCTTACCCCTCAGTGAACCAGTGTATCTGTCAGTGTGATTAACCTGTATCCTCTCCAGTGTGCAAGG
The DNA here is from genome assembly GCF_000001405.40 of Homo sapiens. Classification (NCBI taxonomy): domain Eukaryota; kingdom Metazoa; phylum Chordata; class Mammalia; order Primates; family Hominidae; genus Homo; species Homo sapiens. The sequence goes on from NC_000010.11 coordinate 127,199,940, forward strand.
CAGGAGAAGAGAAAAGTGTCTCCAAACTAGCAACTGCAGAAGAGGAGCCTTCCAGTTTAGCTACACAGCAGAACTTCCTTCTTTAGGAGACTGCCGATGAAACGCCTGCCCTCCCAACTGTCCGATGTCGCTGTGACAGAGCTCGCTATGGACGTGAATTTTTCTTTCCCATGTCTTTGTTACACAAAAGCGGTCCCGATCCAGATCCCAAGAGAGGGTTCCCGGATCTCACACAAGAAAGAACACAGGGCGAGTCCACTGTGCAAAGTGAAAACAAGTTTATTAAGAGAATAAAGTAGTGAAAGAACAGCTACTCCATAGACAGAGTGGGACATTCCCAAAAGTAAGAGGAGGAATGCGTCCAGCCTAGGTACAATACTCATATATATGGGGAGCTCTGCTCTGCTACGAGGGTTTGTGATAAAGGATTAAATTTCTTAATTATTATATTTTGCAAGAATCGATATTATCTGTTTTCGTTTTTGTTTTTGTTTTTGTTTTGGAGACAGAGTTTCGTTTTGTTGCCCAGGCTAGAGTGGCGTGATGTCAGTTTACTGCAACCTCCATCTCCCATGTTCAAGCAATTCTCGTGCCTCAGCCTCCTGAGTAACCTGTAACCACGCCTGGCTGATTTTTTGTATTTTAGTAGAAATGAGGTTTCACCATGTTGCCCAGGCTGGTCTCCAACTCCTCAGCTCAGGCAATCCACCCATCTCAGCCTCCCAAAGTGCTAAGATTACAGGCGTGAGCCACTGCGCCCGATATTATTATCTTTAAAGTAAAATTAGGAACGCCTTTGTTCTCAGGATGTCTGGATATTAGGACACTCCCAAGTCTGGGTCTGTTTAGTAAACATCACCAGTGTGTTCCCTTAACCTTAAACATCTAGAGGTGAGGAATGCCTAACTTTCTAAGAATGCAGCCCAGTAAGTCTCAGCCTCATTTCTCTAGTCCTCACTCAAAATGGAGTCGCTGTGGTTCGGATGCCTCTGACATCTGCATATTCCAAAGAGACTCATAGATGAGCCCAACCTAAGTCTGTGATGGGCAGGTTACACCCGTCAGTTCAGAAGCTGTGGTAGCAGATCAGCCAGTGCTCAACGCCTACGAGGGAAAAGTAACTCATATCGCCTTCGACCTGTAGGGTCGAGATCATTCCCTTGGGGACACTTTAGCCTTGTCTTTCAAGAACAAGACAGACACAATCCTCAAGGTGCCCCAGTGGGGCCTCCTTTTCTGCCGAGAAGCCCTGCAGGAAGGCTTTCTGCATCATTCCCCTTGTCATATTCTGCTCGAGCCTTCACTCTCCTCTTTCTGGGCTTATTTCTGGTTTAAGACTCTCGCTTTGTGTAAAGCCCCTTGCCCGTGGCTCTTGCACGGTCCTGGCAGCCGAGCCGTGTTTCCTTCTGGTGGGAACCAGAGCTGTTTCTGAGGTGCTGGTCCATGTTCCAGGGCCATGCCACTCCTCTGGCTTTCTTTTCCTTTCATGGTAAGAAACTAGAGATGGTTTATTGGCCTGAAATACAAATTTGTTTTGGAAAACCTGAGCATCGTGAGGACTCGTTGAGATCCCTGGCTTTCTATGATGCATCATTGTGAATCTGATTTATCCACAGAAATGGAAGGTTTTCCTTTTGAAAGAGAGGGAAGTAGCTCTAGGTTTTTGTTTTTTTCTAATGCTCCCTGCAACTGAGGCAGTGATGTATGGGAATAAGGAAGAGCAGGCGTGCACTCTGGCTCTCCCCTCTCCCCTCACAATCCCTCATTTTCAGGGCTCTGAGCAAACCCCAAGGCTTTCCCCTCCCAACTGCAGCCTCTCCTTTCTTTTAGGCGGACTCCTGGGGAATGAAACAGAAACCCTTTATTTTGTTGACCTTTATTTGGTCAGTCTTGGGTGCTGGTTTCTATAGGGTTTCTTACTATCCCATTCTCGTCACTGGGGAGCCAACCTCTTCAGCACAGGTAGATGGCTCAATGGGCTTGTCTTAATCCTTGCTGGTAAGGCCACCAGTCTCATTGAGCCTGCTGAAGCCACCTTCTCATAAAGTGGCTGACATGCCCACAGAGAGTGACACTTCTGATCAGAACTAGGGCAGGAAGGAGCCAGGCACGGTGGCTTATGCCTGTAATCCGAGCATTTTGGGAGGCCAAGGCGGGCAGATTGCTTGAGCTCAGGAGTTCGAGACCAGCCTGGCCACTATGGTGAAAGCTTGTCTCTACTAAAAATAGGAAAATTAGCCAGGCATAGTGGCTCATGACTGTAATCCCAGCTAGTCGGTAAGCTGAGGCAGTAGAATCACTTGAACCTGGGAGGTGAAGGTTGCAGTGAGCCAAGATCGCGCCATGGCATTCCAGCCTGGGTGACAGAGCGAGACTCTGTCTCCAAAAAAAAAAAAAGAACTAGGACAGGAAGGGGTAAGAATGGATTTCACACTTGAGTTTCCACCCACCAGCGCTGTGTGCTGGTGCTGGAGCTACTGGCTGCCCTTCCCAGGCCTTCTGCCCCGGTGCACAGGAGGCTTTTCTTTAGGGAGCTGCTGCAGGGAGGCCTGCAGTCTTCTCCCAGCTGGGGGGTGTAGGAACTTCCTTGTTTGCCCTCCATCCCCACCTTAGGTTCCACAGGCATGGAAGAGGGATGGGGTAAAGGGGAAGGCAAGGAACATGGAAGCCTCCTTGTTGTACTTTTTTCCTTCCCCAAGCCCTGACTGAATATGAGACTTCGATGAGAATGATGCTCCGCTTCGGTTGTGCGCCTCCAGGGTGGCAGGTACTCGGTCCATTGTGGATTATATACTTTGGTTCTTACCAGATAACTGGGCACTCAATACTGTTAAACTGTCTCCACAGATGTGGATCAGAGAACGTAAATGATCTCTCCAAGGTCACACAGCTAGGAAGGGGTGGAGCCTGGATTCAAATCCAGTTCTGTCTGATGCAACCAGAGGACAGATTCTGACCAAAAATGCCAACTGCTCATGCCAGGCTCTCAGGAAGCTGATGCTGCGTCCAGGCTGGCTGGAGAGTAGCTTTGACCAGCATTCTTTTGTCGTCATTAGCCGTCCCTCATTATCTCACTGTATTAGTTACACTTTGAAATAAAAACAGGCACTGAAACAGCAATATACTCAAATCATTTTGCATTTCGATAGCACTCTAAGCTTCCCCAATATAATTTCAGTGATATTCTCACGTTTTCTTCGTTGAATAACAGCTATTAAAATGATTCATCACAATATACGTATCCCATCTATACCACAAGAGGCCACTTCACACCCTTCTGGTGCCATGTATAATGGCATCGTATTACCATGGCCTTTTGATTATCTTGAACACCTCTTTGGTGCTGTCATTTGCTGAGATTCAGTCATAGTGGACAGGATATGTGTTTTTATTTTTTTTAAAGATGACTAACACACTGTGCATATAATTCTAATTACCTACCCTTGACATTTTATGCGCTTAGTGCAATAAATTATTTTGCTAGTTTGGTCTAAGAATTGACGACCTGACTTTAGATGTATTTATTTCGCAGCGTGGCTCATGGGTGATGTGATAACAAGCTATGAAACATTGGAAAGCAAGCATTTTATTCTTTAACACCAAGTTCCAAATGGGAAAAGTACAGAATTAAAAATAAAAAAATCTCTAGTTATGTTTGATGACCTCTGAGTTCCTGGAACTGTCAGTTCCATGTTTTCCGTAAACGTTTTTTTTTTTTTTTTCATATTATTGAGTCTTTGGAGAATTAAACAGTCTTCGCTTTAATTGCACTGCACGGTAGGGCTGCGGATCTCCCCGTGTCCAATTCACCTAATTTGTGTTTTGGCACATTCTGCAGCTGTGCCATACTCTAAATGTGTGTGCACCCCTCACTTCGGGGTTCTCATATATTAGTCCACTAACTAAAGTTAAAGTAAAAAATCAAAAACTTATTTTAAGACATTTCTTACACAATTTTGATTTTTTTTTTTTTTGAGATTCAAAGAAAGGCAGGGAATTTGGCTTGTAAATGTTGCTTAATGTTTTTTTCTCTTTTTAGAAACTCCAGTGTCCATAGTTTAAAGTGAATATGGCTAGAATGTTGTACAAACGCTCCTGGCTTCATCCACATCCCTGTATCTCGGCAGTCACAGCTCCCTGGCACCTTCTCCCCCTTGCCTGGACGGAGGCTTCTGAGTGATCTCCTAGGCCTTCCTAGATTGAGAGGGGAAAGGGAAGATCTTAAGATTCCAGAATATTCATTTCATTTAAGCGAGGGAGGCAAATCCTACAGAGCTTTTTCCCATTTGTGTTCATTTATTGGCTGTTTCCGTGGATTCGAGAAAGAAACTTGAAAATCTGTTTTGTTTTGTTTGGTTTGGTTTTGAGATGGAGTCTCACTCTGTCACCCAGGCTGGAGTGCAGTGATGTGATGTTGGCTCACTGCAACCTCTGCCTGCCAGGTTCAAGCAATTCTCCTGCCTCAGCCTCCTGAGTAGCTGGGATTACAGGCATGCACCACCACACCCAGCTAATCTTTGTATTTTTAGTGGACTTAGGGTTTCACCATGTTGGCCAGGCTGGTCTCGAACTCCTGACCTCAAGCAATCCACCTGCCTCAGTCTCCCAAAGTGCTGGGATCACTGGCGTGAGCCACCGTGCCTGACCGTTTTTTTAAAAAAAAATAGAGATGGGCGTTTGGAAACTGAGTCACTCAAAAGGTGAAGTAGCTTTGTCCCACAGATCTGTTACTCAGTACAAAGTTGAAAGGAAACCTAAATTCATTTTATTTGTGTTTCCAGTGTGCATCCCAGACATTTGTTTCAGAATTTGTTAAACATTGAAGAAGATCACCTAGGGTTGAGTAGGTAAGAAGTAAATGTGGCTTTGAGAGGCCGTGATAGCCGATACCCTCAATGGCTGCTCTTGGCCTGTTGGACAAGCCATCCTTGCACATGACTTGCTATCCTATGACCCGCCTCCAGATCAGTCACCCTCCCCATTTGACTGTGGGTGGCCTGGCTCTGTTTGATGACCATGAGCAATAAAGTTACCCTTTCATTACCATGCCTTGGGCTATCTGAGCTGGATGCCCCTAAGTTCTAATAGAAAATAACATTTATTGATGGTTTTTTTTTTCTTCTCTGAACCCAAATATGACAATGAGGAAATTTATTTTAAAGGTACTGATTTTTTCCTTCCCCACAGAGTAAATATTGTCACATGGAACTGCTGATGATACTTCTGAGTCCCTTAAAATAAGACTTGTGATTCATTCACACCATGAAAATGGTAGAGAACCAACATCTTCACCTTCAGATTCATACGTTATTGGCTCTTTCCTTTTTGGTCCGTGGGTGTTAATGAACATTTTCACTCTGGAGCTTTCTCTGCTTCCGACTCCAGCGTGGATGAAGGAGTGCAGCTTCTGGCCTGCCTGGTTCATCCTCTGGGTCTCTCAGCCCTGGGATTTCCACGTTCCATCTCTGTTGTGGTGGGCGAGTTGCATGATGCATTCGATTTGATATTTTACAGAACCTCTACTGAGAAAATAGGGTAAGCAGATTAAAGCTGAACTCAGACACGTGTTTGGCAACCACCCACTCTTGATGGCGTAAGTGGATGGAGGCAGGTGGCCACAGCAAACACCATGTGGCTTTACGAAGAAATGTTCCTCTTCCATACGTTAGGCCTGTGTAAAGTTCCTTGTTGGACTTTTGCTTCTTCGATGACAATACATATTTTGTTAGTATTTAAAGGACATTTTTAAACATTGCTGAAGTGCAATCAGCTTAAATTGCGATTCATATGACAAGTGTTGAAACAGGGTGATGTTTGCCATGAAATTTAAATAAGCTCCGTTAAAGCAGAAATGTCTATATACCATGTAAGACACAATGGTCTCCCATAGCCTTCCCCTGTTCTTTACTTCTTGACAAGCATGAATAGTCTCTCTGTTTGAATACAGAGTAGAGTCAGTTATTTTAAAAGAGTTATCATCTATGGGTATAATGCACTTTAAGCAAACTCTTTACATGCAAGTATGACTTATCAACAAGTAAACCTTACCAAATAAATGCTCATTTTGATTAAGGCTACCTTCAGATAACCACTGTTTATCATGCACTTAGAGGGATTCAGTTTTCCAAAATAATTTAAAAGGTGACTTTTTAGAACATCATCTATTACATTGTCATCTACCATATATTCTTCTTCTCTTTTTTTTTTTTTTTTTTTTTTTTTGTGACAGAGTCTCACTCTGTTGCCCAGGCTATAGTGCAGTGGTGCAAGCTCAGCTCACTGCAACCTCCACCTCCCAAACTCAAGCAATTCTGGTGCCTCAGCCTCCCGAGTAGCTGGAATTACAGGCACCCGCCACCATGCCCAGCTAATTTTTGTATTTTTAGTAGAGACAGGGTTTTGCCATGTTGGCCAGGCTGGTCTCAAACTCGTGACCTCAAGTGATCTGCCCACCTCGGCCTCCCAAAGTGCTGGGATTAAAGGCGTGAGCCACCGCGCCCGGCCTACTGTATATTCTTATATATACATGTGTATAAGAATATGCATTTACTTAATACGCTATCAATGTACAGAATTGTTTGTTGTGGATTTCTGCACATGTTCCTTGGGTAAGAGAGTCTTGATGTGATTTGCGCTGTGAGAGCAGAACTTAGGTGCTCTATGTTCTCCAAAGTCCCCCTCCACCTCCTGGATGGCATTTATTCAGTAGAATCCGAGCTCAATAAATAAAGAACCTCGTGTACTTCCCAAAGAGCCAGACACTGTGTTAGCTGCTTTATACATACATCTCTTAATTTTCATTTTTTGACAACATTATGAACTATGAAATATTGATAGGACATGAAAAATCAAGAGCTGGTCTTACGGAATAGTGCAGGATTCCTTCCCTGCTCCATTTTTCAAAGCTTTGCTCCATTGGAACTTAACAATGTGCTGTCTTTCAGTACGTCTGAAGGTCTTTTTCAATTTAAATCAGTTTATTCCTGTTTTTACCATATCCAGCTCCCTGCTACTCCTAATATAAACAGACTTAGTGGCCTATTAAGTATTTTACTTCTAATGCTTTTGAGTTTTTTCTTGGCAGTGGAGGTGTAATCTCTCCCAAAACCTGCCTGCACTTCACAGAGAATAGGACCGCAATTGCCAGAAGAAACTGAACCTTTATGGGGGAAAAAGAAAAATACAGCCTTCCCTCATTCTCCAGTCTTAATTGAGCTAACTCAATTTATGCCAACCAGTTCTTGCTGGTCATAGTTCTAGAGCTTTATGAGAATTAAATCCTGATCTCACCTTAATCCTCCTAAAATCTCCGTGAAACTGGGCACTGTTATCAGCACCATTGTGAAATGAGGCAGCAAGTACAGGGCGGTCCCTAAATGTGACTAAGTCAGGAATCTTATGTAGAAAGCTTACAAGGAAGTTGGGGGGTGATTAGGAATTGTCTCCAGAAATACCAGATAAACAGTTCAAATTTTAGTGAAGCAAAAGATAGGCATATTTTGGCCTTGTTTAACTTGTACCTGAATGTACCAATAACACTTTTGGAAGACTTGGACGTACTCTTCCTCTTTTCCCAGGAAAATGGGAGAGTATTCATTCCTGTACATATTGAGAACATGGACAATTCTCACATTTTAGGATTGTCTTAATAGGCAACTGACTTTATTATCTACGTGTTGATTGAAAGAATAGCTCATAGCAGGTGTTAAAAGTTTTTCCTAAAGAGCTACATTATAAATATTTTGGACTTTGAAGGCCATAACATCGTAACATTTCAAAGGTCATGAAAACCCAGCTCTGCTGGTGAAGCAGGGAAGCAGCTGTAGAGAATATGTAGACAAATGGGCAACTACTGAGTTCCAACAAAACTTTATTTACAAAACCAGGAGGTGGGCCAGATTTGGTCCACAGGCTATAGTTTTATGACCCCTGGCTTATAGCATAAGTTGTTGGACAGAATTTTGATACCATATGTAGACCCAAATTTTAAGAATGAATTGATGCGTTTGATTGATCACAGGAGAATTCAGTGTTTTTCCCCTTTGCTTCTTACATACGCTAGATTGTAGGCTCACCCGGCCTCCTCTGCGATTTGGGCAGAATTAGAGCAGTATATCCTATCAAGAATTACTTCTGGCAGGGGATATGGTGAAGGGGCCATTCATCTGTTAGTATTTGAGTAAGAAACAGTTCCATACAAACAATTGGGAATAGTAATGTCTTTGTCATTGTGAAACGGAAGAATTTTGCTGTCTTAGTTATGGGAATGCTCCAGTTATGGGAACTAAAGTGCAGTAATTGCTTTAAATGGACGGTCATATATGTTTGGCTCCTTAGTCCAATAATTTTATTCACCACGTTCCCCTGAGAGAAGACTTGACAAGACAATCCTGGACAGTCAGCATTGGATTTTCATCTCCAGCTGATTGATTTAGTATTTCATGCAACCCAATGGAGTATCTTTGCTGTAGGGTTTTAATACTGGAGCTATTATGATGACTGATGTAATTTAGTTTCCTGTATTGATGGTTTCCAAACAATTGAGATGAATAGTTAAGTTTCTATAATTGTTCTCTGTAACCATATGAAAAATGATTATATATTAGCTTAACATGAGTTTTTTCACTAAAATAAAAATCAATAATCAGTTGGTTATCCTTTTGAATATTATATTTAATGCCTCAGATTTGAATATTATCAGGAAGCCAAGATTTCAAGACCCCGTTTCATTTTTTTAAAAACATGACAAAATGTGACATAGTGAACATTGAGATCACTGAGCTTCATTGTGGATTAGCACCCCACTTTCAAATTTGTCAACACGATATCATCTGTTAGATGATATCTAACGTTGAGATGTTCTCTAAGATAATAACGTTGAGATATTCTCTAAAGACCTAGGATAAAGTTCTAATTTAATTTCCTATTGCAGTATTTTTGTGTTGCCTGTCATTAAGACTGTGGAGCTTCCTTATTAATTAAATTTAGTTCACTGTGTATATTGCTACCACTTACCAAGTGGTCGTTAATACAGCCTCTCTTAGGTGATGGCTTTTTGTTTACCTAGCGATGAAAAGCTTAACCTACACTGCATTTTTTTCATGTGTGTTTAACCGAAGGAAACATCTTTGAATTTATCTTCTCACTGCATAACTGGAAACACTGAAATTTATTTGATGATCCAGAATCAGTTCCTTGGTTTTTAACTTTATTTCCATCCACAACAAGTGGCAGCTTTGAGAAGGTTTCAGTTCTTTACACTGAGATTCCAGTGGATGAGTCTGAATGTTTAACTCCCAGAAGTTAGGAGAAGATTGAGCTTGCTTTTGGAGTTTAAGAATGAAAATGCAAGTGCATGTGCCTATTTTAGGGCCTAAGTTGGATTTTCATAAAATAAAGCAAAATCTGAGGTCACCCTGTGTGGGAAAACCTCATCCGAGACTGGAGATTGAAAATAGGAGCAAGGGCCAGAAGTAGCCGCCTGGAGAGCAGAGCTAAGGACTGGGTGGTGCCTGTGTGTCCTTTGGGCACCTGGTGACTTTCAGGACATCATAGACGCAAGGGTGAGGGCCCATCTCATCCTTACTGTCAGAGGCAACAGTACAGCCCTGGGGTGTATTTCACATTATACCACTAGAGCTGGGTGCTTAAAGGGCATCATCAAATCCATTTTTCTTACCTTGAGTGGAGGTGCCTTTCATTTGTAAATGATGGATTTGAAAAACGGACAAGTAGTGAAAATGCAGGAAAATGATTCACATCAGTAGGTGCTCCAGCAGATGTGGAGTAAAAATCAACATGTCCCACAAATGGGCAATTAAAGGTTACACATAGAATTTATGGAAAGAACTTTGGAGTGTCCCAGGGATTGCAAAGGTGGTTATAAATGCATGTGCTCACCTCTTCCTGTTAGCACACACACCTAAATACGCAGAATCTCTCAGCAGAGACATTCCGTTGAGAGCCTACTTAATAAACCTCATTTTAATTTTATTCACCTTAGTAAGGCTGCAGGAGTTGGTAAGTCCCGTGGACTTGGAGACTTAGGTTAAGGAATTCCAAACTTGACTGCTAGGCTGCTGGTACAAATCATCTTTCTCTCTTTCTAGTCACCTGGATACATTATGATGCGATGCCAGACTTCCCCAAAACCCCAATCAAGAAATAAGAAAAGATTTTTCTCCATTTCCTGGTTCCCTCACAGTGAGAATGAGATTTTTTATGAAGTCTTACATTTGGTGGTTATTGGCCCATTACCTATGGAAACCACTGTAAAGACCTCACAGTGCTGCCATCAGCATGCGCTCTGGACTTCGGCGGTGCCACATAAGGTGGCCCCAGTGCTCATCCCAGGAAGAATGGCCCCTGCTTGTCTCGGCAAATGACTCCCACGGAAGCTGTGGAGAGCCACGAAGGTGGCAGGCGGCATTAGAGGGGCTGTAAAGGGACCGATGCCTGAGAATTTCTTCTGCAGGATGTAGAACCGTGTGCATTTGGATGATAATGCAGTCAGAGGAGGGCTTCCTGTGATTACGGTGGAATAACTCTCAGGCTGAGCCCGGGAAACCAGGAAATGCACGTCTACCAGGAGCCGAAGCAGAGGGGTTTCTTTTTCCCTCTTGCTCTGTCTCGTTGAACCTTGGTTCTTCTATCTGTCCCTGAGTCCTGCCTCTGAGCCACTGCCTGTTCCCTGGGTGGCTCCAGCCATGGACTGCATGGGTGCCAGGCACATAGCTGGTGACTCTGCCCCTCTGGTGAGTGCAGCATGGCCTCTGCTCTCTCCCCCTGCCTCTTTTTGTTTTCCTTTTCTGAGGGTTCCTCAGCCTCATGAAGTTTAAAGCCTAATGCAGATCCTCTCCCTCCGCTGCATTGTTCTAGGTGTCACTGAATTTCTCCAAAGAGAAAAATAAAAACTCAGAATATTCTTGTGACTGATTTCTGAATGTGACACGTGGCGTAATGACTTAAACGTATTACAGCCAGCAGCTCTTGGTATAGGACCCATGATATTTTATTATATTTTGTTTAGCATTTTGTTGTACTTTATTATTTTATTGTCTTTGTTTTATTTAGAACACTTTATATCCACCCTTTTCACAGAGTTTTAAATGTACGTTACGGTACTGTTAACTCTGGGTACGATGTTGTGCAGCAGATGTCTAGAACTTACTCATCTTGTGGAAGTGAAACTGTACAATTGTGTCTGTGATCCTTCTTAAAGCCTTAGCTGGGCTGCTGAGTCCTGCACTCTAACTGCAGGAAGGGCAGCTAAGGAAAGCCAAGTGCAACTTGCCAGACAGATGGGATTTTCATGTCTCATCTATCAGGCAAGACATTGTCTCAGTGTACTCAGCAGACTCCTAGACTCGGGTTCTGGGCTGATGCTGTCAGACATCATAAAAGGAGAGACACTCCTCTCAGCCATGCTCCTAATACCCCTGATAAGCATGCTCCTAATTCATCTACTGCCCTTAGCAAAGCTGCCGTTTGTGTCTCCGATTTGGTGTCTTTATAGACATCGCCATCCCCTGTTAGTGAATTTGGGGTCTTGAGACGTCATCTGATGAGGACCTGCTGTTTCACAGAGGAAATATAACTGTCTGTGTGCTTTTTATTATTGTCATGTTTGCTGCTGACATTTCACAGCTTTCATTTATTGAATTTTGAAGACATTGATTTTTTCTTCATAGCAGAAATTATGGATCAGATAATTGGCCAAATAAGAAAAATTCAGACAGCATTGTTTTTCTAAACATACTGAAAATAACGCATGTACCTGGTGAAAAGTGAAGACGTCATGACAGAGGGTCCAGCCCTGCTGTCCAGGCCACCCCCAGGATGGGAGCCCTGAATCCTCATGGGATGTGCGCTGAGATACAAGGAGGTCCCTGCACACACCTGCCTTTCCCCGCTGCTGGACTCTTGCAAATCATTTCCTGTGAGTGTCAGCCAGCCCACTGCATGTTCCGAAAGCTCTGCAGAGTGCGCCAATATTCCAGAGTTTCAAAGTAGTGCCCTTTGAAAAGATTTAAACCTGCAAATAAAATTAAATTTGCATTTGAGAATACAATGTGTTTTCCTTCTTGAAGGACTTGATGCTTTGGTGAATAAGCATATATTACAAAATTATTCAATCACCCATCACAAGTGGGTGTGTCATTCCAGCTCTGTGCATCCTTTCAATGACTCCGAGGATGATATCCTCACGGAAGCAGAGTTATTTAACCCCAGTTCACTGATTTCTCAGAGTTGTTTACAAGGCGGCTTTCCGTGATGTGTCTGCTTGGGTAAGGCATTAAATTATTTCAAGAATCATTTTGGTCTTTGCTCTCAAGTAAAAGTGGTTTTAGAAGGAAACTTCTACCTGGCCATCGTGTGACAACACTGGCTGCATATCAAGAAAAGTGAGACTTTATTTTTTGCACATGATTTTATACTCATGTATGCTTGAAGGAATATGCAAGCGTCGTGAGATCTAATCCATACAGAAGTTGAGAATGTGTTTCCATTAGAAGGTAAAGAGCCTCTAGTATTCAAAGCCTTTGATTCAGCGGGCAGGTGCGAACGGTGGAGGACTGTGCTTCTCGCTTGCAGACACCTCGAATTATTTTTCTTTAGCTCCCTCTGTGCTTTCAGGGAGCCTGCGTGAGTTAAGCCTCTCCTTGTAGTGATTTCCCGATGCCCAGCAAGGCCGAAGCTCTCATTTCCTTTAGGAGTGTTGTTTTTTTTTTCTCAATGAAGGATGAATTTTCTAAATCCATAATTACACCTGACCATGATGGCAGCTTCTCTGTTAAGGGCTTGGAAAGTACCTTGTTAATTACTTGACTTATTTTGTCAACATTTTTTCATGTTCTCCCCACCCCTTGCCAAAAAAAAAAAAAAAAGGATGGAGAATCTCATTTTTGCTTCAGCGTCTCTTCTGTGATGATTTCTTGCTTTTCAATTCACGTTTGGAAAAATGTTTTCATTTAAACAACCTCCCTATTTAAAAAATTTAACAGTAATACCTGCTTTTTGTAATGAGTGAAGATAATACAATAAGGATGTATGAAGTCAAAGCTAATTAATCATTCTTCTCCCCCATCCCCTTTCTATCCATCCCCTTTAGATTACTCAGTAATGTCGACAGCTTGCTGTATGTCTTTAGACACCTTACTTCTTGTTTGTGTGTACCCATGAAAGCTTTTATATGCATAGATATTTCTTTTACATGTATTTCAAAAAGCTCAGAATATTGTTGGGAAGGGAAGAGAGAGAAAAATGTTTTCTTTGATTTTTAAGACAGTACTTGGAAGTTAAGTGTGGGCATCAGTGTAAGTAAGAAGTAGGATGCTAGAGACAGAAAGAACAAGATGGGTAGTTTTTCTTTTTATTCAAAGCAATCAGTGATATGTTCTAATGCTTTGGAAAGGTTCTATGCCTAGAATGTTCCCAAGAAAGGTCTGATTTATTCTTCATAAAGTACTTTTGTGTACTTCTGAGCTAGGGTGGAATTTACATGGTTTGGAATCATTTTTGGGGGTGTTTTTCAAAATGTTTGATTGGAATAGTGATAAGTTCTCTTTAAAGAGATTGATCACGTGAGATTGGGTAACACCAAGATGAACAGAATGAAAAATGTTTCCCTATAGCAGTGCTTTCAGAAACGTGAATACATTAATGTACACCAAGCATTTGTAGAAGAGGGATTAGGGCTCAGCATTACAGTGTTTTCCTAACTTTCCTTACTCACAGGCTCCTTATTTATTTATTTTTTGTTAGGCTGCCGTGGCCAGCGTTCCAGGAAACACACTTTGGGAAATGACGCTCCTTTGGCTGTGTAGCGCACAAGGGGCTGTGAGCTTCCCCTGTAGACGTTTCTGCCTTATTCCAGCTGATCAGTAATATTCATCAGCATCATTTCATTCTTTTTTTTAAGACGGAGTCTTGCTCTGTCGCCCAGGCTGGAGTGCAGTGGCGCCATCTCAGCTCACTGCAAGCTCCGCCTCTGGGGTTCACGCCATTCTCCTGCCTCAGCCTCTCAAGTAGCTGGGACTACAGGCACCCGCCACCATGCCTGGCTAATTTTTTTGTATTTTTTTTCTTTAGCAGAGACAAGGTTTCACTATGTTAGCCAGGATGGTCTCAATCACCTGACCTTGTGATCCACTCGCCTCGGCGTCCCAAAGTGCTGGGGTTACAGGTGTGAGCCACTGCACCCGACCTTTTTTTCACTTTTAAATCAAAACAGATCATTCATACAAGAGAAGAAATACATATGTAGAGATGACAAATCATTCAGTGGGCCTCTCTGTAATGCTTCCCGCTCCAGTCCCTGAGTAGCTCCCCCCGCCCAGCTGTGCACGTCTTCTTCTTTGTGATGTGGTCTCTACACAGATTTGGGATTCATTTTCCCTCGCTTCTCTTTTTAGTTTTACCACATATTAATGTATCCTTAAACAATATGTTCTTAAGCCTTGCTTCCTTTTGCCGTTTATAGAAGCAGAGTCAAACAATATATATTTTTCCATGACATGCTTTTAGCTTTCAGCACTGTGGTTTTGCAGTCTCTCCAGGTTGATGGGTGCAGCTGTGGTCCATTCGTTTTCTTAGCTGAATAATACTCCTGTTGTAGGAATAGATGGCAGCAAGCGTAACCCCTCTTCATGGATGGGTACCTGGGTGATGCCAGTGTTTGCTATTAGGACAGCGTGTTAGATCCTGCATTTAGCGATCTCCAGGCACACCTGCGGGAGAGCGCCTCCAGGAAACACACCCCGGGGTAGGATTGCCAGGCCAACAGGTCCTTAAGGCAGATGATTACCTTAGGGAAACAGAGGCCCCCAGTGTTTCTTAGGCTTCAGAAGTGTGGTCTACACAGCAATAGTAATATGAAGACTCAGCTACCGTGATTCCTTCTCAGCCACTCCTCCTCTTGTCCTAACCCAGAATCATATTTATGATATTGTCATTTTAAACATATGCGTGTAGTTTCTATGTGATGGAATATGGTAGTGAGAATCTAAGTATCCAGCCTGGTCACCCGCTCCTTTCCGCCTCACGTGCAGGATGGTTGCCCTCATTTAATCATCGTGTACAGTCTCCCTCGGGCACCCTGAGCCCTGCATCTGTTTCACCCAGGGCCTCCCTTTGGTTCTCGTTTTGTTCTTTGCCTCTTCCAGGACTCCTGCCTCCCTTCCTGCCTCGCTATCAGCCTTCTTTAGAATACATCCCCAGCCACGTTCCACACCCAATGGACAGCTTGTGTAATCATGTTCTCCCACATCCCTAGGAGTCCTGGGATCCATGAGTGGCTGTTTGTAAATCTCAGGAAGCTTTCCCTGTCTTCCTGCCCTGCCCTGTCTTCCTTCCCCTGGTCCACTGGCCTCGGGTTTCCTGCAGCATCCATGGAGCACTAGGGAAGACCCAGCCACGCAGCTCCATGTGATCCCTCTGTGGTCCGCCTGGTGCTACTACTGAAAGGAGGGTCTCTGTTACTTGGCGCCAAGCATGGCAGGTCCAGTTCCCACGGATAGCCGGGGCATCTAACCAAGATAATTTAGAGCAGAAGCTGTAGCTACATTCTGTACCTGTTTATCTTGAGTTCCTGCTAGCAGGTACCAATAATGATGGATTGTGAACAAACAGCTCTGCCTTGTTTTTTTAGACCCTGAAATAGACAGATTGGCTTTGATAATGCTTTTTGACTGATGGGCACTTTTTGTAACTAAATCCCATTCAAAGGCTTAAAATATGCCGCCCAAGGTTGATTTCAAGATATATTAAATTGACCTAAAGAAAAATAAGTAGGAAAAAAAGTCCTACCTACATATGGGATGATGTATGGACATTTTCAAAATAGTCACAACCCAACTTTACCATAGCAAAAACAAGCAAACAACACCCCCCCTCACCCCCCAGAAAACAACAAAAGCAAAAACATCAAAATAATCCCTGCAGTGAAACAAGATTTCCCCTTTATTACTAAGTACCTTCAGCCAAAAGGAACTGCACCACTTCATTTAAATGTGGTTCTGAATATTCGTTTGTGTTTGCATTGCTGGATTATCTAACTGCTGCTTTCCATCTGAAACGTAAGCCTTCAGAGATGTTGCTCCCCAGTAAACTATCTTAGCTTTGCCAGGACCGGGCCTTCACTGAGTGTAATAGAATCCCTGATCCCCAGGAGGTAGGGAAGGGGCTGACAATGACATGCATGAATGAGAATGTTTTCTAGAGAGGATGTAGTCTGCCACGTCCTGGAGCTGCTTTAGGGAGAGCAAAAACCTGTTTGTATCTTTCATTATATATGCTTTTAAGTACCCAAGTTAGGAAGTAGCTATCTGTGAGCTTTTCTACCAGTCTTCATGCCAAAGTGATAATTTAGTAAAAAAAAAAAAAAAAGAAAAAGAACAAACAAGCCCTCGAAACCAACCTGAAAGCGCAGGATACAGATACTTATGGGCAGAGAGAGACTATTGCCTGTCTTTGGAAGCATTGCCAGCTATTGCTGGGAAGACCACTCCTGCTTAGAGGGGTGGAATTCTTTCTGAGCTAGCTTGTCCTGGAAGTCTCCGCCCCAAGAGTGTTCTTGATGCGTGTGCCTTACAGCCATTGGGCTGGGCAACCTCACCTTTCCATTGGCTGGAAAATGAAGAGGATAAACCCCACTCTCATATGTAGGCAAAAGGTTCCTTTTGATAAAGTCGTGATTTCTCCATCTCAATAATAATAGTAATGCACCCATCCCAACCGCCCCAGAGCTTTGCTGTTCAGGAAACATAGGCATATCTCAAAGTACCCTTTACCTTAATTTTCAAAATCAGTGCCTTGTCTCATGACTTTTCAAGGTTGGTGAAGTTCTGAAGTACTTAAAAAAAATTGCTGATTTAATAAACTTGCTAGTTGAATAAAAGAGTCAGACCAAGTAGAAAGTCGTTTTACCACAGATGTGACTTTTTCTTTTTGTGGTGAGTACATGTCGTGGGCAGTGCATGGGGCCTGTCACAACTGGCATCATTTCCATTTGGTTGAAATCCGAGCCTCTGCATCCTGCCTTGAGATCAGGGCAGAGCCCTTGCTTTTTAGTTTCATGGAGGCTACATTATAACAGAGAGGAAGAGAGGGAGAGGGAAGGAAAGGAGGAGAAAGAAAGAGAAAAGAAGGGAAGGGGCACAGGCAGGAAAAGAATAGGAACATTCCAAAGCCATGTCTCAGGACATTAGAGCTAGAACCAGTGTCTGTGCTAATGGGACTCTTGCAAACACCCTCTTATTTCACTTTACCTGGGGTTAGTTTTTGGTTTCCTGCTTTAACAGATGAAAACAGGTTTTTTAATTGGATTCTGCACATTACCCCTGTGAAACTGCAGAACATAAGCGGTTTAAGTAGTTTCACACTGGGCTTTATTTCATTAGTGATATGCTGTATGGATTGTAATTCTCATAAACTGATAATATGCTGATTTACTGGAAACCAAATTGACAAGAAGCCTATCATGTGTATTGGCAGTCTGTTCAGCTTGCTGGACTTGGCCAGGAGACCTTGAGCTCCTAAGATTTTTTCATCCTTCTCTTAAAAAATAGCAAAAACATATCTTTATTTTCAGTTATTAAATTTTGAGTTCACTTAACAGTTTCTTATCTGTTTGCAGAACCACATGGAAGTAATGATAAAGTCTTGTTTCAGATATATAAGGCCAACATACTAAAAATCTGAGCATATTCAAATATGCTTCTGCATCTTGAAGAATAAGGTTGTCTATATGCTAGTAACATTTATCTGAAAAACATGCCACATAGAAATACCTTTATGGGGACTTGGCCATAAATTCTTTGCCAAAGCCAATGTCAAGAAGGGTATTAACTAGGTTTTCTTCTAGGATT
Organism: Homo sapiens; assembly: GCF_000001405.40. Taxonomy (NCBI): domain Eukaryota; kingdom Metazoa; phylum Chordata; class Mammalia; order Primates; family Hominidae; genus Homo; species Homo sapiens. The sequence goes on from NC_000010.11 coordinate 127,217,807, forward strand.
TTAATAGTTTGAGGTGTTAACATTTAAATCTTTAATCCAACTCAAGTTAATTTTTTTCATATCACGGAAGTTAAAGGGCCAGTTTTATTTTTATGCATATGTTAAGCCAGTTATCCCAGAACCATTTATTGAAAAGGAGTCCTTTCCCCATTGCTTTTTTCTTTTTTTTTTCTCAGCCTTGTTGAGGATCAGATGGTTGTAGGAGTGCAGCTTTATTTCTGAGTTTTCCATTCTATTCTGCTGTTCTAAATATCTGATAAAATAAAAGTTGAAATTTTTAAAAAAGTATCTTTATGAAATCTAAAAATTGTGGAAAGTAATTAATCTCATTAATCTAAGAGAATCCTTGTTAATGTATTTGAATACAGATATTTATAGAAATACAACTATAATTTGACCTAATATGCAGTAGTATACATGAGACTTAACAATTGAAATTGTTGTTTTATCTAAACAGAATCTGCTCATTTCCTTTTTACACCAGCAATGGTAGAGCCAGAGAACTTTGGTTCACAATGGAATCATCAAGTCATAAAACTTTTGAACTTCAAGGGATTTTTCCATTTTTTTTTGGTTGGAGGTGGTGATAGGGAAATCTTCTTCAATGACAATAAGTTAATGACTTGCATTACTTCTTGGCCAAAGTTAAGACTAGAACAGAAGTTTTCCGACTCCCAGTCTGTTCAGTATTTTCCCCATCATACCTGTGATTATCAACCTTTTCTCACTCTGCCAACCAAAAATGTTCCCTTGGAATGACTTCTGACTGTTTGTGCTGAAATGAAGCAGTGGTTTTTCAAAGCTCACACATGACCGTATGGACTCTGCACAGTTGGTGCCATATTAAAATACAATGTCTCTTACCTTTTTTTCCCTCCACTTTCTGTTGTTATTTCCCAATCAAAGTAAAACCAGTATTAAGGTCTGTCTTAGTTCACTTTGTGATGTTATAACAAAATTACCTGAGACTGGTCATTTATAAAGAACAAAAATTTGTTTCTCGTGGTTCTGGTGGCTGGGAAGTCCAAAATCAAGGCACCAGCAAGTTTGGTCGTCTGGTGAGGTCTGCTCTCTACTTCCAAGATGGCGCCTTGTTGCTTCATCCTCTGGAGGGGAGAAAGCTGTGTCCCCTCCTGGTGGGATGGAAAGGGAAGCCAACCTAGGGCTAAGTGAAACCTCTTTTTTAAGGGCCTTAATCCCACCTCTTAAAGGATGCACTTCTTAATACTATCACACTGGCACTGGCAATTTTGGAGGGGGCACATTCAAACTGTAGCAAGGACTAACTTCTAGCATATTGTTTATTTAATTCCCCAAATTAAGTAGTGGGGACTGCAGATTAGTTCTGAAGTTTTCCTTTCAGGAGAAAGTAGAATAAATGGGTAAAGAAGAAACCATAAATTCATCTTGGGTGGAAGTGCAGTTTCTGAATATATTCTACACATCCCAACAATTGTGAATGTGCTTTGCCATCTTATCAAAGCAGTATTATATTATAGAAGGAAAGGCTTTGGTTGAGCATATGGCTATTTCTGAGTTACTTAGCTTTATATTAACTTTCTCATCAGCAGTTGGCCTACTTGCTTAGGCCAATTAGTCCTTGGCCATTTTGTCTATGTGGGCATGCTAGGTCATGTCAGGGCTGATTTTTTCTTCTCAAAAATTTTTAATTGTGGTAAAATATATATCACATAGAATTTATCACCTTTGCCATTTTAAGTGTACAGTTCAATATTGTGAAGAACATTCACATTTGTGCATGACTAAATTCCAGAACTCTTTTTATGTTATAAGACTAAAACTCTCTACCCATTAAATAACAACACCCCATTTCTCCCTCCTCTCAGCACCTGTAGAACCACCATTCTACTTCCTGTCTCTATGAGTTTGGTTACTCTAGGTTATTGGGCCAATTTTGACAGCCTTTCTTGAGGTGGAATCCTCTTCCCAACATACTTATTTCCATTGCCAACCATGACCCTGCCCATGGAGCTCTATCCTACACTCTATCCCATCCCCGTCTTCAGCCCATCCTGTTTGGTGACACCCACCATGGCCCCAGCCCACATCTTCAGCAGGTGCAGAATGTCTCTTAGTGTTGACTTACACCCTGGCAGTCCTGTGCACCATTCACAGGATAGTCTTACTTACAGATTGAGAATCTACAGTTTTGAGATCATTATCTTTACATTTCTGTATCCTCCATCCTTCACAGAGTCTTCAGCACAGAGCATGAGTTCAAAATCAATGCTGGGAGCATTAGGAGAAAATTACAGAGAAAAAAATGTTCAAAGATTTCATGTAGTTAAACATTCATTCCTTCCACTTTTGCATCCTAGATTGACCCCTCTTGTGTCTTCCTAGATAAATGGGAAGTTGTCTGTCTCAGTTGATGTGATATTTAAATATACCAGAGTTTGGAGTTTGCAGAGAAAGAGTGTGGAGAAGCTAAGTAGGGAAACTTGATGAGTCCCTAGACTGAGGATACAGGAGAATGAAGAGGAGGCAGGAGTGGGGAGGAAGGAACAGAGAACCAGGAGGCCCAGGGACGTGTGTGTTGCAGCAGCTTTGAGTGTGAATGGGCAAGAATGAACTGCACGTGGGGCTGCCACATTTAACAAATAAAAATATAAGATATGCAGTCAAATTTTAATTTCAGGTAAAAAAAAAACTTAAGTCTATCCATGCAATATTTAGGATATACTTACACTAGAAAAAATGTTGCTTATCTGAAATTCCAATTTTACTGAGTGTCCTGGATTTTGTCTTGCAACCCTAGCTGTAAAGGGAAGAAGGAGCTTTGTGGGGTAGAGCCAAGCATTGGACAAAGGCATGGATGGAGGAGCGATCGGTGTCCCCAGTCCAGTTCAGTAATATGGAGGGCGGAGGGTGGAGATTACAAGAATTACAAGCAAAGATGGGGGCCGTAGAATTCCATCTTCTACCTTTAAAGAATTTGCCCTTTTTTTTTTCCCTTTAATTGATTTTTCCCTCTGTTTTTAAGTTGTTCTCTTTTGAATACTCTGCTTATAGATTTATTTCCTAAACAAGTGCTGTTAAATGGCCTCCACTTCACAGGCTCCATGGAGGAGCAGAGCTCTCCTCTCTCTATGCCGATGCTTTCAGCATCCTCAGAATAGCAGCTGGAAGGCAGTAGGTTTTATGGGGATAACTGTGCACTCACCAGTTTAGATGTGTGGTTGCTAAGAGTCACGGTATTTGTTTGCAAACCTGTTGGTACCATTGGTCCATGTTTAGCTTTGTTTAATATACATAAACAAAAAAGTGTAACTGGAAGCTATGGTATTTTATTTTTCAATTAGCTATGGAAAGTACAAGAAAATCAAGTTGCTAAGCAATTTCTGTTGAATTGGATGTGGGTGGAACCATTATCAAAGGTTGGAAGAAATCGTAAAAATGGAGGAGCATTTTATATTCACGTTGTTTTTCCTATGTCTTCAAGTTCTTTAAAGGAACTGAAACTGGAAATTGCAGAAAATGCATTATGGGTGTGATTTATGAGGTAAAGAAGAGTACACAGTGCATGGTGTGTTGTTATGGCAACCCTAGGAAACTAACATCAAGATCTTAACTCAAGATATTGATCCTCATGTATGTTAACGTGAGAGACATGTGTGTCTTGTGTGGAGGGCCTCTCCAGGTGAGAGGGTGGCTGTGCTTTCACTCATGGTCAGCTCCAGTCTGCTCAGGGAGCTCTGGGCATCCATGTGCCCATGTGTCATCCTTGTGACATCCCTTCAGTGTCAGCTACTTTTATCCTTTGATCAATTGCTCCAGGGCTCATAATACATGATGTAATTGGTTGGAAACGTGGATGTCCAAAAAGTGCATCAACGCTCAAGGTCATGTGTCCTTTGTTTTGAGGTGTCACTCTGGGCAGAGCTGTCCGGTGCAACTCAGGGGAAGTGGTGTCCTGGTGAGAACCAAGTCAGAATGTGGCTTGAAATGAGCTCTTGTATGAAGCTGGCAAATTATGGCTTATCTTTCCTTTAGTAGGTTTTCTTCATTTATTTCCTTAATTTAATGGAATGCCTTAGTGCTATTTCAATTAAAAAATATTGATGGTAAATGTTTGGGAGGACATTCTGCATCCTTTGATGCTCAAGATTTTCTGTTCTCCAAAGCAGTAGAGACATTAGCCTCACTCAAAGGAGAGTAAAATTATGTTCAATGTGTAAACTTGCTTGCTGCGTAACAAAGTAATATTATGGCAGGGTGTTTGACAGAGACTCTTTAGCTTAATGAAATTCTATCAGGGAGATGCAGTTTTAATAGCGTCGTTCATTGCTTTTTGTCCCTGTAGTCTTTAAAGGCTCACATGTGGGGAGGACAGTGGCTGCATCTGAGCTGCCAGCAGCAGTGCAGGAGTTCAGATGTGAAATTTCACTCATGCCAGCATTTCCAGCATTTATTTTTAATCAGGATCTGCGCTTACCGATGGCCTGTTAAAAAGGAATTGTGTAATTAGCCTACTAAATCACCTTTTCTTCCTCAGTCTCTTCACATCTCTGAAAAACAGCCCCCATATCACTGTGGCTTACTCTCTCTCTCTCAATATGTTGTAGGAACTACAGAAGTTTCAGCATACCCACAAATACTGGGTTGAATACCTCTTTTCAAACATTAGTTTTTGAAATTGTAGTCAGGTTTTTAAAAAACGGTTGAATCAGAGTATATCAAATTGTCATGTTAACGTGGTAACATCATAAACAAGTTTCCTTGGGAGATAAATTTTGTGGTTTCTGTACATAGAGACCACCTTTCTTTTTGGTCGACATTTCATTCCTCCTGTGTTTTTGTTTTGTGTTGTGTTGTGTTGTGTTGTGTTGTGTTGTGTTGTGTTGTGTTGTGTTGTGGAGACAGGATCTTGCTCTGCCACCCAGGCTGGAGTGCAGTGGTATGATCGTGGCTCACTGCGGCCTTGACCTCCTAGGCTAAAGTGATTCTCTCACTTTAGCCTCCCAAGTAGCTGGGACTACAAGCACTTGCCACTACGCCTGGCTAATTTTTTTCTTTCTTAAAAATTTTTTGTGGAGATTAGGTCTCACTGTGTTGCCCAGACTGGTCTCAAACACCTGGGCTCAAGCGCTCCTTCTGCCTTAGCTTCCCCAAATTCTGAGATTATAGGTGTGAGCCGCTGTGCCGAGCCAGTTTCTCCTAGGTTTTAAAAGATTGACTTTATAGTTTGGATCTGCAAATAAGTTTTAAAAAATTGTAGAACCTGTTCCCATGTATCCTTCATTCAGTCTCTGCCCTCATTATTGACATTTTGTGTTACCATGTCACAGTGGTCACAACTAATAAATCAATACTGAAAATCTCTTTGAATTTATAACAATGTCTGATTATTTAGTTTTACTAATCTCAAAATTTGGAACAACATAAATCAGCAACTTTCAAGGTTTTTTTCTGAAAGAAAGTAGCTTAGAAATGTATACAAAAGCAAATCAACTCAAAGTGTGTGTTTATCATTTAGAAAGGTAAAAATCTATTTTTCCTATCAAAATTATCTCTTAATGCTTTTTAATTTATTTTCTTGAGTTTAGTAATTCTATCTTGCTAATGTACCTTCAATTTCTACTTACTTAGTAGAATGTTAATATTACAGATCGAGCATCCCTAATTGGAAAATTCGAAATCGGAAATGCTCCAAAACCCCAAAATTTTTGTGTGCTAACATGATGCTCAAAGGAAATGCTTATTGGAGCATTTTGGATTTCAGATGAGAGATATTGAACCGGTAAGTATAATGCAAATATTCCAAACTCTGAAATAATCTGCAATCTGAAACATTTCTTGTCCCAAGCATTTTGAATAAGGGATACTCCACTTTTATTCTTATTCACCAAGAAACCACCAGAGAAGACATCAAGCATCAAGTGAAAGCTACAGATGAGCACTTTACTTTTTTGGGAGTGCTGTTTGTTCGTATAAAGAAGTGAGGCTTTTTAAGAAGTGGCCTTTTTAGGCCTTAGCACCTTTTTAAGCTGATCACTGTCTCCTTGTCTATAGAGGGGACCCAGGAAATCTTAGGTGACAGTGAGGCTCAGGGTGGAGCTTGGTTACTTGTCTCAGCATCAAGGGACAGGATCAGGGGAAAGGATGCTGAGCTGTGCTTGTGGGTGAGAAATGAGTTAATTAAGCCCTTTCTGCCATGATAACTCTGGTGTTTGTTTTCTGCTATTTAGGCTATCAAAGTTAGTTAGTGACTCACAGCAAAAAGAAGATACTGATATTTTCTTGGGTTTTGTTTATAATCATGTTTTGAGCTTATATAGACATGCTCTTTCTTAAAATTCATTTATTTGCTTTTCATCCATGGAAAACCAGTTTTTTTTCAATGAGTTATAAAGTATTTAATAAGAAGAGATTCTGATTTAATTATATCCAGAGATGGCTTTGGATCATGTTATTTAAGATGGAGAATGACTATTTAGAAATATTAATGTTTGGCCGGGTGCAGTGGCACACACCTGTAATCCTAGTACTTTGGGAGGCTGAGGCAGGCAGGTCACTTGAGGTCAGGAGTTCAAGACCAGCTTGGCCAAACATGTTGAAACCCTGTCTCTAATAAAAATACAAAAAATAGCCAGGCATGGTGGTACACACCTGTAATCCCAGCTACTTGGGAGGCTGAGGGAGGAAAATCACTTGAACCTGGGAGGAGGTTGCAGTGAGCCAAGATCATGCCACTGTACTCCAGCCTAGGTGACAAAACAAGACTCTGCTTCAGAAAAAAAAAAAAAAATTGGTGTGGTAGTGCATGCCTGTAGTCCCAGCTGCTTGGGAGCCTGAGGTAGGAGGATCACTTGAACCCAGTAGGTTAAGGCCGTGGTGAGCTCTGATCACACCCCTATACTTTAGCCTGGGAGAGACAGCAAGACCCTGTCTCAAAAAAAAGAAAAGAAAAGAAATATTAATGTTCATATGTATCTATATATTATCTATATCTGTATATTTTTATATTATAATTTAAATTATTTCAGTAGAAATTTGAAGTAGGAGTTTTAGGGAGAGGCAAAAAGGAGTGCATGCATTAAACATTCCTTTAGGGTCAAGACGATGGAGCCATTGAGTACATTTTAATGAATGTGAATGTTATCTGGGCTGCTAGAAAAGAATGAAAAAGCCATACTTAATTGTTTAAGGAAACCATAGAAGAATCTACTGTTGGGTAAGTTGCTACCCAAATATACATACATTCTTTTTCAAAATATATCCTGAAGTTCATATTTTCCACCATTAAATCTATTCTCTTCCTGCCAGGAAACCTGAACTAGAGAGGTTTGGAGGTCTTATGTTGTTACGTGCCAAAAATATAGAAAGTAATTTATGAGAAGGACAAGAATTGTGATACATTACTAAGGCGCATGTAATTTTCTAAGTACTAAACTGACAGGTGTTTTATATATATATTTATGTTTTATTGGTAAAGACAGAAAACAAATACATCTTAGTCAAACAGTGTTCCCCGACTTACCCCATCAATGCCAAGGGCACAGGAGGGGGTCTGCAGTAACTTCCTGAAGCAAAGCACGGAGGAGAGCAGGTAACCCATGACATGACCTGGCTTGCGAGCCTTGATGTTTTCCGTGGGTTTCATTCTTTCCTTTGAGATCCCAGGCAAATGACACAACATAGGTTGTAATGGAACCCCTCCTTTTCCTTGTTTAGACTCTTGAACATCTCATATTGCTCCTGACTGCCAGCAACCAAATGAAGGGCTTCATTAGTTATAGCTAATTAACTACACACCAGACTGAAGGATTTCTAGCCAAGGAGTTTGGGGTTGCTTTGGAATAATAGCGAGAAGCTAGTCTTTTGAGTTTTAACTGTTGGATCCCTAGCTTAGAAAGTTACCAGTACCCTTTTTAATTTTTTACTCTGTAATGGGCAGGAATAGAAATTATGTACAACAGTGGAAAAGTAGAAGACCATATCAAACCTGATGTACCCATAAGAAGTAGTTGGACGGGCATGGTGGCTCACGCCTGTAACCCCTTCACTTTGGGAGGCCGAGGCAGGTGAATCACGAGATCAGGAGTTGGAGACCAGCCTGACTAACATGGTGAAAACCTGTCTCTACTAAAAATACAAAAAGTTAGCAGGGCATGGTGGCGGGTGCCTGTAATCCCAGCTACTTGGGAGGCTGAGGCAGGAGAATCGATTGAACTTGGGAGGCAGAGGTTGCAGTCAGCCAAGATCATGCCACTGCACTCCAGCCGGGGCGATAGTGCGAGAGACTCTGTCTCAAAAAAAAAAAAAAAAAAGATGTAGTTAATAGCATATGCTTCTCCTTAAGTGATCACCCAAGTTGTTGGAGTTTCCTAATCATCAGTTTTTTTCTCTGTCATTTTGAGCTTCCTGGAATAGGACTGAATTTGCAAGTTGAATGATTATGCATAAGGCTCAAGAAAAACTTGAAGGCAGATAAAATTGATTTATACTCCTTAGCTCTACCCTACCCTATCTACAGGTATTTCTTGGCGGTCAGTGAAGGATCAAACAAGAACAGGGTTGGGTAATGCTGTCAGCAGGCCCACTACATCCCATGCCAGGCGCTCATGGCGTCCTGTCTCTGCTCCTGCCTCACTTTCCACCTCTCTGCCCAGCCCCCATAAATAGTATGTGGGAAGCTGGGCACAGTGGCTCACACCTGTCATCTCAGCACTTTGGGAGCCGAGGTGGATGGATCGCTTGAGGTCAGGAGTTCGAGACCAGCCTGGCCAAAATGGTGAAACCCCATCTCTACTAAAAAATACAACAATTAGCTGGGCATGGTGGTGCGTGCCTGTAATCCCAAGTACTCAGGAGGCTGAGGCAGGAGAATTGCTTGAACCCAGGAGGCAGAGGCTGCAGTGAGCCAAGATCGTGCTACTGCATTCCAGCCTCGGTGACAGGGGAAGACTGGGTCTCAGAATGAAAACAAACAAACAAACAAACAAAAAAAAGAGTGGGTGGGGCTCCTGATGCCTTCGCCATTGTGATTACACAATACTTCTACCTGGACTGCCTTTCTCCCGCTCCCATCCCCACCTTCACCTGGGAGGCATGCTATTGCGTTCCCCACAGCACCCAAGTCACCCCGTCATGGCTCTGTCATGCTGCATACACCACTGCTCCTTTAAAGGGTCATTTCTCACTAGACACAGGGGCAGAGACCATGTTGCGTATTTTCTTCCATGCCCCAAGCCCCAGCACCGGACTTGGCCTATAGCAAGTGACAATGCTTGTTTTTATTAACGAATGAGTACACGATCCCAGGAATCTCGTTGAAGTCCAGTTCTCCACGTGGCCACCCTTGACTCCCACAGCTGACCTGGGATTGACACCGTGGCCAGCCCTGTTCCTCACCTGATGCCTGCCTGTAGTCTTCGGCCTTGCTGCTCCAGAACTTTTCATCGTGGCCCCTTTAGGGCCATGGCAGCACAAATACACTTAGTAGGTGAGGCCATGAGGACACCTACCACCATTAAGGATGCCTGTGGGGAGTAGGGAGATGGAGGATAGGCTGGTAAGACCCTGCCAGTGCGGGCCTGCCTCAGTGCCTTGGAACGAGGTATTCCCAGTGCCTCTGAGCTGCATCCCAGTGTGTCCTGAGCACCCATCTGGCCTGGCAAGAAGCAGGCACGAAAGGCATATGGGCCGTAGCCTCTAGCCTCCTGCCACCTGCATTCCAAGCCACGTTCCAGTAGCACTTTAACTGAAACATCTAGCTACACAAGATGGGCTGAGCACTCTACACAGATGCTGGTCCATGCAGAAACAACCCTACCCCTTCTGCACCTGAAAGGGTTCCCTCTGATTAGAAAAGGTTTGCTTCAAGTTCGGTTATAAAGGAAGGCTTGTGCATAGTTAGTGGGGAAGCCACAGGGATGTGCAACTTTTCCCTACAGCCCTGAGGTTCCAGGCACTAAGAACTTGGCACGTCTTTCCATGCTGGCTGAAATCAAAATGAAACCTTCTTTGACTTTTGCCCCTTCTGCTGGGGCATTGACATTGGGGTTTGACACTGGCTCAGACAGTCAAATCTGGAAGCCAAACCTTAGAAGCCAAATCTTAGGGTGGCATTAGGACTAAGCTGAGAATAAATTCTCAGTGATCCCATTCATCTGCCTCCCAGTGTACTAAAGTAGGACTTTGAACCTTCCAGAAACCTGATATGTTGGCAATTTCTCAAGCTTTGACTCTTTCTTCCCCATTGCCTCTAAACCCTAGCTTGAATTTTACTGGCTGCCTTATAATTGCTATTTGTTAAAAATCAAAACGATTTTCCATCCTGGTAAAATGGTAAAAATATCAGTAGTTTGCAGACAGTAAATATCTGTCTTTAATACTTCAAAAACAAGCCATATTTGCCTCCTGCCTGTTTTCCTTATGAGGGAATTATGCTGTGGGGTGGTAGAGTGAGAAGGGTTAAATCACTGGGGACCCACCTTCCCTCGTTCCTCATGGAATTTAGATGAATGTGCTCTTGCTAAATTCTCCAGAACGTGTATGTGCGTCACCCCCACGCTGCCCGGCCCGGAGGTGGCTGGAAGTCTCACTTTGTTTTTCATCTGCTGGGTGGTGACCAGCAGAGAGCACTGAGCGGACTGTTCTTTCCAATGCTATAAAAAGCCTGTTTGCAAAATGAGGATTTCTGCTTCCAGGGGCTGAATTCCACGTCTGCATTATGCTTGCTGGGTGGGTACCAGGCACAGTCTGTGGCTTGGTCGTAGCCTTTGCCATGTCTTTTGATGATGTGACATGCCTGAGACACATGGTGGAGCTCTGCAGGTGGTGAGCAGCCACGAGGCTGTGCTTGCATGCTGGAGCAGAACCTTGTTACTGCTGATTGAATAGTCTCGCAGACCCCTTTTCTGTCAAACGCAAAGCCATGTGTTTTTGTTCCATGTGGAAAATCACACACATTCTCTAGCATATTACATTGTCATTATGTCAACATTTTTAAATTTTATTGTTTAAATTGACGAATAAAAATTATGTATATTTATGATGTACGACATGATGTTTTGATGTATGCTTACATTGTGGAACAGCTAAATTGAGCTAACTAACATGCATTCTCTCACATACTTATTTTTCACGTGTGGTGAGAACACTTAAAAACTACCGTCTTTGGCCGGGTGCAGTGGCTCACACCTGTAATCCCAGCACTCTGGGAGGCTTAGGCGGGTGGATCACCTGAGGTCAGGAGTTCGTGAGCAGCCTGGCCAACATGGTGAAACCCTGTCTTTACTAAAAAATACAAAAAATTAGCCGGGCGTGGTGGTGCGCACCTGTAATCCCAGGCTGAGGCAGGAGAATCGCTTGAACCCACCAGGCAGAGGTTGCAGTGAGCCGAGATCGCATCACTGCACTCCAGCCTGGGTGACAGAGCAAGACTCCATCTCAAAACAAAACAAAACCAACCAACCAAACAAACCTCACAAAACTACTGTCTGCAGTTTTCAAGTGTGCAGTATATTGCTATTAACTGAAGTCACCGTGATGTAGACTTCTTGAACTTATTCTGCCTGTCTAAATGAAATTTTGTTTTCTTTGACCATCGTCTCCCCGGTCCCCCCGCTCTCCAGTCCTTGGTAACCACAATTCTACTTTCTGCTTCTATGAGTTCGACTTGTAGAGTCCACTTAGAAGTGAGATCATGCTGTGTTTGTCTTTCTGTGCCTTACTTATTTCCCTTAAAATAATGCCCTCCAGGTCCATCTATGTTGTTCCAAATGATGGTATTTCCACCTTTTTTAAGGCTGAACAGTACTCCACTGTGTTTTTAGATCACATTTTCCGTATCCATCCATTGATGCACGCTTAGGCTGTTTCCCTATTTTGACTATTGTGAATAACGCTACAGTGTACATGGGAGTGCAAATATGTCTTCAACATATTGATTTCATTTCCTTTGGGTATATTCTCAGAAGTGGGATTGCAGCATCATTTGATGATTTTAGTTTTAATTTTTCGAGGACCCTCCATTGTGCTTTCCGTAATGGCTGTTTACAAATTTACACTCCCATCCACAGCACACAGGGGCTCCCGTTTCTCCACATCCTAACACTTGTTCTTATTCCTTTTGTTGATAGTAGCCATTCTAACAGGTGTAAGGTGATAATTTATTCTGGTTTTGATTTGCATTTCCCTGATTATTAGTGATGTTGAGCATTTTTTCATACATATGTTGGCCACTTTTTATTTTGAAAAATATCTATCCAGTGATCACCTTAGCCACACATGTACTAAATATGTCTGTCCATTTCCTTTGCCCCTTTTTAAAACAGGTCATTTATTTTCTTGCTATTAAGTTATCTGAGTTTTTTATATATTTGAGATATTAATCCCCTTTCAGATATATGAATTGCAAATATTTTCTCCCATTTTGTAGGGAGTCTCTTCACTCTGGTGATTGTTCCTTTTACTGTACAAGAGCTTTCTAGTTTGATTTAACATCATTTGTCTATTTTTAGCCTTATTTTTTATTGTGCTTTTTAAGGTTATATCCAAAAACTCATTGCTCAGACCAATTTCAAGAGGTTTTTTTTCTTTATGTTTTCTTCTAGCAGTTTTACAGTTTCAGGCCTTAGGTTTTTAATACATTTTGAGTTAATTATTGTATATGGTATGAGATGAGGTTATAATTTCATTCTTTTACATGTGGAGATCCAGTTCTTCCAGCATCATTATTGAAGATTATCCTTTCCTCATTGTGTGTTTTTGGCATCTTTGTTGAAAATCAATTGACTGTAAGTGTGTGGATTTATTTCCAGGCTCTCTATCCTGTTTCATTGGTCGATGAGTCTGTTTTTATGGCCAGCACTATATTGTTTTGATTACTATAGCTTTATATTAGATCTTAAAAAATCTGGTAGTCTGATGCCTCCATCTTTGTTATTTTTGCCCAAGATTGCTTTAGCTATTCTGGGTTTTTTGTTTTTTTTGTTTTTTGTTTTTTTGTTTTTTTGTTTGTTTTTGGTGGTTCCAAACCCATCTTAGAATTGTTCTTTTAATTTTAGTGAAAAATGTCATTGGAATTTTGAATAGGACTTGCGTTGGATCTGTAGATAACTTTGGGTAATATGGATATTATAGCAATGTTAATTCTTCTAATCCATGAACATAAGGTATCTTCCATTTATTTTTATCATCTTCAGTTTCATCAATGTTTTATAGTTTTCAGTGTACAGATCTCTCTCTTTCTTGGTTTAATTATTCCTAAGTCTTTTATTTTTTGAAGCATATTTTATCACACGTTTGATTACTTTTATTAATGCAACTTTCATTAAACAACCAGAAATTTTTGTTTTAAGACTCATCTGGTAATTCTTTTCTATCAGAGCAGGGTTAAAGTTTGCTTTGAAAATGATCACATGGAGATCAAACTCTCTTTAGCGAATGGGTAGACTGAATCCAAGGCTTTTTTTTTTTTTTAACATTTAAATGCCCTCTCCACAAGCCCCACCACAAAGTTATTTTGAAAATACGAATTCAGTACTATTCGATACAAGAAAATGTTGGTGTAGTCAGTGTCTTACAATGTATATTTTAAGTGTATTGTAAAAAAGAATATTCAGTGCATGAATTTCTTTTTCTTATTCTTTTTTTTTTATTTTGAGGTGAGGTCTCTCTCTGTTGCCCAGGTTGGAGTGCAGTGGCACAATCATGGATCACTGCAGCCTCCACTTCCTAGGCTCAAGCAATTCTTCTTCCTCAGCCTCCCCAGCAGCTGGGACTTCAGGCACACACCACCATGCCTGGCTAAACACATTTCTTTGGAAGAGTGCCATTTAGCTAGAGGCTTGGGGATCTTTAAAAATACTAGAAATGACATCTATAACTTTGTCAGAAGCACATTCACTCATTAATTGATAGAATCATTGTCCCCTTATTTAGACTCAAGGCTTTTGTTGGAATAAATGTTTTCCCTTCCTTCTTGTTTGTGTTAGGCTTTCTTCTTTTCTTTGCCTTTTAATGTTCTTTCAAACAAATAGAAGACTGAGTGCATTCGCTCAGACATCTTCATTTGTTCAAATAAACTCCATTTTTTCAGACAGACTTGAACAAATGGAGAGACAGTTCGTGTGTCACCTAGGTAAAGGCTGTCTGCTAGGGGTCCTTCAACAAGCAAAACCAAGGTCCCTGCACACATGGAGTTCATATTCTAGTGAGGAGAGACATAAACAATTTATGCAATTTGTGTCAACCTGATTGGTGCATGGAGAAGGCAGAAAAGGAGGGAAGGAAGTGAGCCAGGTGGTCAGCTGGCAGAGAAGCGTTCCGTAGAGGGTACAGGTAGAGTACAATCCTGAAGGGTGCAGACCTTTTAGTTCTGCATCTTGGTGGTCATATGTATTGGAAGAGCTTGAGAAAAATGAAAATACCATTTAGCTTAAGAAGTTGTGAGTTATCTGCAAGTCAACTCATTTCAGGAGTGGAAGAATCCCCGGAATGATTTCCTAATATCAAAATGTATGCAGGTTTCTCTTTTGAATGTCTTGTATATTTAGAGAGGGTGCTGTACAAAGTCTCTTGTTTTCCATACAGCAAATTCCAGGATCCCTTGCTGGATACTGTGGCTGGAGCAATGTGAGCAACAGAGGCAGAGTCCGGGAGGTGATGTGGGGCTGGGGCACTCATCATGGCCTTATAGGTCTGCGCCTTGGTCCACATTCGTACTGCAGTTATTGTTTTTATTTGTGATAATGATTTTATACTAAATAATGGTGATATTCCTACCATATTTACCACGTAGTAGTGTCTGAGGTTTCTGATTCTTTCGAACAAATGCCTCCTGTTGACCCTGTTTCCATTTAACCAATCAACCTAGATTTCTGCTTTTTGCCCCTTCATGACACCAACACAGTGGGTTGAAATTCAAAACAAGTGGACTTCATTTCATGATCTCATGTGCTTCTTATTTAAACAGGAAATAGGAGCATTGCATTTGACAACTTTTAACTGTGTAGCCAGATAATTAGCTTGTGAAAAACATACTCAGTTTTACAAACAAGTTGTGATTCTGGAAAGTAAAATTAGTCATTATAGTACTACTTTGCGGATTTACCTCCCACTGCATGCTGTTAAGATCTCATCTAAGCAAGATTAATAAAAAATAAAAAATCTTGACTAAACATCTGTTGCAAAGTGACTTTCAATTTGGCTCTTCACCATGTGACTGGTGATTAGAGTTTTTGGTTTAGGTTAAGGGGATTTGATTTGATTTGGCATGGTCCCTTTTTAATTTTATGTATGAGGCAAATAACTGAAATGTCCCTGATTGTCATAAGTGAAAAAATATCATTAAAATATTTGAATTTTGTTCAAGGAGATTAATCTCTATAAACCAATGTTTTGTATTCCCTAATTAGAATTATGGTAGTCACCAGTATGATCAATGCTAAGTGTTTATTTGGTAATTAGGAAGTGCAAGCTCTAAATTTTGATAAGATTGATGAAATGGCCTCTTCTCATATTTTCATTATGTCCGTATAAACATAACTTAGAAGTTGGAAATATGAATTTTGTCTACATAACAGTGGACATGCTACAACAAACAAATATATAGCTACAAACAAAGCTATATATTTACATTGATATCCCCTTGATTATTTTTCTCAATGAGCAGACATTCAAGAGATTTTTTTCCCCCACAAAATGTGATGTGAAACATCTACAATGTATACTTGCCAAGTGCATAACTATTAACTTACTCCAGGTACCAGATGGTCTTATTAAGATACTAATTAATGTCAACTCTGACAAGTGAAGCTAATGTTTAAATTCAGCTGCCAGTAAGTTCTCTGTCAGAGCACTCCCAATAGAATGTGAGTTATATGCGGGCTTCTAGAACAATGTCCAAAACACAGTGTGCCTTCGCAAAGGTTTCAGCGAACGGATAAATACTGTGGCTACATTCCCTTTCTAGGAAATAAGAATTATAAAAAATGTTGATCTTCTAAGTTTAATTTTATTATAGTTTGACCTTACATATAAGTTGTGTTTTGAAGGTACCATTCTTCCCTTCTTAGTAAAAATGTAACAGCATCCATACGATGTGATTTCGGCTGCTCCATTTTATTGTTGATCTACTTGTTCTTCAATAATAGAACTCTTGTTTTATAATAATTTCCATACCATGTTTGTTAACCAATAATATCCATAACCATAACTTGAGGCACTTTGTTATAGCTGATCCTGAGGTTAGGAATACTTCCTTGACATGATACATACAGTATATTAAACCAACATTCAAAATAATAGTTAAAAATTAGACACTAAAAGCGTGCCCATTAAAATCACTTAAGAAAACAGGCGCTTGCTGTCATTATTATAATTTGACATTACCGTGATAGTGCGGCCTGAGGAGTAAGTCTAGAAGCAGAATTAAGACCTACAGTGATTAGAAAAGACAACACAAAAATATTGACAGATGTTGGCTTGATGTATTTAGAAACCCTCTCCAAAGTGGGGGAAAAATAGTTTGGAAGTAATAGGAGAATTCTGTAGGTTCAATTGCAAAATGTACACATCAAATTCAATAGTTTACCCTAATATACAAATAAAAATACACAAAATGTTCAAAGGGTTATTTAAAAAAGCACTCCCTCCAAAAGACACAAAAATAAAAGGAGCTGTTAAAGATCCGTATGATGAAAACCACAAAACATTCCTGAAATGGCATAAAAATAGACTTGAACAAATGGAGAGACAGTTTGCATGTCTAAGTGGGAAGGCTGATATTGTAAGCCTCTTCAATTAATTTAAAAATTCAATGGAATTCCAATTTGAATCCCAATAGGACCTTGTTTCAGACTCAATAATGTGTTTCTAAAGTACATGCAAAAGAATAAATTGGCAGGAATACTCAAGAAAAATGTGAAAAACAAGGGTAATGTGAAGTAGGCCTTGCAATACTGAATAGCAAAACCATTTGAAAGCTACAATAAAGTATTAATTAAATTGAAAGTACTCTGTTTCTATATAAGTGTAAGAGCAAGAAGGAATCCTTTCAAATACAACATTAATTACATATGGCTTATAGGACATGGTGATTTTCAGATTTTCTTCTTTATTTTAAAATATATAAAATATATACTTTATATTTTATACATATAAAGTATATGGATTTTATACATAAAAAGTAAATAATATATGTACATTTTATACATATATAATAAATACATATAAGTATATATACTGTATAAAGCATATATACTTATACATAAATCTATATAAAGTATACTTTATATACTTTGTATGTATAGAATACTTTATATATGTATACTTTAAACATTATATACTTTGTATACTTTATAAAGTATAAAATACGTATATTTTATACATTATAAATGATATACTTTATATTTTATATAGTAACATCCATTCTTCTTCCTTCTAAATTTTGACAGACAATACAGTTGTGTAGCCACTACCAAATACAAGATTTAGAATATTTCCATTTCCGTAAAAATATTTCTCATGCCCCTCCATAGTCAGTTCTCTCTTCTTTGTCACTCTAGTACTGCCTTTTCTAGAACGACATTAAAAATGGATTCATACAGTGTCTAGCCTTCTGTATCTGGCTTATTTTGCTTAGCATGATGTGTTGGAGATTCACTCATGTTTATTTACCAGTAGTTTGTTCCTCATTCTTGCTGAGTACTATTCATCATGCAGATATGCCATAATTTATTTGTTTATTTAGTAGGTAGTAGGTGTTTGGAGTGTCCCCTATGTGTGGCAATTATGAAGAAAGCTCTATAAATACTTGTATAGAAGTCTCTGTGTGGGCATATCTTTTCATTTCTCTTGGGTGAATTCTTAGAAGCAGCGTGGTTGGGTCATGAGGTGAGTATATTATCAGCTGTATATGAAGCTGCCAAACTATTTCCTAAAATGGCTTTACCATTTTGCCTTCAGACCAGCAACATGAGTTTCCATTGTTCTGCATCTTTGTGGTGGTTGTTTTTTTTTTTAATTTTAGCCATTCTAATAGGTATATAGTTATATTTCAGTGTGGTTTTAACTTGCGTGTTCCTATTGACTAGTAAGATAGACCATGCTTTCATGTGCATCTTGGCCATTTGTGTTCCTTTTTTGATTAAATATCTGCTCACATTTTTTGCCAATTTTTGGTGGGTTATTTTCTTCTTATTGGTTTTTGAGAGTTTGTCATATACTGCGGATGGAAACCCTTTGTCAGATAGGTGTTTTTAAAAATATTTTCTCCAGTTCTGCAGTCTGTCTTTTTACTTTCTGTATAGTGTCATTCAAAGACCAAAAATTTTTAATTTTGATTTAAGTTCAATTTATCAATTTTAAAATTTTATGTTTCATGCTTTTTGTATCCTAAGAAATATATTCCTATGCCTAGGTCACAAAAGTTTTCTATGTTTTCTTTAAAAAGTTTTGTTGTTTTAAGTTTTGCATTTAAATCTATGATACATTTTGAGTCAATTTTTGTATACGGTTTAAGGTATGG